>NC_000011.10:107475454-107778485 GCF_000001405.40 Homo sapiens | reverse complement strand
CCAACCTCAGGTGATCTGCCTCCTTGACCTCCCAAAGTGCTGGGATTACCGGTGTGAGCCACTGCACCCGGCCTCTTCCAGCAATCTTAATTTAAAATGTGAACACTTTTGGAGAAGGAAATGAAAGAATTCGTACCAATTTTAAGAGGCCATTTGAACAATTATTAGCTCCAACTGACCATAAACAAGCATTCAGATGGTTCCATATATGCCTCACTCAATCAGCTATTACATTCACTGCCTGCCCATTGGGGAGGCCACAGTCTGTACACAATGTGTGATGTAGAGAACTTGTAGTGCTAGTAGCTGGGGTTTCCATGCTGTCTTTTTCCATTTATGCTGCTATAACAGAACACCCAGAAAGTTCATTCCTTCTTACACCATGAGAGGACACAGTGTATCTACAAGCCAGGAAGAGTGACTTCACCAGACATGGATTCTGTTGGCAGCTTGATCTTGGACTTCCCAGCCTCCAGGACTGTGAGAAATAAATTTCTGTTGTTCATGAGCCAGCTAATCTATAGTATTTTTGTTATGGCAGTGTGAATGGACCAAGACATGCCTTATTCTGCTTTGCAGTGTATCAAAATCTCAATGGAATGGGAAAGGTCAGAAACAAACACTTTTTACATATTCAACATAGAACCAAACATAAAGCCTTAAAAATAACAGGAACTCAGTAATATTGCATTTGTATTTGTTGATTAACTATGCTTTTTCCTATGTTCTATCAGATCCTAAACTTGTGAATCACTACTTTTTGTTTGGGTAAGTAGTAATAATCCTACCATGTAACAAAGCAAAAAGTGATTTAATATTCAAGACATTGCCCAAATATGATATCTCTAAATTGCATATTAATCTTTTCCAGGAAGTCTTTCTTGGCATAACGTAAATGGGACAGAACAAAGAATTTTAGAAGATGCTTGATGAGGAAGTGCTACTCCTATTTAGAAAAAGGAAAGCTTAATTCAATAGGTTATATTTTCTATGGTTGGAACACATGCTATTGACAAATGACAAAGTAAATAGAAGGGGAGTGAGAGGAACATATGATTATTCCGGTGTTAACATGAATGTTTGTGAAAATGACTATATTTGGGAGCCAGAATCTGCATATCTGAGTAGATGATTCACACTCTTACAGACTCTGCAGACGACTGCTTAGGATTGAAGAAACAGGTTCTATCATTAAAAAGCTGGATGATCTAGGGTGATGCTTTTTCACTTCCCTTTCATAACTCTCATTGATCTAACAATAGTATGTGCCTGGCAATGGACTGTTTTTTAAAAACATACATTGTCTTATATAAACTTCACATCTTAAGGAGGCATATACTATTTATATCTCCATTTAACCAATGAGGAAATGAAGGCTTGTACCAGGCAGGATAGAATTAGGTTATGCTACTATAACAAACAACACCAAATATCTTATTGGCTTAAAACAAGATTTAATTTTTGGCTGGCTGGGCATGGTGGCTCATACCTGTAATCCCAGCACTTTGGGAGGCCAAGGTGGGAGGACTGCTTGTGCCCAGGAGTACAAGACCAGCCTGGGCAACATAGTGAGATACAAAAAATAAAAAATTAGCTGGGCATGGTGGCACACATCTATAGTTCCAGCTACTTGAGAAGTTTAGGTGGGAGGATTGTTTGAGCCTAGAAGGTTGTGGCTACAGTGGGCCCTAATTACACCACTGCACTCCAGCCTGAGTGACAGACCAAGACCCTGTCAAAAAAAATTATTTTTTGGCCATACTACAGTTCCACTGTGGGCTCCAGATTTTGGTCACTTCCCTGACACAGGCCTGCTACCCAGGGAACTATTAGAAATGCCGGCCAGATAAGTGATCTCTTGAGCCCAGGAGTTTGAGACCAGCCTGGGCAACATGGTGAGACCCTGTCTCTACAAAAAAATACAAAATTAGCTAGGTGTGGTGGTGCTTACCTGTAGTTCCAACTACTCAGGAGGCTGAGGTGGGAAGAATCCCTTAAGCCTGGGAGGCCGAGGCTGCACTGAGCTGTGATCATGCCGCTGCACTCCAGCCTAGTGACAGAGCAAGAACTTGCCTCCCACCCCTGCGCCACACAAAAAGAGAGAATGAATAAAAACCTGCTGAAGCTTAGCTACACATGTTCCAGTACCTAATACTTAGCATTTTTTCTCTGTTGCCCAGGCTGGTGTGTAGTGATGTGATTACAGTTCTCTGCAGCCTTGACCTCCTGGACTCAAGTGATCCTCCCACCTCAGCCTCCTGAGTAGCTAGGGTCACAGATGTGCATCATCACACCTGACTAAATTTTTTTTTTTTTTGAGACGAAGTTTCGCTCCCGTTGCCCAGGCTGGAGTGCAATGGCGTGATCTCAGCCCACCACAACCTCCACCTCCTGGGTTCAAGTGATTCTCCTGCCTCAGCCTCCCAAGTAGCTGGGATTACAGGCATGCACCACTACGCCTGGCTAATTTTATTTTTAGTAGAAATGGGGTTTCTTCATGTTGGCCAGGCTGGTCTTGAACTTCTGACCTCAGGTGATCCACCTGCCTCGGCCTCCCAAAGTGCTGAGATTACAGGTGTGAGCCACCGCACCCGGCCAGATTTTTTTTTTATAGAGATAACAGTATCACTGTGTTGCCCAGGCAGGTCTTGGACTCCTGGGCTCAAGTGATCCTCCTGCCTCAGCCTCCCACATTGCTGGGACAAAAGGCATGAACCATCATGCCTGGTTATACTTAGCATTTTAATTTATATGCAGTCATCCCTTAAAGCATCAGCTGGACTTAGGCACTTAAAAGGACTGATTTAAGTGTCTACTGCCCAGAACGATTGACTTTTTTTCCTGCCCAGGAGTTTGCATCTTTTTTTTTTTCTGAGACAGACTCTTGCTCTGTCTGCCTGGCTGGAGTGCAGTGGCGTGATCTCGATTCACTGCAACCTCCGCCTCCCAGGTTCAAGCAATTCTCCTGCCTCAGCCTCCCGAGTAGCTGGGATTATAGGCGCCCGCCACAGCACCCGGATAATTTTTTTTTATTTTTAATGGAGATGGGGTTTCACCATGTTGGCCAGGCTGGTCTTGAACTCTTGATCTCAAGTGATCCGCCCGCCTCAGCCTCCCAAAGTGCTGTGATGACAGGCGTGAGCCACCGCACCTGGCCAGGTGTTTGCATCTTTAGGGGTCAAATAATTTTAAAATGTTCAATCCTCAAAACACAGAATATCCTCTCTTCCTCTACCAAAGCAAGACCATCAACCCTCCTAAGGGATGCAACTTTTTTTTTTTTTTTTTTTTTTGAGACCGAGTTTCGCTCTTTCACTCAGGCTGGAGTGAAGTGGGCAATCTCGGCTCACTGCAACCTCCACCTCCTGGGTTCAAGCGATTCTCCTGCCTCAGACTCCCAAGTAGCTTGGATTACAGGTGCGTGCCACCATGTCCGGCTAATTTTTTGTATTTTCAGTAGAGATGGGGTTTTACTATGTTGACCAGGCTGGTCTCAAACTCCTGACCTCAGGTGATCCGCCCGCATTGCCCTCCCAAGTGCTGGGATTACAGGCACGAGCTACTGTGCCCAGCCAGGATGCAACTCTTAATACTGATCTTTTTAGAGGAGATGCCCCCAAGAGATTCTAATATATTCATATAAAATTCTGGAGCAATGACTGTTTTTAATGAATCTAAGCTATCCTATTCCCTTTTGAAAAGATGATGTGCTCAATACATCTATGGCAGTTTTCTAGTACCTTCCTTGCTGAAAAAGAGAAAAAACAACCCATAAATTTATCTGGGTCATTTCACTACATTATTAGGATGATTCACACTTAAGAATAAACTATCAGGTTTGAAAAATCTAATAAATTTTAAAATATAAGAAAAATACATCCACATTGTGTGGGAAATAAATTAGAAATAAAAATCTGACGATTGTTCTTTAAAAGCCTAACACCTACCAGAAATCTTTTCTCTGATGGGGATTAATAGCTATTTGTGCTTTATTGCCATGGTGATAAAATTTGTTTCCAATGGTATTATTTCAATTTTGCCCAATGGAAAAATTAGTTTGTGATTTTCTCACAACCATAAAATGTATTTCCAATAATACAGCTGTGAATTTTAGTTTATTATCTCCCTGTTTCATATTTAGTTTTTTTTTTTTTTTTTAAGGAGGCTTGTGTTCTAAGGGATTCTAATACATTAGCTAATTGTGTATGCTTTAGTGGCAGAATCTATCACTTAATAGTTCTGTAATCTTTAAAAAAATTTTATTTTAATAGGTTTTTGGGAGAACAGGTAGTGTTTGGTTGCATGAATAAATTCTTTACTGGGGATTTTGGAGATTTGGGTGCACCCTAGCAATGTACTGTACCCAGTGTGTAATTTTTTTTTTTCTTGAGACCAGAGTCTCACTCCGTCGCCCAGGCTGGAGTGCAGTGGTGCGATCTCATCTCACTGCAACCTCCGCCTGCCGGGTTCAAGCGATTCTGCTGCCTCAGCCTCCCGACTAGCTGGGACTACAGGTGCCCGCCACCACGCCCGTCTAATTTCTGTATTTTTAGTAGAGATGGGGGTTTCACTATGTTGGCCAGGATGGTCTCCATCTCTTGACCTCGTGATCCACCCGCGTCGGCCTCCCAAAGTGCTGGGATTACAGGCGTGAGCCACCACATCTGGTCCAATGTGTAGTCTTTTATCCCTCACGTCTCTCCTGCTCTTCCCCACGTGTCTCCAATCATGTCTAGTTTTATACCTTTTGTCTCTTGATATTGTCCACTTCTGCCTCTTATTCACTCTCCAGTCTTCAGTAAAGACTTTGAAACTTGGCTTATAGGTTTCCCACCCAGCTTCCTCCATCACTTGAATGATTCATGGCCAATTCCCCTTGAACCTCATAACTTCTTTATCTCCTTAATGCCAATGACGGTTACCTTAATTTCTCTCTAGCAGCTACTCCCATATTACCTCTAAAGTTTGTTACCACTCAGAAGTGCTTTCCCTATCTTAAATTCGCGTATTCCAGATGCTGAGCACAATCCGCCTCTTCAAACCCAGCACAGCCATTTTGTATACTCCCCTGAACTCTTATTCTTTAAGAACGTTGACTTTTCCCCCCTTCTTGAGTACTTTTTCTTCTCTCTACCCTGCTTGGAGTCTGGTTGATTGCTTGGACTTCTTCCATTCCACCTACACCATTTGCTTGTACCCACATCTTGCCCAGCAAAACTCCAATGCTAAATCACTACTGAATCAGTCCTCCATTACCTGCTTGACATAATATCTGGTCTAACCTAGGAAATGTGTGTTGGAGAATCCTCAGGGTGGAGTTTTTAGGCCAGCTCCTTCCTAGCCAAGGGGCATCTGTGATAGTGGGTAAGTCATCAGCAGTTTAGTAGTGAAAGCCTCCTTTAGTGAATCAACTATATCCCATCTATATTCCATTGTTCTTTGGTTTCTTTAGGCATTTCTGATAGTTCATTTCTCACCTTTTCTTTTTTTCTTATCTTTTTTCTTTCCTTCTTATCTTTTTTCTTTCCAGAGTCTTGCTGTATCGCCCAGGCTGGAGTACAGTGGCATCATCTTGGCTCACTCCAACCTCCGCCTCCTGGGTTCAAGCGATTCTCAGCTTCCCGAGTAGCTGAGACTACAGGCGCCCGCCACCACACCCAGCTAATTTTTGTATTTTTAGTAGAGATGGGGTTTCACCATGTTGGCCAGGCTGGTCTCGAACTCCTGACCTCAGGTGATCTGCCCGCCTTGGCCTCCCAAAGTGCTGGGATTACAGGTGTGAGCCACCATGCTGGGCCAAGGGAATTTCTTAGAAAGTTGAAGGGGAAGGGCCAGGCGTGGTGACTCACACCTGTAATCCCAGCACTTTGGGAGGCTGAGGAGGGCGGATTGCCTGAGGTCAGGAGTTCGAGACCAGCCTGGACAACATGGTTAAACCCCATCTGTACTAAAAATACAAAATTTAGGCTAACATGGTGGTAAGTGCCTGTAATCTCAACTACTTGGGAGGCCGAGGTGGGAGAATCACTTGAACCCAGAAGGTGGAGGTTGCAGTGAGCCGAGATTCTGCCACTGCACTCCAGCCTGGGCAACAGAGGGACACTCTGTCAAAAAAAAAAAAAAAAAAAAAAAAAAAAAAAAAAAAAAATTGGAGGGGAATTGGGAATTGTGTAATTGTGTAGTTGTCCAGTGTTCAGGCTTTGGAAAAATACTTGTATTCTGTATTTAAATCCCATATATCCTTTGGGACTTTGGGTAAGCTACTTGACCTCTCTGAGCCTTAGTATTCTCACCTCAGTAGTTTCACCTCCAGAATTAAGATTCAGAATGCAAAGTGCTCAGCACAATGCTTAACACACAGTGAACACTCATTAAATGGTAGCTGGTATTATGGTAGAGGGGTTTATCTTACTTTGTTGGTATATTTGAAGATCAAAAGAAAACATTGTAACAGAAGGAAAAAGACCAAAGAAACAAAAACAAAAACAAAAAAAAGGAGGATACATTGTACATAGTAGCTGTTCAATAAATAACTGTTGAATATAATTGCCTTAGAAAATAATCTTTTTTGGGTGGATTCTCACCTTGGGGGCTCCTTTGATCTTTTTAAAAATTAAGTTTTCACCCTATATATGTCAATGATCAATTATGAAAAACTGAACAGATAAGAATAAGTAACAAAAAAATTCCCCCAATTCTCCCAACCAGAGACAATCACTATCAACAATTTAGAGAATATCTTTCCAGATCTTTATTTTATTTTTTTGACAGAGTCTTTCTCTGTCACCCATGCTGGAGTACAGTGGCACTATCTCAGCTCACTGCAACCTCCGCCTCCCAGGCTCACGTGATCCTCCATCTCAGCCTCACCAAGTAGCTGGGACTACAGGCAGGCACTACCATATCCTGCTAATTTTTGTATTTTTAGTAGAGCTGGGGTTTTGCCATGTTGGCCAGGCTGGTCTTGAACTCCTGGCCTCAAGTAATTCACGCACCTCAGCCTCCCAAAGTGCTGGGATTATAGGCCTGAGCCACGGCGCCCAGCCTCCTTTCCAGATCTTTATGCATATACACATATGAAAAAGTTTGCACAAATACATACGTGTAGTCTGCATGTATTGAACCACATAGTACATATCATTTTGTAATTTGCTTTTTTGCACTTAGTGAAATGTCATAGACATCTTTCCAAGCTAGAGAATATTGCTCCTCCTAAGAACTGAATAACACCCACTTGAACAGATACCCTGAGGCTTGGTAAAAATCAGGAAACTGTACACTAGATGGCGGTGTTGAAATAAAAATTTTGGAAAATAAATACCTGCATTAACTAATGCAAGAACAAGAAGCTCTTGGGACTTCTTCAGTCAAGTCCTGTTATTGACATCCTGATAATTAATAACTGGTGAAAGAACATATATCTGATCAAGATTATATTACTTTGGAGGCTCCATATTCCCCCAGCTTGGGCTGCAAACATCAGCTCTTAAGACTCTTTAAGATTTGTAAGACTGCATTCAGATTTGTTTTATCATCCATCTGTGAAACTGAAAACTTGCCCTCTATGAATAAACCGCTTGCCATCTCTTTCACACTCTCTTCTGGATGCCTGTATGAGACACAGCAGATGGACTGATACTTTTTCTGCCTCCCCAGCCTGAAAAGCAACTCTGAATCCTGCACCACTTCCGTTGCAACAGAGGAAGACTTGCCCCATGGTAATTATGGGAGAAACGTCTCCATGTCTGGTTTAAGGCACTCTGTGGGTGGTGCTTCACTCTGAGATTCCAAGTCTCAGGGACCTTTATGTGACTCTCCCTGGAATGTATATTCTCCATAGCAACTGTCCACAGAGAGTGTGTCACCCTGGGCCTTCTGAGTCCCAGCCTTCCTTGGGTCAGATGGTCAGATTTAGTCAGTGTTTTTTTTTTAGACAGAGTGTTGCTCTTTTGCCCAGGCTGGAGTGCAGTGGCGTGATCTTGGTTCACCACAACCTCCGCCTTCCAGGTTCAAGTGATTCTCCTGCCTCAGCCTCCTGAGTAGCTGGGACTACAGGTGCGTGTCACTATGCTCGACTAATTTTTGTATTTTTAGAGAGATGGGGTTTCACTATGTTGGCCAGGCCGGTCTCAAACTCCTGACCTCATGATCTTCCCACCTCAGCCTCCCAAAGTGCTGGGATTACAGGCATGAGCCACCGCACCCGGCTACCATGTTATTTGTAGATAGTTTCCATCCCTGATCCCAACAAATACACATCACACACACCCTTTGGTATTTGTACAGTACAATCTATTGGGAGAGAGTGCAAAATGCAAATCTGGAATTGCAGTTTAGCCACTAACTAACATTGGGATCTTGGTTAAACCCCTTAGCTTGCCTATTTCTCTACCTTTGTTTTGTTAAATATGAGTAACAATGATACTTGGCCCCATTCTAGGGTATCAAATACATAGATTATACAGGTACTTAGGGTCCTTCCAATACCACTCATAAAATATGAGAAAAACATTTTGAAAGAATTTGATTTCTTTCTCTCTCTCGACAGAGTCTCACCCTGTCACCCAGGATGGAGTACAGTGGTATGATCTCAGCTGACTGCAACCTCTGCCTCCCGGGTTCAAGCCATTCTCCTGCCTCAGCCTCCCAAGTAGCTGGAATTACAGGCTCCTGCCACCATGCCCAGTTAATTTTTGTTTTTTAGTAGAGATAGGGTTTCACAATGTTGGCTAGGCTGGTCTCGAACTCCTGACCTCAGGTGATCCACCCACCTCGGTTTCTCAAAGTGCTAGGATTACAGGCGTGAGCCACCACGCCCCGCCAGAATTTGATCATTTCTGTTATTAAAAACAGTCATCATGGGGAGAATCAGAACATGAGTTTTTTTTACATTTATTTTATGATTTAGTTTGTTTTTATCTTGTGCTACACTGACTTCTCAAACTCCATAGCAGAGGTCCTAGAAGCATAGTACCATGAAAATATGATTGAGGACTTGAAGGTATTTTCAGAGTCAGAGCACAGTCATGTCACACTCACTGATAGTAACTCCGTGGGTCTATTATAGCTCTGAGTCATGGACACACATTTCATCTTACGGGAAGCAGCACAAAGGGACGAGAAGCAGCTTTGTTCCCACAGACTCTATGAAAAGCCACAAGTGACACTTGCTCTGGGAGCTGACTGTTTTGGCTTTATTTAGCTGGAGAAAATGAGGTCTGGCTTAAACTGAGAGCCTAAATAGGGAGATCTTGAAGTGATGGTTTAGGAGATGCCACTGATGAAGGTTTAAAGACAATCTAGCTCCCTTCCTGGTCACAGGCAACCAACAAGAGAGTTAACTAGCAACCCAAATGAAACTTGTCAATTTGATAACCTTCAACATGACTAAGTTCAGTTCAATATATTTCAATCCAAAGAATGGGTTTTGTTTGTTTGTTTGTTTTGAGACGGAGTTTTGCTCTTATCACCCAGGCCAGAGTGCAATGGCGTGATCTTGGCTCACTGCAAACTCCGCCTCCCAGTTTCAAGAGATTCTCCTGCCTCAGCCTCCTGAGTAGCTGGGATTGCAGGCGTGCACGACCACAACTGGCTAATTTTGTATTTTGAGCAGAGATGGGGTTTCACCATGTTGGCCAGGCTGGTCTTAAACTCCTGACCTCAGGTGATCTTCTCGCCTTGCCCTCTCAAAGTGCTGGGATTACAGGCATGAGCCACTGTGCCCAGCCCAAAGAATGGCTTTTGAGTACTTACTCTGGCTAGGGTATGTGAAAGATAAGTGAATCCGATTTCAGGAGGTGTAATCTAGAAGATATGTATATACATACACATACACACACACACCTCTACTGTAGGGTGATAAACCCAGTTAGTTTGTCTATCTTGTTCATCGCCTTATATCCAGTGTCTGGAATGTAATAGGAGCTCATTATTTTTTGGATGAAGAAATATATAATCTATGCAAAGCAAAATATAACAACTGCTGTCAGAGAAATAAAAAGTGATGATGGAGTACAGAAGGGGTAAAAAGTAATATCGATTAAAAGGAAGAAGGAAGGCCAGGTGCAGTGGCTCATGCCTATAATCCCAGTACTTTGGGAGACCTAGGTGGGTGGATTGTTTCAGCCCAGGAGTTCTAGACCAGCCAGGGCAACATGGTGAAACCTCATCTCTACAAAAAATACAAAAAACTAGCCGGGTGTGGTGACACA
This sequence comes from Homo sapiens, assembly GCF_000001405.40. Classification (NCBI taxonomy): domain Eukaryota; kingdom Metazoa; phylum Chordata; class Mammalia; order Primates; family Hominidae; genus Homo; species Homo sapiens. The sequence goes on along the minus strand of NC_000011.10, from coordinate 107,768,274 downwards.
TGCCTGTAGTCCCAGCTGCTCAGGGGGCTGAGGTAGGAGGATCACCTGAGCCTGGGAAGTTGAGGCTGCAGTGAGCCATGATTGCACCCTGCACTGCAGCCTGAGCAACAAAGCGAGACGCTGTTTTAAGGAAGAGTCACGAGGAAACGAAGTGTTTGAACAGAACCTTGAGGGATGGGTGGAATTTTCATGGGAAAAGGAAAGTTGATTGAGATTGATCCCTTGCTTCACGAGGAAACATGACAGGGAAGTCAGGAGACAAGAGAAAGATAAACTTAACAAAAAACACAAATAAGCATACACACATAGGCTTTCTGTGGCAGTTGCTGCTTAAAGCACTTTACAAACACTAACTCATTTATTTCCTTGTTAATTTCTTCCTTGTCCCTGTGGTCATTCCAGAACGTGTTGTTTAATATCCATATATTTGTACAGTTTCCAAAGTTTCTTTTATTATCAATTTCTGTTTTATTCCATTGTGATCTGAGAATATAATTTATATGACTTCAATTTAAAAACAATTTTTGAGATTTGTTTTGTGTCCTAACATATGGTCTATCCTGGAGAATGTTCCATGTGCTCATGAGAAGAATGTATATTCTGTGGCTGTTGGGTACAATGTTCTGTAAATGTTAGTTAGGTCCATTTGTTCTAAAGTACACAGTTAAAATCCAAAATTTCTTTGTTAATTTCTGTCTAGATGATCTGTCTAATGCTGAGAGTAGGGTGTTGAAGTCCCCCACTACTATTGCATTGAAGTCTATCTCACCCTTTAGATCTAATAATATTTAGTTTCATTCCATGCACTCAGATGAGTGCTTTGGTGTTGTATATGTTTAGAATTGTTATATTGTCTCTCTTTTTTTGAGATGGAGTCTCACTCTGTCGCCCATGCTGGAGTGCAGTGGTGTGACCTCTGCTCACTGCAACCTCCGCCTCCTGGGTTCAAGTGATTCTCCTGCCTCAGCTTTCTGAGTAGCTGGGATTACAGGTGTGTGCCACCACACCTGGCTAATTCTTGAATTTTTAGAAGAGACGGGGTTTCACCATGTTGGTCAGTCTGGTCTCAAATTTCTGACCTTAGGTGATCCGTCCACCTTGGCCTCCCAAAGTGCTGGGACTACAGGTGTGAGCCACCATGCCCGGCCTAGAACTGTTATATTCTCTTGCTGAATTGATCCCTTTATTATTATATAATGCTCTTTTTTGTATAATGTCTCTTTTTACTGTCTTTTACTTAAAGTCTGCTTTTTCTGATATAAGTATATCCTGCTCACTTTTGGTTTCCATTTGCATGGACTATCTCTTTCCATCCCTTTCTTGTCGGTCTATTTTGTGTCTTTACAAGTGAGATGAGTTTTTTTATAGGCAGCATATAGTTCAGTAATTTTTAAAATCCATTCAGCTAGTCTCTCTCTCTCATTCTCTGTCTCTCTGACTGTATATATTTAGTCAGAGTCATCCTTCAAAATATATATATTTTGAGGCAAGGTCTCATTCTATTGCCCAGGCTAGAGTGCAGTGGCATGGTCTTGGCTCACTGCAGCCTATGCCTCCTGGCTCAAGCAATCCTCTCACCTCAGCCTCCTGAGTAGCTGGGATTACAATTTCATGCCACCATGCTTGGTTAATTTTTACATTTTTATTTTTTCATTTTTTATTTTTATTTTTTTTAGAGACAAGGTCTCACTATATTGTCCAGTTGGTCATGAACTCCCGGGTTCAAGCAATCCTCCTGCCTCAGCCTCCCAAAGTGCTGGGATTACAGACATGAGCCACTGCACCTGGCCTCAGTCTATAATTTTTTAAGTAAAACATTAAATTCATTTACATTCAAGGTTATTGCTGATATGTGACAGCTTATTCCAGTCATTCTATTTATTGGTTTCTGGTTGTTTTGTATATCCTTTGTTCCTTTCTTTCTCTCTTATTGCTTATCATTGTGGTTTGGTGGTTTTCTGCAGTAGTAACATTTGAGTCTTTTCTCTCCCTCATTTGTGTGTTTGCTGTACCAGTGGGTTTTATACTTTCATGTGTTTTCACGATAATAGATATTGGTCTTTTGCTTCCAAGTGTAGGTCTTGGAATATGACTTTGTATCTCTTCCCATCAAGAGATGGAATCTGGAGTTGTTTTTTGACTTGCCTTGGACAATCACTTGCAGCAGAAGCAACTCTGTTTAAGTTCTAAATTTATGCCTCAAAAGGAGATACATACTTTCTTTTTCCATAGGTTAATGGGGTACGGGTGGTATTTGGTTACATAAGTTCTTTAGTGGTGATTTGTGAGATTTTGGTGCATCCATCACCTGAGCAGTATGCACTGCATCCTATTTGTAGTCTTTTATCCCTCACCTCCCTCACACCCTTCCTCCCAAGTCCCCAGAGTCCATTGTATCATTCTTATGCCTTTGCTTCTTCATAACTTAGCCTTGACATATCAGTGAGATCATACAATCTTTGGTTTTCCATTCCTGAGTTACTTCACCTAGAATAATAGTCTCCAATCTCAACCAGGTCTCTGTGAATGCTATTAATTCATTTCTTTTTATGGCTGAGTAGTATTCCACAGTTTCTTTATCCACTCATTGATTGATGGGCATTTGGGTGGGTTCCACGATTTCGCAGTTGCAAATTGTGCTGCCATAAGCATGCGTGTGGAAGTATCTTTTTCGTATAATAACTTCTTTTCCTCTGGGTAGACACTCAGTGGTGGGATTGCTGGATCAAATGGTAGTTCTACTTTTAGTTCTTTAAGGAATCTCCACACTGTTTTCCATATTGGCTATACTAGTTTACATTTCCACCAGCAGTATGTATAAGTGTTCCCTGATCACCACATCCATGCCAACATCTACTGGTTTTTTGATAATGGCCATTCTTGCAGGAGTAATATGGTATCACATTGTGGTTTTGACTTGCATTTCCTTGATCATTAGTGATGCTGAGCATTTTTTCTTATGTTTGTTGGTCATTTGTATATCTTCTTTTGAGAATTGTCTATTCATGTCCTTAGTCTACTTTTTGATGAGATTGTTTGCTTTTTTCTTGCTGATTTGAGTTCATTGTAGGTTCTGGATATTAGTCCTTTGTCAGATGTATAGACTGTGAAGATTTTTTTTCCCACTCTGTGGGTTGTCTGTTTACTCTGCTGACTGTTCCTTTTGCCGTGCAAAAGCTCTTTAGTTTAATTAAGTCCCAGCTATTTATCTTTGTTTTTATTGCATTTGCTTTTGGGTTCTTGGTCATGAAATTCTTGCCTAAGCCAATGTTTAGGAAGGTTTTTCCAATGTTATCTTCTAGAATTTTTATAGTTTCAGGCCTTAGATCTAAGTCCTTAATCCATCTTGGGTTGCTTTTTGTATCAGGTGAGAGATGAGGATCCAGTTTCATTCTCCTACATGTGGCTAGCCAATTATCCCAGCACCATTTGTTGACAAGATTGTCCTTTCCCCACTTTACATTTTTATTTGCTTTGTTGAAGATCAGTTGGCTATAAGTATTTGGGTTTATTTCTGGGTTCTCTATTCTGTTCCATTGGTCTATGTGCCTATTTTTTATACCAGTACCACACTGTTTTGGTGACTAAGGCATTATAGTATAGTTTGAAATCAGGTAGTGTGAGACCTCCAGTTTTATTCCTTTTGCTTAGTCTTGCTTTGACCATGTGGGCTCTTTTTTGTTTCCACATGAATTTTAGAACTGTTTTGTCTAATTCTGTGAAGAATGATGGTGGTATTCTGATGGGGATTATATTGCATTTGTAGATTGCTTTTGGCAGTATGGTCATTTTCGCAATATTGATTCGACCCATTCATGAACATGGGAGGCGTTTCCACTTGTTTGTGTCCTCTGTGATTTCTTACAGCAGTGTTTTGTAGTTTTCCTTGTAGAGGTCTTTTGCTTCCTTGGTTAGGTATATTCCTAAGTATTTCTTCTTTTTTCAGCTATTGTAAAAGGGGTTGAGCTCTTGCTTTGATTCTCTGCTTGGTCACTGTTGGTATATAGAAGAGCTACTGATTTGCATACATTAATCTTGTATCCAGAAACTTCACAGAATTCTTTCGTCAGTTCTAGGAGCTTTCTGCAGGAGTCTTTAGGGTTTTCAAGGTAAATGATCATATAGTCAGCAAACAGTGACAGTTTGACTTCCTCTTCACTGATTTGGATGCCCTTTATTTCTTTCTCTTGTCTGATTGCTCTGGCTAGAATTTCCAGTACTAAGTTGAAAAGGAGTGGTGAGAGTGTGCATCCTTGTCTCGTTCCGGTTGTCAAAGGGAATGTTTTCAACTTTTCCTCATTCAGCATTATGTTGGCTGTGGGTTTATCATAGATGGCTTTTTATTACATTGAGGTGTGTCCCTTGCATGCTGATTTTGCTGAGAGTTTTAATCATAAAGGAATGCTGGATTTCATTGAATGCTTTTTCTGCATCTATTGAGATGATCATGTGATTTTTGTTTTTAGTTCTGTTTATGTGGCATATTACATTTATTGACTTGTGTATGTTAAACCATCCCCCATATACCTGGTATGAAACCCACTTGATCATAGTGGATTATCTTTTTGGTATGTTGTTGGATTCGGTTAGCCAGTATTTTGTTAAAGATTTTAGCATCTATGTTCATCAAGGATATTGGTCTGTACTTTTCTCTTTTGTGTATGTCCTTTCCTGGTTTTGGTATTAGGGTGATGCTGGCTTCATAGGATGAATTAGGGAGGGTTCCTTCTTTCTGTTTCTTGTGGAATGGTGTCAAAAAGATTGGTACCAATTCTTCTTTGAATGTCTGGTAGAATTCTGCTGTGAATCCCTCTGGTCCTGGGCTTTTTTTTTTGTTAGTAATTTTTAAATTACCATTTCAATCTCGCTGCTTGTTATTGGTCCGTTCAGGGTATCTAATTCTTCCTGATTTAAACTAGGAAGGTGGTATTTTTCCAGGAATTTATCCAACTCTTCTTGGTTTTCTAGTTTATGTGCATAAAGGTGTTCATAGTAGCCTTGAATGATCTTTTGTATTTCAGTGGTGTCAGTTGTAACATCTCCTGTTTTGTTTCTTAATGAGATTATTTGGATTTTCTCTCTTTTCTTGGTTAATCTTGCTAATGATCTATCAATTTTATTTATCTTTTCAAAGAACCAGCTTTTTGTTTCATTTGTCTTTTGTATTTTTTTTGTTTGTTTCAATTTCATTTAGTTCTTCTCTGATCTTTATTTCTTTTTTTCTGCTGGGTTTGGGTTTGGTTACTTCTTGTTCCTCTAGTTCCTTAAGTGTGACATTAGAATTTCAGGTTGTGCTTCTTTAGTCTTTTTGATGTAGGCGTTTATGGCTATGAACTTTCCTCTTAGCACCACCTTTGCTGTATATCCCAGAGGTTTTGATAGGTTGTGTCATTACTGTTGTTCATTTCAAAGAATTTTTTAATTTCAATCTTGATTTTATTTTTAACTCAATGATCATTCAGGGCAGGTTATTTAATTTCCATGTATTTGCATGGTTTGGAATGTTCCTTTTGGAGTTGGATTCCAGCTTTATTCCACTGCGGTCTGAGAGAGTGCTTGATATAATTTCAATTTTCTTAAATTTATTGAGGCTCGTTTTGTGGACTATCATATGGTCTATCTTGGAGAAAGTTTCATGCACTGTTGAACAGAATGTGTATTCTGTGGTTGTTGGATGAAATGTTCTGTATATATCTGTTAAATCCATTTGTTCCAAGGTATAGTTTAAATCCCTTGTATCTTTGTTGACTTTGTCTTGATGACCCGTCTAGTGTTGTCAGTGGAGTATTGAAGCCCCCCATTATTTTGTTGCTCTCCATCTCATTTCTTAGGTCTATTAGGAATTGTTTTATAAATTTGGGAGCTCCAGTGTTAGGTGGATATATGTTTAGGATTGTGATATTCTCCTGATGGACAAGGTCTTTTACCATTATATAATGTTCCTCTTTGTCTCTTTTATTTTTACGTTTTGAGATGGAGTCTCGCTCTGTCGCCCAGGCTGGAGTGCAGTGGCACAATCTTGGCTCACTGCAACCCCCACCCCCCGGGTTTAAGTGATTCTTCTGCCTCAGCCTCCTGAGTAGCTGGGATTACAGGCATGCACCATCATGTCCGGCTATTTTTTGTATTTTCAGTAGAGACGGGGTTTCGCCATGTTGGCCAGGCTAGTCTTGAACTCCTGACCTCAGGTAATCTGCCCGCCTTGGCCTCCCAAAATGTTAGGATTACAGGCGTAAGCCACTGTGCCCGGCTCCTCTTTGTCTTTTAACTGCTGTTGCTTTAAAGTTTGTTTTGTCTGATATAAGAATAGCTACCCCTGCTCACTTTTGGTATCTATTTGTGTGAAATGCTTTTCTCTGTCACTTTACTTTAAGCTTATGTGAGTCCTTATGTAGTAGGTGAGTCTCCTGAAGACAGCAGATGGTTGGTGAGTTTTATCTGTTCTGCAGTTCTGTATCTTTTAAGTGGAGCATTTAGGTCATTTGTGTTCAATGTTAGTATTGAGATGTGAGGTACCATTGCATTCAACATGCTATTAGTTTCCTGTGTACCTTGGTTTTTTTTGTTTGTTTTTTTTTTTTTTTTTTTTTTTTTGCTTTTTAACTTGTATTTTTGTTTTATAGGTCCTATATGATTTGTGCTTTAAAGAGGTTCTGTTTTGATGTGTTTCCAGGATTTGTTTCAAGATTTAGAGCTCCTTTAACAGTTCTTATAGTAGCTGGTGGCTTGTTAGTGATGAATTCTCTCAGCATTTGTCTGAAAAAGACTGTATCTTTCCTTCATATATGATGCTTAGTTTTGCTGTATACAAAATTCTTGGCTGATAATTGTTTTGTTTGAGGAGGCTAAAGATAGGGCCCCAATCCTTCTAGCTTGTAGGATTTCTGCTGAGAAATCTGCTGTTAATCTGATAGGTTTTCCTTTATAGGTTACCTGGTGCTTTGTCTCACAGCTCTTAAGATTCATTCCTTCATCTTAACTTTAGATAACCTGATGACAATGTGCCTAGGTGATGACCTTTTTATGATGATTTTCCCAGGTGTTCATCGTTCTTCTTGTATTTGTGAGAGGTGAAGCCGGCTGGGCTTCTGGGTCAGGTGGGGACTTGGAGAACTTTTATGTCTAGCTAAAGGATTGTAAATGCAGCAATCAGTGCTCTGTGTCTAGCTAAAGGTTTGTAAATGCACCAATCAGTGCTCTGTGTCTAGCTAATCAGGTAGGGGACTTGGAGAACTTTTCTGTCTAAAGGATTGTAAACGCACCAATCAGCGCTCTGTGTCTAGCTAATCGGGTGGGGACTTGGAGAACTTTTCTGTCTAGCTAAAGGATTGTAAATGCACCAATCAGTGCTCTGTGTCTAGCCAAAGGTTTGTAAACACACCAATCAGCACTCTGTTAAAAATGCACCAATCAGCGCTGTGTCTAGCTAAAGGTTTGTAAACGCACCAATCAGCACTCTATAAAATGGGCCAATCAGCACTCTGTAAAACGGACCCATCAGCTCTCTGTAAAATGGACCAATCAGCAGGATGTGGGTTGGGCCAAATAATGGAATAAAAGCAGGCCATCCAAGACAGCACCGGCAACCCGCTAGGGTCCCCTTCCATGCTGTGGAAGCTTTGTTCTTTTGCTCTTCACAATAAATCTTGCTGCTGCTCACTCTTTGGGTTCGCACTACCTTCATGAGCTGTAACACTCAATGCGAAGGTCTGCGGCTTCACTCCTGAAGTCAGTGAGACCATGAACCCACCGAGAGGGATGAACAACTCCAGACGCACCACCTTTAAGAGCTGTAACGCTCACTGTGAAGGTCTGCGGCTTTACTCCTGAAGTCAGCAAGACCACGAACCCACCAGGAAGAACGAACAACTCTGGACACGCCACCTTTAAGAGCTGTAACACTCACTGCAAAGGTCTGTGGCTTCACTCCTGAAGACAGCAAGACCGTGAACCCACCAGAAGGAATAAACTCTGGGCACATCTGAACATCTGAAGGAACAAACTCCGGACACACCATCTTTAAGAACTGTAACACCGCCAGGATCCGCGGCTTCATTCTTGAAGTCAGCGAGACCAAGAACCCACGGGAACCATTCCAGACACATTTGGATGTCTAGGTCTCTAGGAAGGCTGGGGAAGTTTTCCTCTATTATTCCCCCAAATATGTTTTCCAAACTTTTAGATTTCTCTTCTTCCTCAGAAACACTGATTATTCTTAGGTTTGGTTGTTTAACATAATTTCAGACTTCTTGGAATCTTTGTTCATATTTTCTTATTTTTTTTTTTGTCTTTGTTGGATTGGGTTAATTCAAAGACCTTGTCTTTGAGCTCTGAATTTCTTTCTTCTACTTGTTCAATTCTATTGCTGAGACTTTCCAGAGCATTTTGCATTTCTATAAGTGTGTCCAATGTTCCTTGAAGTTTTGATTGTGTTTTCTTTATGCTATTTCCTCAAATATTTCTCCCTTTGCTTCTTGTATCGTTTCTTGGATTTCCTTGCATTGAGATTCACCTTTCTCTACTGCCTCCCTGATTAGCTTAATAACTAACTTTCTGGATTCTTTTTCAGATAAATCAGGGATTTCTTCTTGGTTTGGATCCATTGCTGGTGAGCTAGTGTGATTTTCTGGCGGGTGTTAAAGAGCCTTGTTTTGTCATATTACCAGAGTTGGTTTTCTGGTTCCTTCTCATTTGGATAGACTCTGTCAGAGGGAAGGTCTTGAGCTGAAGGCTGTTGTTCAGATTCTTTTGTCCCACGGGGTGTTCCCTTGATGTAGTCCTCTTTTCATATGGATGTGGCTTCCTATGAGCTGAGCTGCAGTGATTGTTATCTCTCTTCTGGGTCTAGCCACCAAATCTGCCAGGCTCTGGGCTGGTATTGAGGGTTGTCTGCACAGAGTCCTGTGATATGAACTGTCTATGGCTCTCTCAGCCGTGGATACTAGCACCTGTTCCAGTGGAGGTGGCAGGGGGTTGAAATGGACTCTGTGAGGGTTCTTAGCTTTGGTGGCTTAATGGTCTATTTTTGTGCCAGTTGGCCTCCTGCCAACCACTTGGAGGAGGTTGGCACTTTCCAGAGAGCATCAGCTGTGGTGGTATAGAGAGGAACTGGTGGTGGGTGGGGCCCTAGAACTCCCAAGAGTATATGCCCTTTGTCTTCAGCTAGCAGGGTTGGTCGGGAAGGTCCATCAGGTAGGGGCAGGGCTAGGTGTGTCTGAGCTCACACTCTCCTTGGGTGGGTCTTGCTGCGGCTGCTGTGGGGAATGGGGGTGAGGTTCCTAGGTCAATGGAGTTATGTACCTAGGAGGATTATGGCTGCCTCTGCTGAGTCACGCATGTTATCAGGAAAGTGGGGGAAAGCCGGCAGTCACAGGCCTCACCCAGCTCCCACGCAATCCAAAGGGTCGATCTCACTCCCACTGTGCCCCTCCAACAGCCCTGAGTCTGTTTCCAGGCAGAGGGAGAGCAGGGCTTGAGAACCTGCTTCAGGCTACCTGTCTCCCAGCTGCAAAAATAAAGGGCTTTGGTTCTTCCCCCATCTACAGAGTCTGCACACCAGATTTGCACCCTCCCCCGAGTTCTGGCCAGGAGGCTTCTCACCAGGTTCAAATTGTTACAAAGTTCACCTGGAGACTTCCTTCTCCCTGTGGTGTTTACCCCTGCACCTCTGTCCACCCTCCCAAAGAATCCTTGTGGTGCTAGGCAGGAATGGCCTGCTTGGGGACCCAGCGAGCTCCCAGGACCTTTCTCGCTGCTTCCTCTACCCCTGTATTTCACTTGGCTCTCTAAATTGACTCAGCTCCAGGTATGGTCAGAAAATTCTCCCGCAAACTAGACCTTCAGTTTCCCCAGTGGGGGTGTGTGTTCAGGAGTGGAGGATCTCCCTTTCCCACTTCTGCAGTTTGGGCACAGTGTTTGGGGTGTCTCCTGGGTCTTGCAGGAGCAGTCCACTTCCTTCAGAGGGTCTGTGGGTCCTCTCGGGACTCCTGGTTTGTTATTGAAGTTGTTCTGGAGCTTAAGTTCACGATGTGAGCCTCCACACAATGCTCTGTCCATCTGAGTCAGAGCTGCAATCTACTCCTGCCTCCCATCTGCCATGATGATCATAGTCAGAAGGTGCTACACATTTTTAAATGACCACATCTCACAGGAACTTAGTCACTATGGGGAGGACAGTCCCAAGAGCATGGTACTAAACCATTTGTGAGAAATATTCCCCCATGGTCCAACCATCTCCTACCAGGCCTCACCTCCAACACAAGAAATTACAATTCAACATGTGATATGGGTAGGGACACAGATCCAAACCATTCCATACATGCTTCTTATCTCACCCTTGGGAACTCGCCTGCTGCCATGTGAACAAAGCCTGGGCTACCCTCCTGGCTAATGAGAGACACTGGCACTGTTACCTCCTCAGCTCTAGATGGCAGTAGACAATTCCCAGAACTCTTCAGCTGAGTGCAGCCCAAATTGCCAACCTACAAAAACATAAATAAATTGTGCTGTTTTAAGCTACTAAGCTTTGGGATAGTTTGTTAAGCAGCAGAAGCTAATTGATACTTGACTACACACTATGCTGCCTCTAGATTATACTTACTTTGTACAACAAATTTCATAGATGATTTTGCATGTTGTCTCATTTAATTTTCACAATTACTACACGAGATGGGATCTAAAAAAATAGAGATTGTGGGAATTTAATTAACTTGTCCAACATCAATTGCTAATGAGTGGAAGAAGCAGAGTTAAAATGTATAAAATAGGCTGGGCATGGTAGCTCATGCTTGTAATCCCAGCACTCTGGAAGGCTGAGGCAGGTGGATCACTTGAGGTCAGGAGTTTGTTTGAGACCAGCCTGGCCAACATGGTGAAACCCCATCTCTACTGAATATAGAAAAATTAGCCAGGCATGGCGGCACATGCCTGTAGTCCCAGCTACTTGGGAGGTTGAAGCACAAGAATCGCTTGAACCCAGGAGGTGGAGGTTTCAGTGAGTTGAGATTGCGCCACTGCACTCCAGCCTGGACAACAGAGCGAGACTCCGTCTCAGAAACAAAAAAAAAGGGCTAAAATTTATAAAATTTCCTAAAAATCGTAGGTCAAATGAGACTTCAATCAGTGCTGCTAAGGAACAGCGGCTACTTCTGATTCCGATTCCAGATATGATGGTGAATGAGCAGAGCTGCTGGCTGTCTCTTCTAACTGAACTGTAGAGATGCCACGGAAATGAGAGAAAAGCTCTGGCATTTGAAGTACTAACGCAAAATTCGTGAGAAACCTTTGAGGAGATGCAAAGTGATTATGACCTGGTATGAAAAGGAAAACTCAGTTTGGGCAGAAGGCCAGGCTCCAGTGGGATGGAGGGGCAAGGGGACTTTGAGATATGTGTTTTTTTTTGTATATTGTCCTGGGTAGATCATTGATATCTCTATTGTAAGTAGAAAATAAATGTAGTAGTTCCAGTCCAAAGCCTCAAGTCAGTGGGACAAAAGCAGCGTGGTTGGCTGGAGTGAGGAACAGTTAACAATGGGGCAGTCAGATAATTGAGTCTTTGTGTGTTCCCTGCTCTCTCCCATCTCCCCACACTTCTAGGATTGGAGAGTTGAAATGGGGTGAGAAAGGATCTTTCAGTGGGTATCTTTGAGGGTAAAGGTTTATGTAGCTTCTGCAATAATCTGGTATGAAGGTCAGAATTACCTGGTGAAGTTGTAAAATATGAAATGACACTCATCCTCCCCAACTCCCCAGAAATGGCACAAGCAAGAGTCTGGGCCTTAGCTCCTCATTCTGGGTACACATTACCAGGGGAAAATGAACTCAGAGGCAACAAAATATTGAAATAGTGGAGGAGTCCAATCTGTTTGACGGAAAAACCACCACCCAAATGACCTACCTGGAGGAACCAGAATTGGTGTAAGACATGAACCATGATTTAAAAATAAGCTTAATAAATATCCTCAAAGAAACAGGAGATTATATTGGTTAATATGAAGCAAGGACAAAAAAACAACTAAGACGATCCAAGTAGATATCTCAGGTATAAAAAGTATAATACTTGAAATATGGATTCAACCGATATGGCACTGAGAAGAGTGAATATAGACAATAATTACTGAGCTAGAATATCAGGTCAAGAAACTGCCTTAGGTGCCTAAAGAATTAAGGCCCTAGCCTGAACTTGCAACAAGTACTGGAGTTTGGAGGAACAAATTCTGTCTCTCCTCTCTTGTATTTGTTTTTTGTTTTTGTTTTTTGTTTTTTTCAGATGGAGTCTCACTCTGTTGCCCAGGCTGGAGTGCAGTGGCACAATCTCAGCTCACTGCAACCTCAGTCTCCCAGGTTCAAGCAATCCTCCCACTTCAGCCTCCCAAGTAGCTAGGATTACAGGTGTGCACCACCACGCCAGGCTAATTTTGTTTTGGTATTTTTAGTAGAAACGGGGTTTCACCATGTTGACCAGGCTGGTCTTGAACTCCTGACCTCAAATGATCCACCCCCCTTGGTCTCCCAAAGTGCTGGGTTTACAAGCATGAGCCACTGCACTCGTCCTCATTTGTATTTCTTTTCTCTCTTAGATATAAAGTACCATATATGCACAGTTCTGCACCTTGCTTTTTCATTAAACAAAAATGTCCAGAGATTATTCCATAGTAAAATAAAAGATCTTCCTCATTTTATATTTTGTATGTGTGTGTTTTTGTTTTCTTCTTCCTCATTTTCTTTTATAGTTGTACATTACTTCATTGTGTGGATGCATTATAGTTTACCCAAATATCCCTCAGCAATGATATTTGCATTTTTTTTTTTTTTTTTTTTGAGATGCTGTCTCCTCTGTTGCCCAGGCTGGAGTGCAGTGGCGCGACCTCAGCTCACTGCAACCTCTGCCTCCCGGTTTCAAGCAATTCTCCTGCCTCAGCCTCCTGAGTAGCTGGGACTACAGGTGCGTGCCACCATGACCAGCTATTTTTTTTTATTTTTAGTAGAGGCGGGGTTTCACCATGTTGGCCAGGCTGGTCTCGAACTCCTAACCTCGTGATCTGCCTGCCTTGCCTCCCAAAGTGCCAGGATTATAGGCGTGAGCCAGTAAGCCACTGTGCCTGACTGATATTTGAATTCTTTTCAGTCTTACTGCAATGGATATCCCTGGTTTTTTTTGTTTTTGAGACAGGGTCTGGCTCTGTCATCCAGGCTGGAGGGCAGTGGTGCGATATTGGCTCAGTGCAACCTCCACCTCTGGGGCTCAAGCCATCCTCCCACCTCAGCCTCCCCAGCAGCTGGAACTACAGGGGCACACCATCACACTTGGCTAATTTTTGTATTTTTTTATAGAGGTGGGGTTTTGCCATGTTGGCCAGGCTCGTCTCAAATTCCTGAGCTCAAGCTATTTGCCCACCTCGGCCTCCCAGAGTGCTGGTATTCCAGGCATGAGCCATTGTGCCAAGCCCACTACTACTTTTTAACATAGTGAAGAAGGTCCTAGCCAGTGTTAAACAAGAAAAGGGTCTAAGAGATACTAGGACTGAAATGAAAAAGATAAAACCACATCTGTTCAACATCTAAATATATTACTTTTTGTTTTTAAATTTCTAAAATTTTTATAGAGATGAGATCTCGCTTTGTTGCCCAGGCCAGTCTCATACTCCTAGATTCAAACAATCCTCCTACCTTGGTCTCCCGATGTGTTGGGATTTCAGACATGAGCCACCATGCCTGGCCTAAATATATAACAAATAAAAATATTTGGCAAAATTGCTGGAGACAGGATCAACTTATAAAATCAACATTGTTTCTCTCTAGGCTAGTAATAGCAAACTTGAAAATAATATAGAAAATAAGATTTTGTTGACAATAGCAGTAACAAGTCTGTAAGAGAAAGGATCATTAAAACATGGCAGGCTGGGTATGGTGGCTCATGCCTGTAATCCCATCACTTTGGGAGGCTGAGGTGGGCATATCACCTGAGGTTAGGAGTTCAAGACCAGCCTGGCCGACATGGTGAAACCCCGTCTCTACAAAAATACAAAAATTAGATAGGCATAATGGTGGGTGCCTGTAATGGCGGGTGCCTGTAATCCCAGCTACTCATGAGGCTGAGGCAGGAGAATCACTTGAACCCGGGACGCGGAGTTTGCAGTGAGCCGAGATTGTGCCATTGCACTCCAGCCTGGGCAACAGAGTGAGACTGCATCTTAAAAAACAAAAAACATAGTGGATAAAGACTGAAATCGTTAGAAGCTTTGAAGTAGATATTCATGCAGGAATTCATATGTCTTAAACATGGTAATGAAGTGACAAAAGTAAGAAGCATATTGAAATTATATTAGAAGTATATACAAACTCATCACAATTTTCATGAGTTCATGAAATATGCTTATTTCAGGACATTATATAATATGCATCAGAGTTAGTGATGTAGGAGTAAAGGATAAAGGCAAAAATTAAAGAGATAAAGCAGGAGGGATGTTTTGCATGGACTGATGATGATAATGTGTTAAGAATTAGGATCATGCTTAATTTAATCCTTCACCTAAGGTAGAACAACACACAACAAAACCTCATAAACAGAAATCCCTACAAATCCACAGGGACTAGGCTCATCTTACACTGGGCAAGCGAAAGCTACATAAGTGAATCATTAGAAATCTCATGGCATGCTAAGAAGGTGAATGATAGATTTTCTAAGCATGTAAGCACTCTGTTGAAATAAATTCAGCACTCTGTTAAATCAAAGCCTCTATGCCTTAAGTGAAATGGCAGATGTGGTACCTATGACATTTTGCTCCCTCCTGGGACCTGATCATAAGACACTCACTGGATTTTCTCACATGGGATTTGGTTAGCAAAATGCAGTTTTCCATTATTGTGTGGTGACTGTCACTTCACAGGCTTTAAAATGGGAAGCAACTGTCAATGACCTTGAGTCACATTCATGGTTAGAATATTTTTGCCTGCTGGAATATTCAGTATAAGCCACCATCTCCTGTTGATGGAATTCACATCAGAGCCCCTCTGGGTGATGTGCACAGTCCTAAAGAGGGTTGAGTTTCAAGTGGCTTAATCTATTTCACTCAAACACTGAGCCCCAGGCACTGTAGTCAAAACAAAGGTATCCAAGGGAACTGTGTTCTTTTGACTCAGTAGATATTATTTTTAGAAGGAGTATATTAAATGGTCATCCTGTCCAGTTCTCCATCTGATGTTTGGCACCACTTAGCAAGATTCCATTAATTCGTCATTTGATGATGACTGAACATCCTTGTCTGGAAAGCTCATCATTCCAGCAACAGGGATTGCATGACCCTTTTTATACATTAATGTGTTCATTAATTTCGCAAATATTTGTTGAACTCCAACTATGTGTCAAGCACTGGGCGTGCAAGGTTGAACAAGACAGATACGTTTCTTATTTTGTGAGTCTAACTTTCTGGTGAGAGACAAGTACATTGACACATATAGAAGAACATGCTACTGAATAATATTTAATGAAAATAAAAGATGGTGATGTCATAGGGAATGTTGGGGCAGGAAGTGGGATGGCTGCTTTAGGTGGGGATGGATGGAAAGCACCCTTTCAACTGAGACCTGAATAGCAAGGAGGAAGCAGCCCTAGGAAGCATTCAAGACTGAAGCAACGGCTGGTAAAAACTCAATGGCCAGGATAAGAAATTTGGTGGGTGTTCCACGGCATACTACGCAGCCATAAGAAGGAATGAGATCATGTCCTTTGCAGGGACATGGATGGAACTGGAGGCCATCATCCTTAGCAAGCTAACACAGGAACAGAAAATCAAACACCACATGTTCTCACTTATAAGCAAGAGCTAAATGATGAGAACACATGGACACATAGAGGGAAACTTGGTGCCTACCAGAGGGGGGGCGGGGGGTGCGGGGGGAGGAGGGAGAGGATCAGGAAAAATAACTAATGGGCACTAGGTTTAATATCTGGCTGATTAAATAATCTGTACAACAAACACCCATGACACACATTTACCTATGTAACAAACCTGCACATCCTGCACATGTACCACTGAACTTAAAAATTTCGGTATAAAAATTTAAAAATAAAAAGATTAAGTGTAAAGAAAAGAAAAAAGAAATTTGATGTGTACTGGAGGAAGAGAAAGACCTTGGCTTGAGGGACATATACCTGTTTATCATTTAGTTTTTCTGTTTTGTGAACCACCTATTCATATTATTTACCTTTGAAAAAATGGAATGTCCTTGCTTTTTCTTGTATGTTTTCAAGTGACCCTTGCATACCCTAAAATTAATTCCTTATTGGTTTTATATGTCACAAACACATTCTAATTTGTCACTAGACCACTTGCTGGTATGGCATGATTTGTTGAACAGACATTCTTGATTTTGATGTAGTCAAATCTCATCAACTTATCTCCTTATGTATTTGCCTTCTGGGTCTTGTTTAAAAAATCCTTCACTGAGTTTATATTTTTGATTTTTTTAATTTATTTAAATTTTTTGCTTGTTTGCTTTACAGATTTACCCTTTACATATAGTTACTTAATCCATCTAGAATTCACCTTCATTTATGGTGTGAAGTGTGGACTCATGTTAATTTTTTTTCATGTCAGGAGCCACGTTCCACCGGGCATGGTGGCTCATGCCTGTAATCCCAGCATTTTGGGAGTCTGAGGAGGGCGGATCATTTGAGGTCAGGAGTTTGAGACCAGCTTGGCCAACATGGTAAAAGCTTTTCTCTACTAAAAATACAAAAATTAGCCGGGCATGGTGGCAGTTATCTGTAATCTCAGCTACTTGGAAGGCTGAGGCAGGAGAATTGTTTGAACCCGGGAGGCGGAGGTTGCAGTGAGTCGAGATTGTGCCACTGCACTCCAGCCTGGACGACAGAGTGAGACTCCGTCTCAAAAAAAGAAGAAAAAAAAAAAGTGCCACGCTTTGCAACATCATCTTTCCCTCTAGTTAGATGATGCCATTTCTATTATAAACCAACTAAGATCTGGGCATTAGGGACACTCATCGCTATTGACGTGTTTGTTTGTTTTAGAAATCATGAGTTCATACTGAGACCTCCTGTGCCAATTCAACAACACCACAGAGATCTTCCTTTCTTTTCTCCATTCCATAATTCTGCCTCCTTTCTTCCACAGTGAGAACGCTGGCTTCTTCAAACATAATCATATTTACACACTTAATTCTTCAATAAATATAAAATAGATTCAGAATTGGTACATCCATACCACTATGAAAAACAAACCCATTAAAAAAGAACTCAGCAAATAACTTAAAACAGAACTACCATTCAAGCCGCAATGCCATTACTGGGTATACACGTAAAGAGATCTAAATTGTCTTATCATAAAGACACATGCACGCGTATGTTCATTGCAACACTGTTCACAATGGCAAAGACATGGAATCACCTAAATGCCCATCAACGGTAGACTGTATAAAGAAAATGCGGTACCTATAAACTACGGAGTACTATTGATAGGGAAGGGGGGCAGAGAAGTGCTGGGTACAGGAGGTCGTGGTCCCTGGCTAGCGCTTCACCCCCAGGCCTGTGCCCACAGACTTAGGTGAGAACAGGCATTTCTGTTTTCCTGCCCAAACGCTGCATTTCCCAAGACCACCCTGGCCTGCCATGCCCCCATCCTGTACCCATAAAAACCCAACGCCCTAGCGGGCAGAGACACAAGCGGCTGGACGTCCAGAGGACTCAAGGGGAACACGCCAGTGGAAGAGCACACCGACAGACGCCGGCAGGTCAGCAGGCCATCGACCGGCAGAACATGGAGTTTGGACAGGGTCGGAGGAGGAGAGCCTGCGCTGCTGAATGGCCAGATTCCAGGGGAAAACCATCTCCCTTCTGGCTCCCCCAACTGCTGAGAGCTACTTCCACTCAACAAAACCTTGTACTCAGTCTCCAAGCCCACGTGTGATCCGATTCTTCCAGTACACCAAGGCAAGAACCCAGGGATACAGAAAGCCCTCTGTCCTTGCGATAAGGCAGGGGTCTAATTGAGCTGAGTACACAAGCCGCCTATGGACGGCTAAACTGAAAGAGCACCCTGTAACACACGCCCACTGGGGCTTCACCCCTAGACACTGCCTTGGGGTCGGAGCCCCACAGCCTGCCCGTCTGCATGCCCCCCATAGAGGTTTGAGCAGCGGGACACTGAAGAAGCGAGTCACATCCCCATCGCACACCCTGCGAGGGGGACAAGGGAACTTTTCCCATTTCACTATGAAGCCATAAAAGCAGTGAGATCATGTTCTTTGCAGCAACGTAGGTGAAGCTAGAGGCCATTATCCTAAGCGAGCTAGTGCAGAAACAAAACCAAATGCCACATGTTCTCATAAGTGGGAGCAAAACGTTTTGTACACATGGACACACACAAAAAGGAATAATAGAAACTGGGGCCTACTTAAGAGTGGAGGGTGGGAGGAGGGTGAGGATGGAAAAACTACCCATTGGGTGTTATGCTTATTACCTGGGTGATGAATTATCTGTACGACAAACCCCGTGACGTGCAATTTACCTATATAACAAACCTGCACATGTATCCCAAACCTAAAATAAAAGTTTAAACAAAGGTATACAAAACTCTGGAGAAGCAGTAGCAAATAAAAAACACACAAACAGAAAAGAGCTCAGGATTTGTCTGTTATCCCTTCACTCCCCACCTTTACTATGAGGGTTATGGTCAAAGTGTTGTGTCCAAAAGTTCCTCGTCAGCCTCCCTGCCCTTTACTGAGGTTATGTTATTAATGTGAAATACACTCAGGTTTTCTGTCTGTTCTCAGTTTTAAGTCCTTACTCCTCCTTTTTAAATTTTTTTTTTTTTTGGACAGAGTCTTGCTCTGTTGCCCAGGCTGGAGTGCAATGGCACGATTTTGGCTCACACTGTAGCCTCTGCCTCCCAGGTTCAAGCAGTTCTCCTGCCTAGCCTCCTGAGTAGCTGGGACTACAGGTGCACACCACCACCCCAGGCTAATTTTTGTATTTTTTAATAGAGACAGAGTATCGCCACGTTGGCCAGGCTGGTGTCGAACTCCTGGCTTCAAGTGATCCTCCCACCTCAGCCTCCCAAAGTGCTGGGATTACAGGCATGAGCCACTGTGCATGGCCGTTTCTTCTTGTTAATTCCATTTTATTATTTGAATGTGTGGAATATATTCACACACTTCCAAAAGTAAAAACTACCCTCAGAGAAGCATCACTCTCTCTTGCCTTCATCCTCCTAATTTCCCTCCTTATATCTGGGTAATCTCATTGTTTTCTGATTACCCTTCCTGTGTTTCTTTTTGCAAAAAATGAAATAGATATATGTATATTTCTTGTCTTCCTGCTTTTCTTACACAAAAAGCAGCATGCTATCTGTACTCTTTAGATTTTATTTTTTTCACTTAACAATATATCATGGAATCACCCTTCAATGTTGCTATTTATTTAATACTCTAATTATTGTGTGTATTTACTATGTTTCTGTACCATTTTAAAAATTAAAAACGTTTCTTTTGTTATTTAGGAAAGTTTGTTTTATTAGTTTTAATGGGTATCTTTGTTTAAAAGCTTTTCTAGTATCTCTGGTTCACCATTTAAAAAGTAAACATATACTTTCAGTTTAAGATGGGATCCTTTTTCAGAATCTTTTTCTATTTTCTCCTTTACCTCTTCTCCTCCCATAATTTTTGCTGCATCATTTCTATTTTGTTCACATACTATTCTTCCACCTATTTCCCAGCCCTTCTATTATTCTTCATTTTACAACTAAATATATTAGATTCTCATTATCAGTCCTTTTGCTGAAGTTTCTTCAGTTCCCCTTGGTTAAATGAGAGTCCAGGTAGATTCCTTAGGAAGGGGCTGTGTGCCCTAGAAAGACTGCCTGACTGTGTATAAAATCCTTGGTTCTAGCCAGATGTATTAGCATGCACCTGTAGCCCCAGCTACTGTGGAGGCTGAGGTGGGAGGATTACTTGAGCCCCAGAGTTTGAGGCCATACTGGGCAACATAGTGAGACCCCTATCTCTAAAGAAACAAACAAACAAAAATCCTTGAGTCTGCCACAAGTCTCCCATTTAACCTGTTAACTGGCTCCTTCAGCTTCTCACAAGACAAGGATTTTGCTCGGACCATCCTGAATGCAAAATAATCTACCACATCATCAGACCTGTGACAGATTACAAGGTCTACTACTGGGTTCAATATATGGCCACCAAACTTCTAAACCTAAAGTTTTACACAATAATTAATGACCACCAGGTCTTATGTAAAGGCTTTTCACTTGGGGTAGGGGGAGGAAAACAGTACCAGAGTGTCCAGACCCCATCACAGTACAAACTTTTTGTGTGGAAGCTAAATTTAGATAGGGTTCCCAGGAATATAAATAGCTAGGACACTAATTGGGGAATGCCTCTGGGGTGAGGCTACGTGAAAAGAAGCAGCTTTCATGGTTTAAAAAAAGGTTCCAAGGCTTCTTTCCCTTATAACAGCTGACGGTACATTCCTAGCTCCTTCCAGAACTTACTTGAACAAAAGGTCACTCATCTACAATCTCTTCAAAGCCTTTGAGATTTCACAGGAGGCTAGAGTGTCAGGGCTGGAAGGATCTTAGAAGTGATCTAATCTGTTCTTTTTTAAATTAACAGATGAGGAAACTGGTGGGATTAAATCTGGGGTGAAAGGATAAGTACTTGAATTTTCCGTGTGAAAAGTCAGGCTTATTAAAAATGTTTTGAAAAGCAATTTTGGGCTGGGCACGGTGGCTCATACCTGTAATCCTAGCACTTTGGGAGGCTGGGGCAGGATCACTTGAAGCCAGGAGACCGCATATCTAAACAAACAAAAACAAATAGTTTTGGTATAGGCATGAACAAATGATTAAAAAATATTTTTAAGGCTTTGGTTCAGATTTTCAAAAAGAAATTTTTATTTTATTTTTATTTATTTATTTTTTGAGACAAAGACTCACTGTGTCACCCAGGCTGGAGTGAAGTGGAGTGATCATGGCTCACTGCAGCCTCTAACTCCTGGGCTCAAGCGAACCCCCCTCCTCAGCCTTGAGTAGCTGGGACTGCAGGACTGTGCCACCACTCCTGGCTGATTTTTATATTTTTTTGTAGAGATAGGAGTCTCCCAATATTGCCCAGGCTGGTCTCAAACTTCTGGTCTCAAGCCATCCCTCTGCCTTGGCCTCCCAAAACACTGGCATTATAAGTGGGAGCTACTATACCTGGTCTGAAAAAATTTCTAAGAAAAAAAACCCTGACAAATTTGAAGTCCCTATATTTCCCTTTCTTATGTTATTCCTCTCCTTCCTAGAGTTAACCATTATAATGGATTTAGTGCTTTGACACATTTGCTCCATATATATGTACTAATAAATATAATTTAATTTACAGAAATGGTAACACAGTCTATAACATCTTGAAATTTGCTTTTTTTTAAACTGTGGTGGCAAATAATACTTCAGTGAACCTCCTTGCACATACGTGAGTTTCTTTAATATACATTACATAAATCATATATATAACATTAATTACATATATTACTATTATATATGTGTATATATCTAGAAGTAAAATTCATTGTTAAATATAGAGCATTCTCAGTGTTATTAGATCTTGTCTCATTCCCTCCCTAGATAGCATTGTCCCATCTTCATCGACACTTCTTATTAGACTTTAAAACCTTTATAAAATGAATTGAGGTGAAAGTTTGTCTTACTGTTTTATGGTGCATCTTGATTAACGGGGAATATTTTTCATGTTTTCTTTTTTTTGGTCATTAAGATTTCCTGTTTTTTTGAGAGTTGCCTGTTTATATCCTTTGCTCATTTTTTCTATTGGGTTATTAGTCTTTCTCTTATTGACTTTAGGAATTCTTTGAGCTCTGGATATTATTTCTTTGATGGTTTTTATAAAGTTAACATTTCCCCAGTCTATGGCTAATATTTTTTTTTAATTTTAAATTTTTGTGGGTACATAGGTGTATATATTTATGGGTTGCATGAGGTATTTTGATACAGGCATGCAATGGGTAATAATAACATCAGGGTAAATAGGGGTATCCATCACCTCAAGCATTTATCCTTTGTGTTTCAAACATTCTGACATACTCTTTTAGTTATTTTAAAAATTCATATATCTATATATATTTTTACTATAGTCATCCCGTTGTACTAGCAAATACTAGGTCTTATCTATTTTTCTTTTCTTTTCTTTTTTTTTTTTTTTAGAAGGATCTCACTCTGTCACCCAGGCTGGGGTGCAGTGGTACAATCTTGACTCACTGCAACCTCTGCCTCTTGGGTTCAAGCGATTCTCTTGCTTCAGTCTCCCGAGTAGCTGGGATTACAGGTGTGCACCACCACTCCCAGCTAATTTTTATATTTTTAGTATAGACGGTGTTTCACCATGTTGGCCAGGCTAGTCTCAAACTCCTGACCTCAAGTGATCCACCTGCCTTGGCCTCCCAAAGTGCTGGGATTACAGGCGTGAGCCACTGCACCCAGCCTCTAATTTATTCTAACTACTTTTTTTTGTAGCCGTTAACCATTCCCCACCCCCATACCCACTCCCACTTCACCACTACCCTTCCCAGGCTGTGGTAACCATCTTTCTACTCTCTATTTCCATGAATTCAATTGTTTTAATTTTTAGCTCCCACAGATAAGTGAGAAGAGGTGATGTTTATCATTCTGTGCCTGACTTACTTCACTTAACATAATGACCTCCAGTTCCATCTCAGTTGTTGGATATGACAGGATCTCATCCTTTTTTGTAGCTGAATAGTACTCCATTATATATAGTACCACATTTTCTTTATCTACTCATCTGTTGATGGACACTTAGGTTGCTTCGAAATCTTGGCTACTGTGAACAGTGCTGCAATAAATATGGGAGTGCAGATATCTCTCTGATATACTGATTTCCTGTCTTTTGGGTATAAACCTAGGAGTGGGATTGCTGGATTATATGGTAGCTCTATTTTTAGTTTTTTGAGGAACCTCCAAACTGTTTTTCATAGTGGTTGTGCTCATTTTACATTCCCACCAAGAGTGTATGAGAATTCCCTTTTCTCCTCATCCTTGCCAACATTTGTTATTGTATGGCTTATCTCTTAACTTGGTTTATAGAGTCCTGCTTTTACAGACATTTCACATTTTTAAATAGTCCAAAATGAACACTCTTTTTATTTGTAAAAAGACTGACCTACCATCTGACACCAAATGAAGGCAAGACCAGTCAACTCCAGTCATTCTAGTGATCTCCAGGCTATTGGCAAATAAGGCATTCAGCACAAGTGTTCTTTTAATTGGGACATGCTGTGAATAATTAGCATGGCCAGTCCCCATCAGGTGTCAGAGAGCTCTTCTTGCCTTCTGGAAGGAGTTTGGATGAGGAGTCATCTCCTGCTGGCTCCGCTCCTCATGGTGTGCCCTTGGTAGAGACCTGGCTTCCAGCTCTACCACTAATTCCATTTAAACCCCAGTTTCCTGATATGTAGAAAAGAATAACGCTGCTTCACAGGGCTGTTGGATGCACGCTGGATAGGGGTAAAAATGCTTTGCAAGATAACAGATAAAAGCAAAATACTGTTATTACTAACCTCTGTGGGCTTCATCGTTCATATGTGTAGAATAAGAGGGATGGGACTAGGTATTAACAGCCCCTTTCAGCTCTACAATAGCCTGTGATTCTGTGACTAGGGGTAAAAACAGAACCTCCAAGTAAGATGGGGTAGCAGGTGGCCTCTAGCAGTTATGGGGCTCTTGGTAAGGCCACCTACTGGAAGAAATATTACAAGGCAAATAAGAAAATGCAATATCCCTGCCTTCCTCTCTTCTTCACTTCTCCCATTCTTCCCTGCTTTCCTTTCATCTGTTTCTCCCTTCTGTCTTCCTTTCTTCTATTCTTGGAACACTCCCCCACTTTACTGGCTCAATTCTATTTATCCTTCAGATATTCTTTGTTTTTTTCCTGGGAAGCATCCTCTAGGAGGCTTTTAATGATCATCAAATTTTATGCAGTGGTGTCCTTCCTATGTGCTTCCATGGTGTCCTCATAACCTCCACCATTGCACTTACTCGTATTAATTGTCTGCAATCCTTATAAAATTTAAGCTTGGGGAATAGAGAGGGCTCATTTCTTGTTCGCTGCTGTATCCCCAGAGCCTGTTTCAGTGCTGGGAATAAAGCAGGGTGCTCAAATCCCGTTGGATGAAGGAGTAAATATACAGGAACTATGCTAGGCAGCATGAGTACAGAGATGAATAAGAATTGTCCTTAGCTATGAAGGAATTAAAGGTCTTGAAGGGAGGAGGGACATGCAATCAAGTAACTGCAATACTGTATTATAAGAACAAGCAACAGAAATCCATTTGAAAGTACAGCTTTATATATAGAGAAGTGTTTAGACAGGTCAAAGAAAGCACTCTGAGAAAGAGATGAGCTGGATTTTCAAAAATGAGCAGGAATGATGTGTCAATCTGAGTAAAGTAAGGGACTTGCCAGATAGAAGCAGCTCACTTATTTAATAATTAATTCAAAAAATATTTATTGAGCTTCTACATTGCTCCAGGTACTGTTGTAGGTGCTGAGGGTACAACAGATACAAAGAGAGTCCGCCCTGGTGGAGCCCCTCCTCACCTCCTGCAGAGGTCCTCTTTCTGTAGTGACCCCTGTCATCCTGGGCCTCTGCAGCTCTTCTGAGAATGTGGTATTTAATGCATATGAAGTCCTATAGAGTATCTGACATGCCTCTCTTTGATCCAGGAAAACAGGGTCCTGGCTGTTTTTGTGCTAAGGGAGACGTGAGGGTTTGTTTCTCAATGTTTTGATCAAAGGCACACAGCTGTCACACGAGAACGCCTTGGAAATGTAATCTGACTGCCCCAAAGCACCAACTGGCCTCACCATCTGTCTCAGGCCACAGTCTGACTGAGGACTGTCTTTGGCTGAACACCCCTTGTATGGGTCAAATACTAACACTGGCATCCACCAGGGGAAATAACAAAGTAAGAAAAAGTAAAAATGGAATAAAGGCTGAAGGGAGTCTCATAAATCAACCCACACCATTATGCAGAGCTTTTATGGAGAAATCAGTAGAAAGAAATACAGAGTTACATAGAGGTGAAAGATAAATCATTAAAGGGGTCCTTTTATGGCAAAACTGAATTTCCACTTTCAGCAAGTTTTTGGCTGATTCCTATGGAATGATAGAATGGAAATGAACTTCTTTCCTGTGTTCTGCTTACTTATCTAAGTCAACTTGGCATTTTATTTTATTTTTGAGACAGGGTTTCACTCTGTTGCAGAGGCTGTAGTGCAGTGGCATGATCTTGGCTCACTGTAACCTCCACCTCCCAAGATCAAGCAATTCTCATGCCTCAGCCTTTCTAGTAGCTGGGATTACAGGCACCTGCCACCATGCCTGGCTAATTTTTGTATTTTTAGTAGAGATGGGGTTTCACCATGTTGGCCAGGCTGGTCTCAAACTCCTGGCTTCAAGTGATCCACCCACCTCAGCCTCCCAAAGTGCTGGAATTACAGGCGTGAGCCACTGCTACTGGCCAATTTGGCATTTTAAACAAGCCTTCTTCTCCAGGTGAGTGGCTGCAGGGACGAACATAAGATTTATAACTTTAAAGAGAGAAAGAGGATAGAAGGGGAATTGAGAATATATTTTATCATTTAAAAATATTGGATGGGTTGGGCACCGTGGCTCATGCCTGTAATCCCAGCATTTTGGGAGGCCAAGGCAGGTGGATCACCTGAGGTCAGGAGTTTGAGACCAGCCTGGCCAACACGGTGAAACCCTGTGTGTACTAAAAATACAAAAATTAGCCAGGTGTGGTGGCAGGCACCTGTAATCTCAGCTACTTGGGAGGCTGAGGCTGAAGAATCGCTTGAACCCAGGAGGCGGAGGTTGTGGTGACTGGAGATTGTGCCACTGCACTCCAGCCTGGGCGACAAGAGTGAAACTCCAGCTTAAAAAAAAAAAGTGGATGGAGGTGACAAGATGGCCAATAGATACAGTCAAGGAGCATCTCCCAATGAGAGAGACCAAAATATTGAATAAACCAACATCCTTAGGACAGATCTTTGGAGAGAAAACACAGAGTAATAGAGAGGTAAGGCAGACACTGAGACTGAAGAGGGAGGAAGCTGGGAACCCTGCACAGGTTTGCAGAGCACTGGGACTGGTTCCCGGCCCTGAACAGCTCCTAAGGAAGGGGTGAGTGAAGTGATGGCGGGGTAACCCACTCTCACCACAGACCTCTCAGATATTAGCTACAAGAGGTCCCATGACTCCTACAGATGTTTGAATTG
Organism: Homo sapiens; assembly: GCF_000001405.40. Classification (NCBI taxonomy): domain Eukaryota; kingdom Metazoa; phylum Chordata; class Mammalia; order Primates; family Hominidae; genus Homo; species Homo sapiens. The sequence continues at coordinate 107,741,950 of NC_000011.10, read as the reverse complement.
TCAAGGGAATCTGCCTGGAGAGTAGGCAGAAACAGTGCTCCAGGCTGTGCAGAGCCTAGAAGGTTTTGCACATGGAGAAGCTGCAGCAAAATGTGGCCACAGGCACCCATCCCACAGGATTCTCTGTCTTCCTCTGAGTAGCTCTAACCTTGGCTGGCTGCTGGGCCAGGAGAGAGTGGGGCCATCTTTCCTGTGGGACTGGGGCATGTCTGTTCTGCATGCTCCTCTATCCACCAGCCCCTCCCAAGGCCCCTGCCTGGCCACTCCTACAAGAGCAGGTACACAGCACGGCCTCCACTGCCCAGGCAGAGTGCTTTCCTCACAGCCTGAGAGCACTCCAGCTCCCCCAGCACAACCAATGCCCAACGCAGAGGATGAAGCTGCAGGCCAGATTCCAATACCCCTGGGTTGCAGCACATAGCTCAGAAGTGGCAGGCTGAGATCTGGCCAGTGATTAAGTGGGAGAGGAACCTGCACACTCAGAACACTGAGAAGAGTAAGAAGCGGGTTCCTGGGCAGGTGCAGGAATGGGGTATGCCTCCCTCAAAAGTGCCAGTCTGGGAAGGGTGAGGCCTGTCTGGCAGGCAAAGCCTCTGCCTGAAGGAGCCCTGTGACCTGGAACACCTAACGAAGGCAATGTTGGCATGGTGCCAGTGTTAGGAGGGACCTCCCCTAAGGCAGGGGAATGGACCTGGTAAAGAAGTCATCTCTCTTCCCTCCCCACCACAGAGCACTGCAATAAACCCACTGAAATACGGAAGAGCTACTCAGCTAAATAAGAGCATATCTGTTGGCCATTACTCTTAAGCGCCGTCTACTGGATGACAGCCCAAGTTACAACACCAAAAATACTCTTCCAATATACATTATCTGTGAAATGCAGGGCAAGAATCTAGCCACAAATAAAGATCTTGCACAGAGCTTTGGCTCTCTGAAAACACCCAGAAACAAAGGCTTATTGACTATACTCAACTTACACCACAGAACCCTCAAGGGAAATGAAGTATATAAAAACAATATCCAAATGACAGCAAATCCAAAAAGACAAGGAACACCAGTCCTCTTAGATGAGAAAGAATCAGCAATAAGAACTCTGGCAATCCAAAAAGTTACAGTGTCTCCTTACCTCCAAATGAGTACATTAGCTCTCCAGCAATAGTTCCTAACCAGAGTGAAATGACTGAAATGACATATAGAATTCAGAATCTGGATGGCAAGGAAGCTCATTAAGGTTCAGGAGAAAGTTGAAACCCAATCCAAGGAATTCAAGGAATCCAGTAAAATAATACAATAGTTGAAAGACGAAATAGCCATTTTAAGAAAGAACCAAACTGAACTTCTGGAATTAAAAAATTCACCACAAGAATTCCATAATACCATTAGAAGCATTAGCAACAGAATAGACTAAGCTGAAGAATCTCAGAGCATCAAGATCAGTTCTTCAAATCAACTCAGACAAAAAAAAAAAAAAGAATTTAAGAAAATGAACAAAATGTCCAAGAAATATGGGATTTTGTAGAAACCAAACCTATGAGTCATTGACGTTCTTGAGAAGGAAGGAGAGAGAGTAAGCAACTTGGAAAACATATGTGAGGATGTAATCCACAAAAAGTTCCCCAATCTCACTAGAGAGACGGCAAATACAAGGAATACAGAGAACCGCTCTGAGATACTATACAAGATGACCAGCCCCAAGACACAAGGTCAACATGAAAGAAAAAAATCTTAAAGGCAGCTAGAGAGAAGGGTCAGGTCACTTACAAAGGGAACTCCATCAGGCTAGCAGTGGACCTCTCAGCAGAAACCTTACAACCAGAAAGGACTGGGGGCCTAATTGCAGTATCCTTAAAAAAAAAAAAAAAGCATTTCCAGCCAAGAATTTTGTATCCTGCCAAACTAAGCTTCATAAACAAGGGAGAAATAAAGTCCTTTTCAGACAAGCAAACACAAGGGGGAATTGATTACTACTAGACCAGGCTTACAAGAGGTCTTTAAGGGAGAGCTAAGCATGGAAACAAAAGAACAATACCTGCTACCACAAAAACACACTTAAGCTCATAGTCCACGAACACTATAGAACAACTACACAATCAAGTATACAAAACAACCAGCTAACAACATGATGACAGTATCAAAATCTCACATATCCATATTAATCCTGAATGTAAATGATCTAAACCCCCCACTTAAAAGGCATAGAGTAGCAAGTTAGATAAAAAGACAGCATCCAATTATCTTTCACCTTCAAGAGACTCACCTCACATGTAATGACACCCACAAGCTCAAAGTAAATGGCTGGAGAAAGATCTATCATGCAAATGGTAAACAAAAGAAGGTAGGAGTCGCTATTCTTACATGAGATGAAACAGACACTAAACCAACAATAGTCAAGAGGACAAAGAAGGGCATTACATAATAATAAAGGGTTCAATTGAACAAGAAGGCTTAATTATTCTAAATATATATACATACCCACCATTGGAGCACCCAGATTCATAAAACAAGTTCTTGACCTACGAAAAGGATTAGAGAGCCACACAATAATAGTGGGAGACTTCAACACCTTACTGACAGTGTTTGATTATGTGGCAGAAAACTAACAAAGAAATTCTGGACTTGACACTCAACCAATTGGACCTAATAGACATCTAAAAGAATACTCTACCCAACAGCTACAGAACATACATTCTTCTCATCTGCACACGAAACATATTCTAAGTTTGACCACACGCTCAACCATAAAGCAAGTCTCAGTAAATTAAAAAATATCGAAATCATACTAAGCACATTTTAGGACCATAGGGCAATAAAAATAGAAATCAATACCAGGAAGATATCTCAAAACCACATAATTGCATGGAAATTAAGCAACTTGCTCCTGAATGACTTTTGGGTGTACAATAAAATCGAGACACAAATCAAAAAATTCTCTGAAACCAATAAAAGTACATACCCAACATACCAAAATCTTTTGGATGCAGCTAAAGCAGTGTTAAGAGTAAAGTTTGTAGGGCCAAACACCTACATCAAGAAGCTAGAAAATCTCAAATTAACAATCTAACATTGCACCTAAAGGAACTAGAAAAAAGAGGACAAATCAACCCAAAATCTAGCTGAAGAAAAGAAATAAGTAAAATCAGAGAACTCAATGAAATTGAGACTTGAAAATCCATACAAAAGATCAATGTAGGAGAGCAAGTGCCGGGCATCTCAGGTACGCTCCTTGGGCCTCCGGTGCCCGTTTCTTGGGCAGCAGTGGCTCTTCCGCCCTGCTGCAGGTGGAGGTGCTGGCTCTGGACGAGGACGAGGATGACCTGGAGGTTTTCAGCAACTATGCCTCACTGATGGACATGAATTCCTTCAGCACTATGATGCCAACATCCCCTTTATCAATGATAAACCAAATCAAGTTTGAAGATGAACGAGATTTAAAGGAACACTTCATTACAGTTGATAAACCTGAAAGTTATGTTACTACAATAGAAACTTTCATTACGTATAGCATTATTACTAAGTCATCTTGTGGAGAATTTGACTCCAGTGAATTTGAAGTTAGGAGACGGTATCAAGGTTTCCTTTGGTTGAAGAGAAAACTTGAAGAAGCACAACCCACTCTGAATATTCCACCATTTCCAGAAAAATTTATAGTAAAAGGAATGGTGGAACACTTTAAAGATGACTTCATTGAGACATGCAGGAAGGCTTTACATAAATTTTTGAGCCGAACTGCTGATCATCCAACTTTAACATTTAATAAGGTCTTCAAAATTTTTCTCACTGCATAACTCTCTTCTCACAAGAAGCAGGGTCCTGGATTGCTAAGCAGGATGGGGCCAACAGTCAGAACTGTTGCATCCTCAATGAGAGGAATTAAAAACCACCCAGAAATCTAACTGAACTAAAGAGCTTCTGCACAGCAAAAGAAACTACCATCAGAGTGAACAGGCAACCTACAGAATGGCAGAAAATTTTTGCAATCTACTCATCTGACAAAGGGCTAATATCCAGAATTTACAAAGAACTTAAACAAATTTACAAGAAAAAAAAATCAAACAACCCCATCAAAAAGTGGATGAAGGATATGAACAGACACTTCTCAAAAGAAGACATTTATGCAGCCAGCAGACACATAAAAACATGCTCATCATTACTGGTCATCAGAGAAATGCAAATCAAAACCACAATGAGATACCATCTCACACCAGTTAGAATGGCCATTGTTAAAAAGTCAGGATCATTAAAAAGTCAGGAAACAACAGGTGCTGGAGAGGATGTGGAGAAATAGGAACACTTTTACACTGTTGGTGGGACTATAAACTAGTTCAACCATTGTGGAAGACGGTGTGGTGATTCCTCAAGGATCCAGAACTAGAAATACCATTTGACCCAGCCATCCCATTACTGGGTATATATCCAAAGGATTACAAATCATGCTACTATAAAGACACATGCACACGTATGTTTATTGTAGCACTATTCACAATAGCAAAGACTTGAAACCACCCCAAATGTCCATCAATGATAGACTGGATTAAGAAAATGTGGCACATATACACCATGGAATACTATGCAGCCATAAAAAAAGGATGAGTTCATGTCCTTTGTAGGGACATGGATGAAGCTGGAAACCATCATTCTGAGCAAACTATCGCAAGGACAGAAAACCAAACACTGCATATTCTCACTCATAGGTGGGAACTGAACAATGAGAACACTTGGACACAGGGCAGGGAACATCACACACTGGGGCCTGTTGTGGGGTGGGGGGAGGGGAGAGAAATAGCATTAAGAGAAATACCTAATGTAAATGATGAATTAGTGGGTGCAGCACACCAACATGGCACATGTATACATATGTAACAAACCTGCACATTGTGCACATGTACTCTAGAACTTAAAGTATACAAAAACAAACAAAACAAACAAACAAAATACTAACCTTAAATGTAAATGGGCTAAAAGCCCCAATTAAAAGACATTTAAAAAAACCGCCTAGAAGAGTTCATGGAAATGAATAACTTTATTGAAATTTTTAGCCAGAAAACAAATTTGATAGATAAAATATCTTGGAGAATTTTCAAGGAAGAAAGGGAATATTTTGATGAAATGAAAGAATATGGTCCAATTCATATTCTGTGGTTAGTGTCAGAAGAGGATCTGGTTGATACTCTAAAAGATGTTGACAGCTGCATTGACAGATGCTGTAAGGCCACTGAAAAATGGAAGTCTGGACTCTCAGAGGCCCTGCTTCCTGTTGTACATGAGTACGTGCTTTATAGTGAAATGTTAATGGGTGTTATGAAAAGAAGAGACCAAATACAAGCAGAACTGGATTCCAAAGTTGAAGCTTTGACCTATAAAAAGACAGATAGTGATCTGCTTACAGAGGAGATTGGAAAACTTGAAGATAAAGTAGAATATGTTAATAATGCCCTGAAAGCAGAATGGGAAAGATGGCAACAAAATATGCAAAATGATATCGTTAGCATTTACAGATATGGCTGAGGAGAGTATCCACTATTATGAACAGTGCCTTACTACATGGGAACCATTCCTCACATCACCAACCTCCACTTGGAAGAAGCCTCTGAAGATAAACCTTAATCCCACTAAGGACTTCTGTTTAATCTTTGGGAGACAACATTTATCAACCAAAGTTATTCTTTCTGGATCTGCCATGTCCTTTATAAAGTGGATGACAAATGTTTTATACTATCTGGAAAAACCAACAACTTGAAACCTCAGGTACTCCAGTTCATTAACATGAATTTGATGATATATCTATATATCTATTTGTATGGATATATGTCTATACATATATAGATATATAGATACAGAGAGAGAGATTTAGCTTGGTTTTAATTATGTTCTTGAATTTGTGTGCCAATAATTGTGTATAGATTTTTCTGTTAAATATTTGACTGTGGAACATGATATTGTAAATATGTTGTAAGGACTTAGTTTTAATAAAAAGTTTAATATGAAAAAAAGATCAATGTAACCAAAAGTTGGTGCCTTGAAATAATAAACAAGATCAATAGACCACTACCTAGATTAACAAAGAAAAAAGAGAGAAGATGCTAATAATCACAATCAGAAATGACAAATGTGACATTCAACTGATCCCACAGAAACACAAAAGACCCTCAGAGACTATTAGGAAAGCCTTTATGCACAGAAATTGGAAAATCTATAGGAAATGGATAAATTTCACACAACCTCCCAAGATTGATCCAGGAAGACAGTGAAAACCTAAATAGACCACTAATGAGTCCTGAGGTTGAATCAGTAATAAAAACCTACCAAGAAAAAAAGCCCTGGATCAGATAGATTCACAGCCAAATTCTGCCAGACATACAAATAAGACCTGGTACCAACCCTACTGAAAATATTCCAAAACATGAAGGAGGAGGAACTCCTTAACTCATCTATGATACCAGCATCATCTTGATCCCCAAACCTGGCAGAGACACGTGAAAAAAGAAAACTTTAGGCCAATATCCCTGATAAACATAGATGCAACAATCCTCAACAAAATACTAACAAACTGAATCCAGCAGCACATCAAAAAGTTAATTTATCGTGATCAAGTAGGCTTTATTCCTGGGATGCAAGGTTGATGCAAAATACACAAATCAATAAATGTGATCTGCCATATAACTAAAAACAAAAACCATATGATCATCTCAATAGATACAGAGAAAGCTTTTGATACAATACAACATCCCTTCATGGTAAAAACCCTCAACAAACTAGGCTGCAAAGGAACATATCTCAAAATAATAAGAGCCATCTATGACAAACCCACCCCCAACCTTATACCGAATGGGCAAAAGCTGGAAACATTCCCCTTGAGAACTGGAACAAGACATGGATGCCCACTCTTGCTACTCTTATTCAACATAGTACTGGAAATCCTAACCAAGCAGTCAGGCAAGAGAAAGAAATAAAAGGCATTTAAACAGGAAAAGAAGAAGTCAAACCATCTGTCTTCACTGATGATATGATTCTATACCTAGAAAACCCTTAGGACTTTACCAAAAGGCTCCTAGAACTGATAAACGACTTCAGTAAAGTTTCAGGATACAAAATCAATGCCAAGAGCATTCAAGCTCAGAGCCAAGTCAAGAATGCAATCTCAGTTACAATAGCCACAAAAAGAATAAAATACCTAGGGATACAGCTAACCAAGAAGGTGAAAGATCTCTACAAGGAGAACTATAAAACACTGCTGAAAGAAATCAGAGATAGCAAATAAATGGAAAGATATTCCATACTCATAGATTGGAAGAATCAATATGGATAAGATGGCTATACTGCCCAAAACAATTTGCAGGTTCAACACTATTCATATCAAACTACCAGCATCATTTTTCACAGAATTAGAAAAAACTATCCTGCAATTCATTTGGTACCAGAAAAGAGCCTCAATGGCCAAAGTAGTCCTAAACAAAAGGAACAAAGCAAGAGGCATCCCATACCTGATTTCAAAGTATATTACAAGGCTACAATAACCAAAACAGCATGATGTCACAAAAACAGACACATAGACCAATGGAACAGAATAGAGCATCCAGAAATAAGGCCACACACCTACAACCATCTGATCTTCAAAAAAGTCAACAAAAATAAGCAATGGGAAAAGACTCCCTGTTCACTAAATGGTGCTGGGATAACTGGCTATTTATATGCAGAAGAATGAAACTGGACCCCTACCTATCACCATATACAAAAATCAACTCAAGATGAAGTAAAGACTAAAAAGTAAGACCTAAAACTATAAAAATCCTAGAAGAAAACCTAGGAAATACCCTTCTTGATATTGGCTTTGACAAAGAATTTATGGCTAAGTCCTCAAAAGCAATTGCAACAAAACCAAAAATTGACAAGTGGGATGTAATTAAATTAGAAAGCTTCTGCACAGCAAAAGAAACTATCAACAGAGTAAATGAACAACCTACATAATGGGGGAAAATATTGGCAAACTGCATCCAACAAAGTTCTAATATCCATAACCTATAAGGAACTTAAATCAGCAAGCAAGAAACAACACCATTAAACAGTGGGAAAAGGACAGGAACAGGCACTTCTCAAAAGCAGACATGCCAGCAGCCAACAAACATGAAAAAATGCTCATCAACACTAATCATCAGAGAAATGCAAATCAAAACCACAGTGAGATTTTTGTCTCATACCAGTCAGAATGACTTGTTAAAAAGTAAACAAATAACAGATGTTGGTGAGGCTATGGAGAAAAGAAGACACTTATAAGACCATGTTCTTTGCAGCAACATGGATGCAGCTGGAGGCCATTATCCTAAGCGAACTAATGCAGAAACAGAAAGCCCGATACCACATGTTCTCACTTATAAGTGAGAGCTAAACACTGAGTACAGGTGGACATAAAGACAGGAACAATAGACGCTGGGGTCAACGAGAGGGATGAGAAAGAGACAGGGAGACAAGGACTGAACAACTACCTATTGGGTACTACGTGCACTGCCTGGGTGATGGATTCAGTTATACCCCAAACCTTACCATCACACAGTATGCCTATGTAATAAACCTGCTTGTGTACTTCCTGATTCTAAGAGTTGGAAAATGAGAAGTCTATACATAGCTTTCCTTACATTTTAAAAAGATTTCGTTGGTTGTAGTTTTTAAAGTTATATATGCAATAGTTTAATGAGACTGGTTGCCTTTACAACAAACAACAGCAGTGCTCCTCTCACTCCTTTCTCTTCCTATCCCCACCACCTTCATCTTTTTGCAAATTCATTTCATGTCTACTTACATATTTACTTTTGCTCATTCATTTAATGTTTACACTTTTTTTGTTTGTTTTTGAGACAGAGTCTTGCTCCGTCGCCCAGGCTGGGGTGCAATAGCACAATCTCAGCTCACTGAAACCTCCACCTCCTGGGCTCAAGCAATTCTCCTGCCTCAGCCTTCTGAGTAGCTGGGCTTCAGGCGTGCACCACCATGCACGGCTAATTTGTTTTGTATTTTTAGTCGAGACGGGGTTTCATCATGTTGGCCAGGCTGGTCTCCAACTTCTGACCTCAAATGATCCACCGGCCTCGGCCTCCCAAACTGCTAGGATTGCAGGCATGAATCACCGCATCCAGCCGATGGCATATACATTCTTAAAAATCCCCGTTTCGGTAAGATACTTTTGCCTTCACCTATGCTTGTAGTCTTCCAGTCCAGAAACTCTCCCCAAGAAATAAAATGTGGGTAGGGGGAGGGCAGTTATTGGTTGTATCAAGGTTGAGGTGGGGGAAGGAATCTTGGGACCAAATAATATTTTTAGAAGCTCTCAACCAATTCTTATTTTAGCCGCCCGTCTCTTCCTCGCCACTGCCACCAATTTGAACAGTATAAGTCAGGGTGGCTGGGCTTCCCCTACTACCAGTTTAAGATTCAGCTGTCTTAGCTTTGCTGAGTCAGTTACACCTTTCTTTGCTACTTTTTCCTTTCAGTTCTCCTTGTTCTTATGGCTTTATGCTTTAAGAAAAGTCCCTCTACTGTCATTTTAATATGTATTAGTCCATTCTCACGCTGCTAATAAAGACACACTCAAGACTGGGTAATTTATAAAAAAGAGGGTGAATGGACTCACAGTTCCACACAGCTGGGGAGGCTTTAAAATCACGGCGGAAGGTGAAGGAGGAGCAAAAGCATTCTTAGACGGTGGAAGGAGGGAGAAGAATGAGTGTCCAGCGAAGAGGGAAGCTCCTTACAAAACCATCAGATCTCATGAGAACTAACTCGCTATCAGGAGAACAGGATGGGGGAAACCGCCCCCATGATTCAATTATTTCCACCTGGTCCCTCCCACGACACATGGGGATTATGGGAACTACAATTTAAGATGAGATTTGGCGGGAGACACAGCCAAACCATATCAAGGGATTAAAATTAGAAACATATGTTCAGTCTGCTTCTATTGCTATACTAATCCAGAAGCTATGGGTCAAGAGATACTATTCCTATTGCTGAATCTCAAACATCAATTGAAGCCAGGAAACTAGCAAGAAGGTAGCATACAAGTTCAGATCTTAGACTCTGCAATAACACCTGAGGTTGAACCTTGTGTCTGTCATTTGCTAGGTTTCTGACCTTTTGACATTTACCTAACCTCTCCCAGCCTCAGTATTTTTCATCTGTACAATAGAGATAATAATGTAACTAATTAATGAGCTTAAAGTATATGATGTTCCTACATTGTCTAAATTCTAGAAGACAGTAAATGCTCAATAAGTTGAGGTAACTTGGGTGCCCATGAAAAGACAGCCAGAAAAGGGAAACCATATAAACAATTCCACGTTATTGAGCACGCGTTACAAACCAGGCACTATGCCAGGCACTGGGTATATAATGAAGACAGAACATGTAGAAGATTAGCCTTCAAGGAGCTTAGAGTGTGGTCACGGAGAAAACAATATATAAGCACAAGCAGTATATAATTAAAATGTGTGATAAGTGCTATAAAAGAAAACAGAATGCCATGAAAGGGAATAATAAGGGGGAATTCGCTTGGATTAGCTGTTGGGAAAAAAAATATCTTAATGAGTGAGAATAACACATATGCCAAAGTGGATCAATAAAATGCACATGCTTTTTAACCATTCAAAGTAAATTAATATTAACCTGTAATATACAGGCCAAAGGCATTAGAGACGTGACCTTGCTGTCAAGTCATTTGATTTCTCTTGGTCTTAATTTCCTCATCTATAAAATAAAAGTTGGACAAAATAATCTCTCAACTCACAGCTTCTACAAGTTTATGCAAATTTAGGAATGTAAGAACATTATAATCAAAGTTAAAAATCAGGAGAACAGGCCGGCCACGGTGGCTCATGCCTGTAATCCCAGCACTTTGGGAGGTTGAAGTGGGCAGATCATTTGAGGTCAGGAGTTTCAGACCAGCCTGGCCAACATGGTGAAACCCTGTTTGTACAAAAAAATACAAAAATTAGCCGTGTGTGGTGGTGCATGCCTGTAGTCCCAGCTACTCAGGAGGCTGAGGCAGGAGAATTGCTTGAGCCCGGGAGGTGGAGGTTGCAGTGAGCCGAGATTGCACCACTACACTTCAGCCTGAGTGCTAGAGCAAGACTTTGATCTCAAAAAAAAAACAAAAGACAACAGATTTTTTTTCCCTTTAGTCTTCTCAATTATATAGTTGTACTGAATTTTATTTTTTCATTTTTACTAAAGCATAAATATTGTTTAGAAGTGATAAAGCTGAAACATCTTTCCTTCCCCATCAATCTCTTTGCAAGGATGACCCTCATTAATTCAGGCCCGGCATGTCACTCTTCATTTGTTCTGAGTACATGACATTATGCTCTCAGACACGAAAACCATAAATGTATACAAGACTGGAAGATAAGTGACAAAATATTAATCATAGTTAACACTGCTATTTTCTGCTTAATTGGTCCTTAAACTTTTCTCCTTTTCCACAATTTGCATATGTTACTTTTATAATTAAAAAGTTAATTATTCAAATAAAATAATGTTTACTGTGATGAAGAATAACAAAAGCATGTTATCTCTTATTGTCAAAGAGAAAAGAGAGCTATCCATTTGATTAAAAATATTGTGTGGAGATAGTTCTAGCTAGTAATTATATTTTGCCTCCACCAAATTATTTGTGAAAATTTATTCTGTTACTTTTAAAAAAAGTGACAGCAAGGCCATGTTTCAATTTCTGATTGCCATGTTTAATATTCATAAAAGGAAGTGCTGGCCTTTATCAGTAAGGTATTCCTTTCAGTAATGAGTTCAGGGGCAGATTTCTTTAAAAAGAAAAATTTCTCTAACATTTTTCAGTAATTAATAGAATTGAGAATTTATCAGACTTGGAAGAGGGATGGTGGATCTCCATTCTTGTCTAATATTTTTCACCTTCTTAATATCTTGGTTTTATTGCTTTTTAGGAATTATAAAAAGATCAGTAGGATCTAGCATCTATCTACCTATTTATCTATCTATCTATATTCTCATTAAATGATCCATTTTGGATTCCTCTATCATCCAATTATGGCAGGACTACACTAATTCTTTGAGAAGTTCAAGTAGAATTTCATGAAGTCATCTGGTTGATGAAACTTAAGAGACTGAGGATGTTTCATTAATGATGTAGACGGGATCAATGCCTGGGTACATGGAGTTACTACAGAGGCTCATGAATCCTTATTCATATGAAGTACAACTTAAAGGACTGAAAACATAATATTTACTACTATTTTTCAAATATTTATACAGCATTTAATATAATGTGAATTCATTTAAAACTATGAAACCATTTTGTCAGCGTGCATGTTGTCAATAAATATTTTTTACAAGATTGGGAATTATTTATGTAGTGAAATAAACACTTGATCTGAAATCTGTATTTCAAATGACCATAAATATTACTTTCATCTATAAAAGGTAAGATTCCGTTCTGGGTTGATCATTTAACTAGTTGTGTGGCTCATTTATCTTTCCTCATTTGAAAAGTAGAGATAATAATACAAACTATTCTTATGGGAATTTTATGAGTCTCAAGTGCTTTGAAGATGCCACATATTTTGAAAATATTAGATGTCACTGTGATGACAGCTATTTTCATGATCATTTGTATAATGATATGAAGCATAATAAGAGAGTTGAAAAAAATAATCCCAACCTCAGGTTCAGAGAATCAAGTTCGAGTTTTCTTATTTTTAAGTTCATAAAAAATTATATTTTGCTGTTTCCTGCAATAATAATTTATTTTAAGAATAAAAGTAAAATTACTGGGTCAGCATGACTGAATGAGGATATGCAGAAATCTCCACCTTCTGTCCTACCTATATAGAAATGAGAGATAAAATATTAAACAATATATACAATCAAACTAAAAAACAATTGCAAAAAGCCCACCATAGACACATTTAGAGAGAGAAACTACAGAGATAGCAGGACCTGAAGATACACAGTTCTTGGGAAGCTAGGATTGGAGGCAGAACAAACGTCAGTGCCTTTATGAGATCAAGAATTAAACGGGCTCCAGACTTGATGAGAATGGAAATCAGGTTTTTCAGTCTGGAGACAAAGAGCTATTTTCTTTGCTTTCAAATATCAACCATGTCCTGTGTTTAAAAGGCAACTGAGGCTGGTCGTGGCGGTTCATGCCTGTAATCCCAGTACTTTGGGAAGCTGAGGCAGGTGGATCACCTGAGGTCGGGAGTTTGAGACCAGCCTGACCAACATGGAGAAACCCCATCTCCACTAAAACTAGAAAATTAGCCAGGCACGGTGTCGCATGCCTGTAATCTCAGCTACTTGGGAGGCTGAGGCAGGGGAATCACTTGAATCTGGGAGGTAGAGGTTGCAGTGAGCCAAGATCACACCATTGCACTCCAGCCTGGGCAACAAGAGTGAAACTCCATCTCAAAAAAAAAAAAAAAAAAAAAAGGCAACTGAAATAAATCTGAAATAAATTCACCTATCATTGGAAACCTATTACTTTTTTTTTTCTTTTTTTTTGAGATGGAGTCTCACTCTGTTGCCTAGGCTGGAAGGCAGTGATACTATCTCGGCTCACTGCAACCTCCACCTCCCGGGTTCAAGCGATTATCCTGCCTCGACCTCCCAAGTAGCTGAGATTACAGGTGCCTGCCACCATGCCTGGCTTTTTTTATTTTTATTTTTTTTTTAGAAGAAATGTTGGCTGGGCTGGTCTTGAACTCCAGACCTCAAGTGATCTACCCACCTTGGCCTCCCAAAGTGCTGGGATTACAGGCGTGAACCACCATGCCCGGCCAACCTATTACTTTTAATTGCAAAAACCAATTACTTTTAATTGCAAAAACTGCAATTACTTTTGCACCGACCTAATACTTCTGTTCAAGCCTGGTAGCTGAAACAGACATTTCTGCATGAGACTGGAATTTGAGTTTGTATAATATACATGATTGTAACTGGGCTGCCTGAATAGGTGGGAATCCAAAGGCAAGATTAGTGTATGACTTGGTTTGAGGCCAGATAACTGGTGAGGCAAAATATAGGAGAAACCCTTTACTGAGGATGAACTCAAACCAAAAGAATACAAGGAAGCTCAGTGTTATGAAAAATAGTCAATAGAACCTATAAATAAGAAAATTCACAGCCAAGGAAAGAGGGCTAACAGAATAATCTGAAAGGGGCGTGAAGTTTAAAACTGTCAACCTCCCCAAAAATAAAAAAAAAAGGAGGACATGAAGTTTAAAATTGTCAACCCCTCTGCAAGAAAAGCCCCTCCAAAGCAAAGTTGTTATCCATAAAACAAGACTAAGTATTTATGAAAGCAGAAGAGGAAGATATGAAAAGAAACTATTGGAAATCTTGAAAATAAAATATAGTTACAAAATTTAAAAATATAATGGGTGGGCTAAATAGTAATTTTAAAAGAGTCAAAGAGAAAACGAATTAGAAGATAGAACAGAAGAAATTTCTAGGGATGTAGAGATAAATAAAGATGTGGAAAATGAAAGAGAATTTGGGAAATATGGACGAGAGATAGAATGAGATACAAAGCCCTACAAATAAGTTAAAGTCTTAGAAGTCACTAGCAAGAAAGGACAGATCATCTGCAACAATACATCAATCAGATCAACAGTAGACTTCTCCGCCACACAAACGGAAGCCAGAGAACAATGGAGTCATTGCTTCAAAGTAGCGAGGGGAAATAAGTGTGAATGAAATTTAATAGTCAGAAAAAATATCAGTGAAGAGAGAAGTCTGAAGAAAGCACATATTCAAGTATATGAGGACTAAAAAGGCTTACTACAGACTCTTAATGAAAGAATTATTAAAAGATGAACTTTGGCAAGAACAAAAGTGAACTCGGTAGAAGTAGAATGCGAGACTCCTGGGTGTAACAATACTTTCAGAAAATATCTCAATATATAAGTGTTGATTAAATAACGACAATCTTTCAAAAAACATAGAATATATAGCTTCTATATAGACTCAAAGGAGGGGAAAAAATGGAAAGACAAATCAAACAAACAACAATAACAACAAAACCAACTTTATGAGACCAGACAGCAAAGAAAAGGAAGAACAATCTGGCAAATAGAAAAAGCAAAATAAGATGTTAGAAATGTTTCAGAACAATCCAATAAATACTAATAGGTTGAACCTACTCATTTGAATATAAACACTAAGATTGAATCTTAAAAATTTACATATGTGCAACTTACAGAGATACTTATGAAAGTAAACTATATAGAAATGTCAAAAATAAAGAGATTTAAAAATTATCGGGTGAATATCAATCAAAAGACAGCTAGTACAACATTATTTAAACAAGATAATACAGAATACAATGAAAAATATTGAATAACAAGAAAAAATATTCTTAAATCAGAAAAAAGCTCATCAGAAATGTGGAAATATAACAAGAAAGGCTCAAAAATATAAATTAAAATATTCCAAATTACAAGGAAAACATATAAATCCAGTTACTTTGGTAGAGTTTAATACCAAAGAATTTCTTGCACAGAAATAGCTCAATCAAGCAGATAAAAATTAGTAAAGGTATTGGAGATTTGAGAAATACGAATAGCAAGTTTGCTGTAATGGATATGCACTAAATCTTAGTTTTGATAATCAGAGAATACACATTCTTTTCAAGTACAGAGAAGATTTACATGAATTTATTCCATATTATACCCCAAATACAGTTTCATAAAACTATAAGAATTCATACCATTAGAACACATTCTTGGCAAATGAGTAAATTAGACCTAAATAGTAAAAAAGAACCAAAATATTTATATATTTGAAATAAAACCAAAACAGGCCAAAAATACTCCCTTGTAAATAATTTGTGATTAAAAAGGAAGTCCAAATGAAAAAGATATAACACTTAAAGGTGACATACCAAGAGTGCTGAAACATACTGACAGCAGCTAACTTAGAATGTAGGAAATTTATAACCTCAAGCGCATATACTTGGAAAAGAAAGAAAAAACTCTAGGCATTTAAATAAAGAAGCTAGAAACAGGACAAAGAATAAACCCAAAGAAAATAGAAGGAAGTAAACGATAAATGTAAAAAGAGAAATTAATTAAATAGAAAACAAATTAATAAACAGCAAGACTTGGCCGGGTGCAGTGGCTCACGCTTGTAATCCCAGCACTTAGGGAGACCGAGTCTGGTGGGTCACCTGAGGTCAGGAGTTCGAGACCAGTCTGGCCAACATGGTGAAACCTTGTCTCTACTAAAAATACAAAAAATTAGCCGGGCGTTGGGGCAGGTGCCTGTAATACCAGCTACTTGGGAGGCTGAGGCAGGAGAATCGCTTGAACCTGGGAGATGGAGGTTGCAGTGAGCTGAGATCATGCCACTGTGCTCCAGCCTGGGCAACAGTGCGAGACTTCGTCTCAAAAAACAAAAAATAAATAAAATAAAATAAATAAAAATAAAAATAAACAGGAAGACTCATTTAAGGAAACAAAAAAGAAAGGAACACGAAATAATATTAGGAACAAAAAGACTTACAAACAATGACAATCCAGTAGCAACAACCACCCCTAGTATCCAGATGGTACTCTCCAAATACCATTTCTCAATGAAAGGAATCAGGGGTCCTTTGCAAAATGGATGATTTCTGGAAGGAGTCATTTCAAAAGGAGGACATAAAAACCATTTTTAAGGTGCCACTGGCCTAAGATGGAACAAATTTGAACAGCAGAAAGAATTGATCAGTGGTTATTGATTGAAACATCAGTAATAAAAATCCTCTAGTTCATAAAGGTATTAAGAAATCCTCATTGGTAACCACTGGAAGTTAATAGGGCATCAACTCATTAATATGAAAATTGGTATGCAAAGGGGAAGAATAAAGCATTTATCCTGCCTTCCTATCCGAACTATATTTTTGGGATAATCAAATAGATTTGATGAAGGGAAGTGCTGTAGGGAAGAATTTCTGTGAATATATGTAGATATATTACATCTGTAGATAGAATTAATATCACCTGTTTGCAATTCCCACTAAATAATAGATCAAGGCAACAATTATTAAAAGCTTCTAAAACTATCAGAACTTGCTGATCAGTCTTAGCAACACTATAACTTGGAAAGCCAGACATTACCTGCCTCACAATCCTCTGTAATAAGAAGTATGCAGCACCAACTATGAAGTATTCTTGCTAAAAAAAAAAAAAAAATTGAGCCGGAATCTAATCACCAGTTTAGATGAACTTAGGTCTAACTAGCATTTCGTGGAAACTACAGAAGATAGAGGAGCAAGTTAAATAACATCACAGGGAAGCAGTGCCTCCAATTCAGAATGTGGACATCATACAGGATAGAGGCATATTTATCTGACGAAGAAATATCATAAAAAAGAGAGGAAACTGTTAGAAAATAAAGATTTATTAACCAAATATACCACATGGACTTTGGATCCTAATTTGGACAACTGTAAAAAGACATTTTTGAGACAATCAGGGAAACTTTAATATAGATTGGCTACTAAATAGAATTCAGGAATTATTGTTAATTTTGTTAGATATGATAATGGTATCGTGGTTCTGTTAAAAAAAGTTATCAGTTAAAGATGCATATGAAATGATCATTATTTCTGGGATTTCCACAGAAATACTCCAGAAGAAATAATGACAGAAAGAAAGAAAGGAAGATAAAAAGAAAGAGAAAGAAAAAGAAAAGAAAAGTGAGGGGAATAAGAATAAGTGTAAAAATATAGGCAAAATTTTATTAATTGTTGAAACTTAGGGTTCATTATATTATTTCTTCTACTTGTGTGTGTTGAGAAGTTTTATTATAAAAAGTTTTAAAATGAGGGAGCATAAAATAGGTAAGAGAAAAATTGAAAGTCTAGAAGAATACAATGAAAAGTGATATTAATAAAATTACAAAAAAATTAAATGGAAATTTTTCTAATAATATAATAAATTGCCAGAATTGACTCAAGAATAAATAGAAAACCTAATAAACAGAACCTATAACCATAAAAAAATCATGAAATTGGTTGTCAAAAATCTCCTCTGACACTCCAAAAAGGTCACCAGGCTCATAGTTTAATGGGCTACTTGTAGCAAACCTTCAAAAGAAAAAGTATAGATAATACAGTTAATCCTTGAAGAACATGAGTTTGAACTCATGTTCACTTGTATGTGACTTTTCTTCCACCTCTGCCACTCCTGAGACAGCAAGACCAGCCTCTCTTCATCCTCCTCCTTCTCAGCCTACTCAATGTGAAGATGAAAAGGAGGAAGACCTTTATGATGACCCACTTCTACTTAATGAATAGTAAATATATTTTCTCTTTCTTATGATTTTTAAATACATTTTCTTTTTCCTAGCTTACTTTATTATAAGAATACAGTATGTAATACATAAAACATACAAAATATGTGTTAATTTGTTTATACAACAGACTGTTTATGTTGTGGGTAAGGCTTCTGATAGTACGGGTAAAGTATGGGTATGGTAGTTATGGGTAAGGTATAGGTATGGCAGTTATGGGTAAGGCTGTTAGTACTTAAGTTCTGGGGAACTCAGAAGTTATAGGTAATTTTTCAACTGTGCAGGTGCTTGGTGCTCCTCACCCCCTTATTGTTCAAGGGTCAACTGTACCTATTTTACACACACTGTTTCAGAGAAAAAAGAAAGAGGGAAACCTACTTATCAAATTAAAGTAATCTGGATGCTAGATCTAAAAGAATCAATCATAGGAACTTGGATTATGCCCCAAACTCATATCAGCTGTTTTATCTGGGAAGGTGAGAAGGAAGATAGACATGGGAAGGGTGGTTCAATGAGATCTCAGCTTGATTTATAATATTTTAATGCTTTTATTTAAAAAGACATGAAGCAATATGACAAAGACATTAAGAACTGTTAATTTCATGTGACAGAAACACTTGTTATTTTTTACTTTAGTAAATTTTTACATTTTTTCAAAAAAATCTACAGCAAATCATAGTTTGCTGTTCAACTTCAACAGAAGACAAAACCATCTCTTTAAAGCATATTATTAATATGTGCCAACCTAATGAACAGCTGTCAGACTTGCTCAGTGGTAGGAAGCCTAGCATGTACTATTTTTAGATCAAGAAATTCTGAGTAGTTCAAGTTACTACAGCTCTTGTAAACATCTCCATCTTTTCTGAGCATAAACTGATGAAAGATTAGAGCATTTTATTTTGAAAACATTTATTTGCTGTAACTCTTCAGAGTTGAACAGTTATTAATGAACCACTTTATGTTTATGCATATATTTATTTAACACTTTTATGGAGTGCCTACTACATATTGTACACTACATAGCTAGCACTAAGTCTACAGAGGTGAGTGATACAATCCCTATTCATAGGAGAGGAGATGAATAAGAAAGTCATTGCTAACTATATGGTGAAATCAGTAGTGTTTAGGGCTAGGTAGATCTCAGAGGTTCATCCATCCTAGCTTAGAGGATCAGGGGATGTGGCCCTTGAATTAAGTACTATTGTTAATCATCAAATAAGGGTAGGAGCCATTGAGGGAAGAAAGAAAGATGCTCTAATTAAGAGGAAAGCATATACAAACAAGGAGACTCTGGAGTGTCTCAAGTCCAAGATTTGTCAGTGCATGTCTCACGTGCAAATGGAGCAGGTGTGATGGAAGTTGATTTGCTCTGGGAATTTAGGCACCTCCTGAGGAGAATTCATACTAAGAGAAGAAGGGTGATGCCTATTACTTCTATGTATTCCCTGGCTGAACTTCTGCATGAACTCATGTCTGTGCAGACACTGGAGTGAGAGCAAGATAGTATTCCTTTAGTACTTGTGATGGTGAATTTAATGCGTCAACTTGACTGGGCCAAGAGGTGCCCAGATTAAACATCATTTATGGGTATGCCTGTGAGGGTGTTTCTGGAAGAGATTAGCATTTAATCAGGGACTAAGAAGACTGCTCTCACCAGTGTGGGTGGGCAGCATCCAATTCATTGAGGACCCAAATAGAACAAAAAGGCAGAGGAAGAGTAAATTCTCTCTTTTCTTGGTCTGGAACCCCCATCTTCTCCTGCCCTTGGACATTGGTGCTCCTGGTTCTTGGGCCTTTGAACTCTGGGACTTACACCCTTGGTTCTCCTGGTTCTCAGACCTTCAGACTCAGACTGAATTATACCACTGGCTTTTCTGGTTCTCCAGCTTGCAGATGACATACTGTGGGTCTTAGGCTCCATAATCATGTGAGCCAATTCCCATAATAAATATCCTCTTAGATGTCTGAATATATCCTACTGGTTCTCTCTCTGGAGAACCCTGACTAATACAGTATTCCTCAACAGGTTGTAACACACAGAAAGAGACACACTTCTCCACACCTACCCCAATTTTGCTCCAGAAGTAAGTGTACTTTCGTACCTCCAGTGGTTAAAAGCTTTGGGATCCAGCATAGATGGCTGCAGAGAAAGGGCTCCTTCCTTGTAGTAGTGGACAATGCCCAAGGCAAGCAGTGGTGGTGCTTGGCAGATGTGATTGTCCATAGAGGAAGTGGCAGGGATGAATGTCTGGTGTATGTGTTGGTTCTCAGCCGGTGTGGTAGGACTAAAGGGTTGACTGTAAATGCCTGATGAATGCTGTCAACATCTAATTAAAAAAGGAATAGAATAGGAGGAAGGGAAGAAAGTGTTTGCTGATTGGATTTTTCTTTTCTTTTCTTTTTCTTTTTTTTTTTGGAGATGGAGTTTCACTCTTTTTGCCCAGGCTGGAGTGCAATGGCATGATCTCAGCTCACTGCAACCTCTGCCTCCCAGGTTCAAGCGATTCTCCTGCCTCAGCCTGCCAAGTAGCTGGGATTACAGGTGTCCACCACAACGCCCAGCTAATTTCTTGTATTTTTAGTAGGGACAAGGTTTCACCATGTTGGCCAGGCTGGTCTCGAGCTACTGACGTCAGATGATCCACCTGCCTTGGCCTCCCAAAGTGCTGGGATTACAGGCATGAGCCACCGTGCCCAGCCCTTGACTTTTTTTTTTTTTTTTTTAAGAGATAGGGTTTTGCTATGTTGCTCAGGCTGGCCTTGAACTCCTGGGCTCAAGAGACCCTCCTGCCTCAGCCTTCGGAATAGCTGAGATTACAGGCACACACCATCGTGTCTGACTTGATTGGACTTTTGTTGTACAAGAGGTATACCCCCGTGATGACACAGATATAGTGGTGGCCTGAGGGATGTGTATATTTGGTTTTCTGTTCTACACTGCCAAATGGGGTAAGAACCAGTGAAATGCAAGCTACATACAGTAGCCCTGAACCACTTCTCCAAGATAAGCTGCCCAAATTCCGAGAACACTAGCCCCTGGCAACTCCACATTCTCTCTCACTGTAAAAGTGTAAAAGGTTAGGTTACTCCCCAGCCTGTCGAACATGTGCCTGATTGCCTTCTGAGATAGCACATCCCTAATCCAAAAGAAAACCTAGCCTGGAGCTTGCATCCAGCTAATCTTCTTCCACATTGCTCCAAACAGGGAGTTCAGTTTTCTCATTACTCATACAGAGAGCAGAGATAGATTTTCATGATTCTTCAGGACTCTGTTCTCTCTGCTTTAATAGCCAAAAGCTAAAGCCAAATGAACTTCTTCACAGAGAACAACAAGCAATTTTATCTAATCCTTATTATTCTTGCTGTAACTGCAATTGTGTTATTCTGACTGACAGATTCCCAGAAGAGATTCAGTGAAAATACCCTTGATCAGATTCACAAAGGAACAGCATATTTCAAGTGGGCGTGTCTGGCTAGAATCTCCCTGGACAGTTCAGTAACAGCACATCAACAGACTGCTGAATTCTTATTTCCCCGTCCAAAAAATAACAAAGCCAATCTGAAATCTGGAAGTGTTCTGAGGGCAGATGGTATTAGCCCAGTAGTAAACATATTTTTGGCTGCTTCTTTTCTTTTTTCCCCCTGGTAACTATGTTTAATGTGCTGAGAGAAAGCCATTTGTTTACAGAATCTTATTATAGAACAGAAATATACTTGTTCCAGAGAAGAGGAGTTTAATTGGTTCCAAGTCAAATGATGCTAACAGGCGTCACCTCACCAATCCAGGACTTAAGATGGGTTATTATAAATAGGAGTAACACATATTTTTTTTGGCTCTTTTTCCCACCTGTTATGCAAGACTGCATACCACTATGATGTTCCTCCTGATTATTTCCAGCAACTTTGGGGGTGGCTCACGTGTGCTCATGAACAAGTACTGTCAGGTATCACATACGGTCTGTCATTTTCTTGCTCTTGAGCTCTGGCACTTCTCTGCTGCTGTCTGCTGCTGAGGCCTGCAGAGATTAATATAAACGGCAGGTAAGTGATTATTGGACAGTCTTGCTGCTTCTGCCAGGCTCCGTGACACTTCTATTGAAGGACATTACACCACTGGTTCCGTGGATATGCTGAGGTCTGCGACATGACACTTTCAGGGAGAAACTCTCTCTCCCTTTCAGTGCTACATGCTGTTGAGGTTAATTGTTAAAGAGTAAAGAGTTATGGAGTTTTTGCCCATAGCCCTCTCCCCTACCAGGCCAGGCTCTAGGGAAGTAGAATGGGCAGAATGTGAGTGTGAAAGCTATGAGAATGCGCCTCTCAGAACTGACTGCACCATAATGGGGGTGGGACCAGCTGCTGTGCTCTGAAATCACAATCACGTTTACACAGAGGCCGGCTTCCCACAGGCTGCTCCCAGTAGATGACTGAGCATGAGAGGAACACTAGGGCTGACTTATCCCTGGGAGACACAGGGCACCTGTAACAGGAGATTTTGACTTGAGGTTTCCTGATGGCCCTGTCAGACTTTCCCTAGCATTGCAGTCTAAGATGCTGCCATCCAGTCTTCTTGTCCCCTGGCCCTCTCTCCTCTTGGGGTCAGACCTGGATTGCTATTTGATGACTAGCTCAGTTTCCCCACTTCCTTCTATTTTCTCTCAGAGTCATTCCCCCTAATATGCTTTACTTTTGCACACTTAGTGTCATCTTGGCATCTGCTTCTCATGGGACTGAACTAACACAGGGAATGTGTGTTCCCTGGTATGGAAGCATTGTCTGTTCTCCCTGTTGCTGACCCTTGTGTATCTTTTTTTTTTTTTTGGGACGAGTCTCGCTCTGTTGCCCAGGCTGGAGTGCAGTGGCACCACCTTGGCTCACTGCAACCTCTGCCTCCTGGGTTCAAGCGATTCTCCTGCCTCAGCCTCTCAAGTAGCTGGGACCACAGGTGTGCACCATCACGCCTGGCTGATTTTTTTTTTTTTTGTATTTTTAGTAGAGTTGGGGTTTCACCATACTGACCAGGCTGGTCTTGAACTGCTGACCTTAGATGATCTGCCTGCCTTGGCCTCCCAAAGTGCCAGGATTACAGGTGTGAGCCACCACACCTGGCCCTATGTGTATCTTCTTGGTTCACTTCCCTTCAGAGGAGTTTCTCCTGGGAGGCTTTGAGGTCCATGTATGAGTAGCTTTGATGTTGACCTTGACTTCCCCACTGACTTTTACCATGCTCAGACATACCTGGACATCAGCAGGGATGTGAAGTGATGGAGGCTCAACCTCCATCACTCAAAATGCATCATTCAAAATGCATCAATGCTATGCATTTTGGAGCATCTACTCTGCTTCTTCACTGGTTCAGGGCACAGTTAGAGAAACAAAAGAAATACAAGCAATTGTGACTTTGAAGTTTAAATTCAGTTAGTGAGACAAAAATCACAGTTGTCACAAGTGGGTAATGACAGAGGTAATAATCATTTATATTTTCAACAAGGATTTATTGTTCACCTTCCAGTATTCAATGTATAACCAAAAGCTAAATTTTATGGCATTCTTTTTTAGGTGCCATAGAGTATTGCAGAGGTCTCCAAATGGGGGAAAAGTAGTCTCCTGATGGGGAAAAACAAACAAAGTAGACTTTTACTTTCTCTTGCTTTGTGCCTCATATTTTATTTATTTATTTATCTATTTATTTTTTAGATGGAGTCTTGCTCTGTCCCCCTGGCTGGAGTGCAGTGGTGCAGTCTTGGTTCACTGCAACCTCCGCCTCCCGGGTTCAAGCAATTCTCGTGCCTCAGCCTCCTGAGTAGCTGGGATCACAGGCACCTGCCACTATGCCCAGCTAATTTTTGTATTTTGAGTAGAGATGGGGTTTCGCCATGTTGGCCAGACTGGTCTCAAACTCTTGATCTCAAGTGATCCACCCGCCTCAGCCTCCCAAAGTGCTGGGATTACCGGTCTGAGCCACTGCACCTGGCCTCATATTTTAAAATGTTTATTAGTGTGCTGTAAAATATGCACAATAAATTAGTATAGTAGCACCTGCATATAATCTATTAAAAATACATACATTTTCTGTCAGTGATCATGGTAAAATTTTTTATCAATAAAGTGCACAGTCAAAAGGAGGTGGAGGCTCCTGGGCTAGAGGATGCTTTCATAGTTGTCCTGAATGCACTATCGTGTAGTGGTTAGAGCTCAGGGCTGGGTCCAAAAGCTTTAAATCTCAGTTCTGTCACTTAGGCACTCTTCGACTTATCAAGGCACAGCCTCTCTGGGCCCGAGTTTTCTCCTCCATGGGATAGGAATGTTGTACCCACCTCACAGGATTGTTGAAGGAATTAAATAAGGTGATTCATGTTTAGTAAGTGCTACTTGACATTGTTGTGGTTATTATTATTATTTTAGCCCTAAGTAGCTTTTTTTCTCTTTTTGAGGCTCAACTCAAGTCTTCTAGTTGATCATTTATGAGTCTGCTTCATCTTCAGTACCACTCTCTATGCTTTGTAAGAAGTTGCTCTGCTCTCTTTTAATCTCACCCAGGTACTCCTATCATCTTTCCTGACGTCATTCTGATGCCACCTCTCTCACACTGTCTTGTATTCTAATTTTTTTTGTCCCTTTCTTTTTATTTTTTTGAGATGGAGTGTTGCTATGTCACCCAGGCTGGAGTTCAGTGGTGCAATCTCAGCTCACTGAAACCTCTGCCTCCCAGGTTCAAGCAATTCTCCTGCCTCAGCCTCCCCAGTAGCTGGGACTACTGGCACATGCCACCACACCCGGCTAATTTTTGTTTTAGTAGAGATGGGGTTTCATCATGTTGGGCAGGCTGGTCTTGAACTCCTGACCTTAAGTGTTCCACCCGCCTTGGCCTCTCAAAGTGCTGGGATTACAGGCGTGAGACACTGCGGCCAGCTGCCCCTTTTTAAAAAAAAAATTCAAATTTTATTGTAAATTGACAATTGGTGGTTGTAGATATTTATAGGCTACCAAATGTGGAATAATTAAATCAAGCTAATTGACATATCCATTACATCAAATACTTATCATTTTTCATGGTGAGAACAATGGAATTTACTGTTAGCGGTTTTGAAATGTACAATACACCGTTATTAACTATATTCACCATCCTGTGCAATAGGCCTAAAATATATTTGTTCTTCCTGAGACCTTGTATCCTTTGACCATCATCTCCCCATTCACCCCATTCCCCAGCCTCTGTAACCACCATTCTACTCTGCTTCTATGAGTTTGATTGTTTCAGATTCCGCATATAAGTAAGAACATGCAGTATTTGTCGTGTCTGGCTTATTTCCCTTAGCATCATGTTCTCCAATATTTTCCTTCTTTTTTAAGGCTGAATAGTATTCCATTGTGTATATAGATGACATTTTCTTTATCCATTCATCTGTTGATGGACTGCAAATAGTGTCTACTTTTCTTAATCTTCTTCTTTTGGGGGGCAGTAGCCCTACTCTGTGTCATTATTATTTCTTGTGTGACTAGAACAATGCTGTGTATTTAGTAGTGTTCACTTGATACCAGTTGAACAATTGCAGAAGTAATGGCAAAGGTGATGACTTGGCCTTCTGATGTACATCCCCTCGGCTCTGTAGTGGCAGTACCTGGGCAGCATCTGAGAGACACACAGGTGGCAGGAGAGAGACAGAGTCAAGGAGGCCAAGCTTTCTTCAACTCCATGCCCTCCATTCACTGCCTGGGCTCAAGTCAGTCCTTATATTAGTGCATGTTTCACAGGATTTTTACACGAAGTGACACTCAGCCCATTCTCCTTTGGTCATAAATGAAAAGAGAAGCTTTGTACTTGTCCAAGAGAAAGGAGTTCCTCCTTGTCATTTATTTATTTACTTTTAATGATTAGGATTGAAAAAAACCTCAAACAACTAGCATGGTTTAACTTATGACCAGGCAGGCTCTATGCTTGGCTTTACACACATCGGTGTAGTACCAAATCTTAGTGATGGAAAGGAACAAGTTGATTTTACGTACATTATCAATTGGATCTTGATCACAGATCTTTGAGGGTTATTAGTATTCCCATATTATAGATGGGGACACTGAGGCCCAGAAAGGATAGATGATCATTTTTTTAATGTTACTCAGTAAGTGGAAAATTTAGAATACGAACACAGGCCTTTGTCACTTCAAGGTCCATTTGCTTTCCACTTTCCCGCAGATGGCTTGGGCTAAAGTGTTTGAATTAGCAGTATTGTGTCGACCTGCCAGTGGCCACTTAAGTTTCTTCATGACTTTTACATGGGCTTTCCCCGTGGCCAGAAAGGCAGGGCTTATTTGATGACTGTGGCAATAGTGACGTGGAGAAAACTTCAAGAAGTAGGGTTTTCATTTCTCTCTGGGCATGCGCTCACTCATGTGTTTGGGAAAGTGAGGGAGAATAGCAGAAAGCTGTTGCTCTCTTTCTCCCAGCTCCATGACCAGCTGGATGTGAAGATGGCAAAGTGAGAAGGCCACTGAGACGATCATGCTCGATACTGTGAAGTGCTGAGAGCTTATCACCTTCATCAAGGCCTTGGTGACTTCTCTCATCATGTTGCAGACTTGCAGAATTCTAGGACTGACATAGGTCTTCACTTTTCAGTTCTCAGGGTAAAAAGGCGGGTGGACGAGGGGAGTACATGAAACGAGCTAGTTTAGCAACCGATCAGGCACAAGAGCTCAGCACTGATTCTCAAAGGATGTCATTTTCACACCTGAGAATGTATATGGTGATGGTGGTGGGGAGATACCAATTAGAGATTCAGTGCCAGCGTCAATGTGAATGTTGTTTTCTTAACATTTTTGGCCGTTGGCTAAGTTCTAGATTAGTAGGCAGAGAAATAATTTCAAAGTTTATTTAGAATGTCGTCCTGCCAATGGGCAGAGAAGTACCTTGAAAGAAAGTTGATATGAAATGAATGCTGCTAAGTCATGGCAATTGCTCTCAGGAAGGAAAGTATTAGCAGAGTTAAGTAACGTTAATTGCAAAGGATGAATTTGCTTTGGTACTAAGGTCTGAAATGTTGGAATTCTCAACTTCTTAAATGAGAAAAAATAATGTTGATTTTGTAAAATAATGTTGAGTTTATTTTTATTTTATTTTGGCTCCTTGCAGGAAACAAGATTTTTTTTTTTTTTTTAAGCAAACCTGCAGATCCTGAGGGTTAAACCCTCCTTATGCCTTTGAGTAGTTGTCAGGTGATTTGGGGCGGCTTGCATGTGTTTCTGGAGAGGGTAAAGCTAAACTAGTGATAACTACATTCCAAGTGTAATCCCAATCTCTTGACATTACAGAAGAAACCACTAATTTTCAGAAGCGTCTGAAGTCTGGGAATTTGTCAATGCACTGGGCACAGTAGTCCTTGGTGCAGCTTAGACATGCTTAAATGAGGCAAACCAGACTAACCCATCAATTCGGTCAAATAAGAAGTAGAATTTTTCTTCTAAGTTACTTTGAAATTGACCAATTCAACAAAATGACAACATTGGAGAGCTCTTTTGGTGATACGTTAACATTTCGCTATTGTATTTAACATTTTAAATATTGTAGAGCTAATTCATAATCTGAGATGTACAAAATAAATGCTTATCCCATAAACCTAATATCAACACATGATATACTACAAATAATTTGATTCCAAATGAATTAAGAAAAAAGGTTTTCAAGTTTCAGATTCTTTTACCAAAAATATCCTGGGAATTTGAGATTGTGCCTATGCAGCCTCAAACGGATGAATAAAAAGTAATGTAGGCCGGGCACCCGGTGGCTCACACCTATAATCCTAGCACTTTGGGAGGCTGAGGCGGTTGGATCACCTGAGGTCAGAAGCTCAAGGCCAGCCTGGCCAACATGGTGAAGCCCCATCTCTACTAAAAATACAAAAATTAGCCAGGCATAGTGGTGCATGCCTGTAATCCCAGCTACCCAGGAGGCTGAGGCAGGAGAATCGCTCGAACCCGGGAGGCGGAGGTTGCAGTGAGCTGAGATCACGCCACTGCACTCCAGCCTGGGTGACAAGAGCAAAACTCCATCTCAAAAGAAAAAAAAAGTAAAGTAAAGTTTTGTTTTTTTCCCCTTTGGGTGGTGAGATTAAAAGTAATTTAAAAGTTTTAAATACTTTAATATATTTTCACATGTCCTACAATAAATATATAACTTTTTTAATTTGACAAAAAATAATTTTGAGTGGTTACAAAAAGGGACAGGTGTGGCTTGGTAACTAGAAAAACATTCCCAGCCTGGGAAACAATCTAGTGAGAGCTTGGAGGCAGAAGACAGAACTCTGATTACATTCAAGGAGTTTGCCAGATGGCAACAGATAACTGCCAATGTTCGGTTGCACTATAATTATTATACACTCTCTGTCACTTCAGCAAGCGCTCTTTTCACAAGACAAGTGGTGACAGAATGTTGTATTAAGATTACCCGTTGCTAAGCTTATGTTAAAATGAGGAAATGAAATGGAAAGTCTTGTTTTGGTAATGTCTCTGGGGTATGAGGAATGGAGGGAAAGGTTTGACTATGAGCATAACTGCATAGAGAATTTTGTTTGTTTATGCCTTTTGGGAATGCATTATTTTGATTGACCCTAATTGGGAATTCAGAGGGGGAGATTTCCTCTATTATCTATAAAGAAAGGATCTGCTGAGCAAACACAATTGCTAGGGTCATGTTTAAAGTACTTAATTGATCTGCTTTCAAGTCTAATTTAACACTTCAGGGGCTCCAAACATGTGATACATTGGTTACAAACTCATCTTAGTCTAATTTTAGTTAGTGTTCATATTAGAAAGTTATATAATACTTTTCTTTCTTTCAGATATATTCTATAATTCACATTTTTCACTAATTTTACCCAGTTCTCCTTCCACTCCCAATCTATCCAAATAACTGAGTTGAACTGTGTGAGTTTACTGCTCTATTAATTTATTGCCAGAGATATACAAACCATGACTTCCTCGGCTGTTTCAGATGAAACTGTAGATCCACGTGTAAACTTGCAATGCACAGCTTAGCTGGAAAGTTACGTGGAGCAGGTGACGGAGGGGATAGCTTTCACTGCTTGGACTAAAGTCAGTTTTGAAAGAGCTAAAGATGCCTATTGAATTCTGGAGTGTGTGTGTGTGTGTATGGGTGTGCATATGTGTGGGTGTAAGGCAGCAAACTCTTCACATTTCAAATAACTAAAGATATGGGTGGTAAAATGAAGTCACATTTTTACACCTCACAGGCTGACTAGGGAGAGCAGTCAAATGCAGCATCGATTGGTTAAAATTAGTCTATCATTCTTGGTTTATGATGTTTTAAAGACATGTTAAAGTTATTCATGAAGATGTAAAAGACACATTTAAAACCCACATCAATTGCACTAAAAGTCAACTGGAAACAGAAGGTTTTTAAATCCTGGTGGTGGCAAATTGGCAGCCAAAGGAACAAAGTCTTAGTCAACATATTTCCATGTCCCCCGAACACAAATAGCCTCGAACCTTCGGAGGGTGTTCCTTTGAGATGTTTCATCAGTGACATCACAGTGATTGCCAGCTTCCACGGACTACTTTAGGCGCTGCCCAGAGTCCAGGAGTCCAGACAGCCTGGGAGGGGAGAAGGAGTTGGAGCTCAAGTTGGAGACAGCGAGGAGAAACCTGCCATAGCCAGGGTGTGTCTTTGATCCTCTTCAGGTAACTGCAGGATTTTTATGCTTAGCATACGGTGTGTGTGTGTGTACAAGCTGCAAATGAGAAAGGCAGAGGAATGTTTGCATTTCTTAATGAAATAGGCAATGCCCCTTGGATACAGCATGCCTTAAGATATAAAGTGAGTACTATTGCTTTCTGTTTTCCTTTTTTTTTCTCCTAAGGGTATGCATTTTCTCCCTTCCTAGTAAAAAAAAATTTTTTTTCTTTCTTGTATTATGGAAGATGGTCTTTTTTCTATCTTCTCTAAGTCTCCATTCAAAGAAAGCCAATGTCAAACTTCCTGCACAATTTATTCAGAGCTTTTTGGGTTTTAGTTCATCCATTTGCAATCACTGGATCATATGGCATGACCTTGACTTCAGGGAATGTTTAAAATGAAACCCAAAGTGTCTTTATTGGTTAAAAGCAGAAAAATGGAACTTGGCTGATCTGAATTTCTGCCTAACTGGTTCATTCTTCCTAAAGTGTATAAATGTGTGTGAAAGGAATGTTCACACCACACCTTACAGTTAGCATATGTGTTGATTGAATTGAATTCACTAGAAATTCTCACCTTAACTCTTCATGTTTTATTCATCTAAAATCACATAAAACAACAAATATTCAAGGTCACCATTAAAGTGCAAGAAGTAGTAAGAGGTAAATCCCAAGAAAGAAAGAAGTGTGATGGGTAGCCTGCTAATTCAGAAATGACTGAAAAAAAAAAAGTTAAGAGTGCATAAACATACACAGTTTAAACAATAACTGAAAGGCAACACTTCTATAATTATCATCCAGGTCAAGAAACAGATCATTGCCAGCACCCAGAAGCCCATTCTTGATCAACCCCCATTCTGCCCCAAGATGTTGGGATCCTCTTGTCCCTGTTATTCTTTATAATTTGACCATCTATGTCTGCATGCCTAAACAATATGATTAACCTCCCTATTTTTGACATCATATAAATGGAGTCATATTCTCTGTTTCTTTTGTAAATTCTTCTTTCACCCAACAATTATATTTGTGAGATCTACCCATTTTCTGTGTAGCTATAGTTCATATATTTTCTTTGCTTTATGAAATTCAAATGTATAACTATACCACAATTTATCATCCATTCTGCTGTTGATAAACATTTGAGTTGTTTCCAGTTTGGAGTTATTGTGATAATATTGCTGTGAACTCTTTATTTATGTAACCTGGCACGCACGTCCTTGACTGTCTTAAGGTAGAAGTGAAATGCCAGATATTAGAGAATGAACATTTTCAACATTAATTCTAAGAAAGCTAAATTGTTTTCCAAAGTGGTTGAAAATTTATGCTAACTTTGTTTAGCCAGGCCAGTTAATTGCAGTGACAATTCACTTGTGTCATAACTCCTAGGAATTCTAGTAACTAGTTCCAGTCTGCTAATTCTAGCTTTGCCTCTAACTTGTTATCTGTCATTACACAAACATCTTAATCTCCTCTCTCTAAAAGTCAGTTTCTCAGCTGTAATCTTGAGAAAGATAAAAACTGCAGTAACACTTGCCTGAGTTGTTGCGAAGGTAACACAAACAGAGCTGTGGAACAGCTTTCAATAGTATTTTTCTCATTTTCTGAGTATATCCTGTTGGATCACTATCCATGATTCCCATGACTTAACAGCTTAATTTAATAGGCAGATTTGGTGGGACCGTTGTTTTGCTCTCCTTGAATTGTTTTGACCATTATAAGCCAGGCTTCATATTTTCTGCTTATCTCTGCATTTCTTGAGAACTTACCCAAATAGATGGACATTTGGACTATGGTTTTATTTCATTGATAAGTTTATAAGAAAGAGTCTGTCTTCGTTTCTCATTCCTTTGCCTCCAGGCACCTTGGCAAGACTCATTACCGTTCTGTTCTCCTCTGCTCTTTTGTACATTCTCATAAATCCTTTTTCCTTGATCCATTCATTTTATTCTGTTTACTTTCTCCTCCATGCAAATCTTTGTAAAGATTTTCTATTTTTTCCCCTTTTTATTTTCTTGGAGAGACAGGGTCTTGCTGTGTTATCCAGGCTGGTCTTGAACTCCTAGGCTCAAGTGATCCTCCCACTCCAGCCTCCCAAAGGGCTGGGATTAGAGGCATGAGCCACCACGCCCAGCCATTTGTAATGGTTTTCATTGGCAATTTACTATTTCCTTCATGCTGAGGTCTAAAAGATGGATAATAATTAAAAGGGAGATGAAATATAAATCTGTCATCATTTGGCTATATATCTACTGGTTGGCACCATCTGATTTGAACTTGTATTTTTTTTTGAGACAGGGTCTCATTATGTTGCCTAAGCTGGTCTTAAACTCCTAGGCTCAAGGGATCCTCCCACCTCAGCTTCCCAATTAGCTAGGACTACAGGTACCGACTGCCATGCCTGGCTGAACCTGTATGTTATGCCAATTACACAATATGAAAAATGATCATTCAGTTGGCATTTATGCAATTAACAATTTGGTCCATTGATAATATAATCAATACAGTAATTACAATTAATAATTCAGTCATGCTAGATAGTTTAAAAATACCACTCAGACCAAAAGCTTGCTAACAACCCTTTCAGCCTCTTGAACTCTCACCTTTAGCAAACACACAAAATACCCTTTCTCCCTAAACTTTCACTCTACAGTAGACTTTGGTCCTAAATGTCTAAAACATAGATATCGAATTATCTAAAATATATAAATCTTTAATTTCATTTAGGCTGCATAAATAATGTGCAATTTACACCATCTCACTGAAGACAATAGTTTGATGACTTCATTGCACATGTTCTCAAAGTATGATTTCCTGTATGGACAATCTGTACATACTATGAAGATACCATCCCTGCTCTTTGAAATGTTTACAATCTAGGCACATCCTGGACCTGACTAAAAATAGCTGGCACAAGCCCTTGTTGAAACCGAAGTACCCATGAAGTTAACACTTGCTCTTTCGGCTGAATGCCTGTTATGCCAGGGGCTTTTGGTTGATCCCAGTAGGCTATGTGCCCAATGCAGGACTTGTCAGAGGCCATGCAGCTGTTGAAAGTACTTTCTGCTTTCCGTAGAGTTAGATGAAGACCTACAGCAGCCTGAGGCCTGAAAGATTATGGCATCCCACTTATCTATGTAATTCAAAGCAAGAACAATACTAAACCATAAAATTTTTTTGTTTTGGTACCCCTGCTTATTGATACTCTTAAGAAAAGTATACACATGCATACGCACACACGCAAACACACACAGAAGTTGGAGAAAGAAAAATGTAATATTTCACATTTTATGAAAAGCACCAATACGATCATCACAGGAAAAAAGTCAGGACAAAAATGGTGGTCTTTATGACATCAGGCAGAGAAATCAGGCTCTCTCTCTGTAATCATTAGGGCTCTTCAGAGAAACATAACTAATAGAATGTGTTGTGTTGAGGGGATTGGTGTCTGTTTTTAAGGAATTGGCTTGTGCGATTGCAGAGACTGGCAAGTCCAAAATCTGCAGGGTGGGCTGGTAGGCTGGAGACTTAGGGAAGTCTCCAGTCCAAAGACTGTCAGGAGGCTACATGTCCCAGATCAAGGTGTTGGCACAGTTGGTTTCTTCTGAGTCCTTTCTTTGGCTTGTAAATGCCCATCTTCTCCTTGTGTTTTCACATGGTCTTCCCCTCTGCATGTGTCTGTGTCCTAATCTCTTCTGATAAAGACACTAGTCATATTGGATTAGGGCCCTCCTTAATTACCTAATTTTAACTTATTTACCTCTTAAAAGACCCTATCTTCAAACACAGTCACATTCTGAGATACTGTGAGCTAGGGCTTTGACATGTAGATTTTTGGGGGACACAATTTAGCCCATCACACTCTCCTTTTCCACAACACTTCTGTTTCCTTTGAGGAAAGAACGAGCATTGTTATACAGGAATGCCCATTAATCTCCTTGTGTTTTCTTTGTTATGTTTTATCAGGAGGTGAGGAGAAGCCAGAGGTCCTTGGTGTGCCCTCAGAAATCTGCCTGCAGTTCTCACCAAGCCGCTGTGAAAATGGGGATAAACACCCGGGAGCTGTTTCTCAACTTCACTATTGTCTTGATTACGGTTATTCTTATGTGGCTCCTTGTGAGGTCCTATCAGTACTGAGAGGCCATGCCATGGTCCTGGGATTGACTGAGATGCTCCGGAGCTGCCTGCTCTATGCCCTGAGACCCCACTGCTGTCATTGTCACAGGATGCCATTCTCCATCCGAGGGCACCTGTGACCTGCACTCACAATATCTGCTATGCTGTAGTGCTAGGATTGATTATGTGTTCTCCAAAGATGCTGCTCCCAAGGGCTGCCAAGTGTTTGCCAGGGAACGGTAGATTTATTCCCCAACTCTTAACTGAAAATGTGTTAGACAAGCCACAAAGTTAAAATTAAACTGGATTCATGATGATGTAGGATTGTTACAAGCCCCTGATCTGTCTCACCACACATCCCTTCAACCCACACGGTCTGCAACCAAACTCTAATTCAACCTGCCAGAAGGAATGTTAGAGGAAGTCTTTGTCAGCCCTTATAGCTATCATGTGAATAAAGTTAAGTCAACTTCAAAAACAACTTCTAGAACTTATTTTAGCTTCCATGTGTGACAGAGCATTTGACCCTTGGCTGGGATTGGAGTGACAAGTGCTACCGTATTTCTAGCATTTGAGGTAAGCCAAGATGCTCCAACTGCTGAAGATTTGAAACCAAGTCAACACACTGTGTCATATTTCAAGTAATTCCATTGGTTCAGCGCTCCTCAAACTTTTCCCCTAAACTAGTCTGAAGGGCAGAGGGAGAATAAATCCATTCCACTACGGGGTCTGAAGCACAGGCTGAATTGCTGGCTAAAAGTGCAACATTTCTTTGAAGTCTTGTGTTTTATCTTTAGAATCCACAAGAAATGTATTTTCTATCTTATAATATCTTCATGTTTGTTTTCATATAAATATTTAAAATTATTTACACTAAGTAACACAAGAACATGAGTCATGTCCCTAAGAGTAGCATAGTCTATTTTGATTATTGTTATTACACAAATGGAGCTAGTCTTTAATCAACTACAGTTCTAAAAGGAGGAAAATAGAAAATGCAAACTTATATGTTTATAAAAGACATATAAAATAGATGTTTCTTAAACGTGTTGCCTGAACACCCCATGTTAGACAGAACAAATTTGCTATTTGTGCTGAGGTAACCATGGAGAAAGGGAATGTTGTTAAACCTCATCTTACATAGCCGCCTTCATGAAGGCATTTCTTGCCAAGAATTTGACCTGTCATTGAGGCATTGACTACATCACATTATAGTTCTTAACCTTTGGCTGCATTCAAAGAAAGTCAATTATCCCAGGGGTGATTTTTCAAAATACTGAGGCTGGGTCCTTCTCAGACCAATTAAATAAAAATCCCAGGGGATAGAGCCCAAGTATCTATCTTTTTAAAATATCTTCTAGATGATTACACTGTGTAGCCAGAATTGAGAATCACTGATACCAACCCTTGCTTCTCAAAATTTGATGTGATTGTGAATTACTGGGAAGTCTCATTTAAACGCAGATTCTAATTCCATTCTAATTCTGATTCAGTCTGGGGTGGGGCCTGAGAGCCTACATTTTGGACAAGCTCCTAAGTGATGCCAGTGCTGCCCTTCCAGACTGCTACCCTTGGATTAACATATTAGAATCACTTGGGGGGACCCTTAGCAAAACCACGCAAGCTTGAGCCCCATTCCTAGCCATTTCTAATTTATTCGGCCTTGGGTGAACCTGAATGTTATTCTTTTTTTCGAAGAAGTCCAGGTGACACTAATGTGCAGCCAGGATTAAGAATCCTCAAATAGCTAAAGAAAAAATGTTATATTTTGAGAGGTTCCTCTCCAAATTGGGAAATAGCAGCATATAGTCCTCAATGCGTTGTCCCTAACTTCAGTTAGACTACACATATGGATGTGCAACTGCTAATGATTTAGTAGGCAGCATATGTACTCACAGACTTGTGGCTCTAGGGCCCTCAGTAGACGGTTAGCCGTCTTTCCCCTATTTGCAGAAAACCTACTGTTTGTGTATGTGTTTGAGAAAGTGTGTGTGTGTGTGTGTGTGTGTGTGTGTGTGTGTGTGTTGGGGAGAGCCACAACATTCCCTTCAGATGTTGGACCATCTGGCCTTTCACAGAAATCTGAGTGATGGTGCCAACACTGACAACAGGTACCATTTATTGAGTCTACCGTATATGAAGCCCTGTTCTGGGCACTTTCCATAACTCATGCCATTTAGCAGATTTGGGAACTGAGGATCAGAGACTTCACTAAACAGATGTGAGTGGGGAAGCCACAATGAGAAAAGGATCATCTTAACCTCTATGGGGAACTGAGTACAAATCATGCTTTGTTATAGATCTCCAAACCATTGGATTATGCTTTAGGTTTTACCCTCACATTCTTTAGTATTCTAAAATATCAGCCTGTTTCGATCAAGGTAACAATTGCAGTACTCTATGTCATTTCTTTTTGCCTGTTAATCCTCACTCCTTTCTTTCTCTAACTTCCTGTGACTGAATCTACTGAGAGGGCCCATTTTTAGACCACATTGTGAGCAATCTTTGCAGGTATAGGATATCCATTAACAACTTTAGTGGTGGGGCTAGGAATTATGTAATGTCTTTCACATTCAGGAGTCCTAGTCATTATGGCTAAATCCCAGTCTGACTCATAAGTCTCCTTTATGTACAAACTTCCCTATGACCTCAAGTACCCTGATTCATCACAGAACTCTGCGTCCCTCAATGTTGGCTCCATCCACTGAAACGCTGCCTGATTATCCCAAACAAGATGCTAGTTCTCTAGAACCAGAGCACTGAATCCTAGTTATTAACTGAAGTTCCAGCTCATAGACTTGATCCTACTCTGGCTTTTTTCTCTTGCATTCATTCATTCATTCAACAAGTACTTATTATGAAACTAAGTGCTGGGCATTTACTAGACACTGGAGATAAAATGGCGAGAAAGCCAAGCCCCATTCTCATGGAGCATACCATTTAGTGGGGTAGACAGATATGTTAAATGGGTAGTTATAATGGTGTGAAAAGTTCTTTGACAAGATAAGGATAAGGTGCTGTTGAAGGAGATTCCAGGCAGAAGGAATAGCAGGAATGAAAAACCAAAAGCTAGAGAGGATGGCGAATTTAGGTGTAGTTGAAGCACACAGCATCTCTCCAGCCACTGGCAGTAGTCATGCCACATAAGAGCAGATCTCACAATTCTGTCACGTTGCTCTGACTTCCAAGTTGAATCATTTCTGAGATTCTTGCTGGCATGCCTTATGCACTGAGGGGGCCCTTTGCCACCAACAGTTGTTTGAGTCATGTCTGTGCTTACATATAACTTAGACACTGGCCTAGGGCTGTCCTATCACTTGTGTCCACAGCAGCCAGACTGGCTCTTCCCGTTTACCATCTCACCCCATTGAGCAGTTCTCTGTTGGGTGATGTTCTCCTCTTCTTGCCATAAGTCCTGGGATTCCAAGATTCCAGCCTGTATTGGCATTGAGCTGCCCACTTTACCATACCAACCAACCAACCATCTGATTTTTTTTAAAAAGGCATCTTTCAGTGCTAACTTAGACTTTCCTTCCAGTCTTCTCTAAACTCACTACTAAGGTGTACATCCTTTGGACCTTCTTGTTTTTATCTAA
This sequence comes from Homo sapiens, assembly GCF_000001405.40. NCBI lineage: Eukaryota > Metazoa > Chordata > Mammalia > Primates > Hominidae > Homo > Homo sapiens. Next base: position 107,704,259 of record NC_000011.10, on the reverse strand, counting down.
CTATTCTCTTACACTGAAATACACATACTTTTTATTCATTTCTGGCAGTCTCAACACCATAACTGGTCCCCAACTCCTCTTCCTGGGGCTGCCATATAGTTGGCTCCATAAGGCATAAGAAATTATCCAGATAATTCATGTCCCAAGCCGTGGCTCTAAGAAAAGAGACTCAAGATACGCCAACCTGATCAGCATCCATAATCACATTTCCATCTTTGCTTCATGGACCCACATGGGGTGTGCAAAAATGGTCACAAAATGGTAGTGCTTCCATTGTTCTCTAATTTAATTTAGGGCATCTCAAGGGGACAGCCCTTTCTTTACTTTTACTATTCCTTTATCATTTTGCTGTCGCTTTTGCTTCACTGGAACACAGTCTTTCTACCATTCTTGCCTGCCCCACAGGCATTTTGGTGCATAATCAATGCCATTTCTAGATGGCATCCCTGGACCTTTCCTTAGCAGGCTGGGTATGTCTGTTACCACCTTGAAATCTCATTACCCAGAATCCTGTCCTGAATGCCTAGAGTACCCCCGGAAAGTAGTTAGTGACAAATTAAACTGGTTCTGTTCCCTTTTCCTCTGAATATGTTATCTATCATTCTTTCAGTAGATCTAGTTTATCATTTCCTGTTTTCAGAATGTTTTTTAAAACTTTGGCACAGAAGACCCTTCTTAGCGGATCCAGGTCTACCTGTAGCCTCTCCTCTGTTTACCTGTCCCCCACGCCCTACCTCCACTCTCATTTCCAACCATTTCCTACTATTTGTGGTTTTCAATCATGCTATGCTGTCTTCTACTGTGGGGTCCTTGCATAGCTATTCTCTTTGCCATTAAGTGTTATTACCCCAAAAGTTATCCCCAGATAATTTCCTTCTCTGGGCCTCATGCCTAAACTCTCATAGCATTTATCACATTGTATTGGTTTGTTTGTCTCTCCCATGTGCAATTCTTGTTTATGGGGACTGTCTTCAATGTTTAATTTTAGTTTCTAGCTGGTCCGTCATAATCACTAGATAAGTATCTGTTGAACATGTCAGTGACTATTTGGCTAGATGTAAAAACTTTTGGAATAGACATGTACCTATTTCTATGACTAGGTTCATGATCTGTGTTCACCACAGTATAATAAAAAGGAGGCATAAAAAGTTCCAGTTCTAAAGTTCTATTAGGTTAATGAGAGAACCAAACTTCTTTTTAAACTTTAGGCAGTTGAAACAGTTGTTCCAAAGGCAGTTTGCTCTTTATGAAAAATTCATGATGCTTGCTTCTTTTGATCTGTCTCTATCGCCACCCTGAACAAGTTGACAATGTTTATGAATTACTCATCAAAGCCCAATGTGTTGAGCATGTTTATGAGTTCGTCTACAAACAGGGTGAAACCAGAGAAATTTCCACTTTTCAAACTGTAGAAAGTTAAGGTCAAACTTCATGTACACACACCATATTTAAACAAACTTTACTACATGCCTCCTGTATGTGAGGCACTTTTATGTGTTCTATTTTACTCAATTCCCTTTTATATTGTGAAGTATTTATCTTCATTTGTACCTTAAAAGTGAGAAGCCTGAGGCTCAGAAAGGACAAGTGGCCAAGCATAAAACACAAAGCTGAGAGGCAAACCCAGTTCTCTCCAATTCTGAGAGCTGGCTCTTCCCAGTCACCACGGTTGCCCTTCTGGGCTCTTCCCAGTCACCACGGTTGCCCTTCTGCATCACTCTAGGGCACAAGCACCTTTCCTTATTCTGGGCTGAAAGAGCCAAAATATGTGTATGTCAGAAGCCTCCAGGTAAATGCCTCAATCGCTGCGGCTCAATCATACATGGTTGGCAACTTACACAATTCTGTGTTTCCCAGGACTTTGAAACAAGCCCTGAAATCACCTCGTCTTTGTCAGTCAACTGAGCAGTAGATAATAAGAGAGAGGAGTATTGATGGTTGATTAGCTGTTTTCAGTGTGTCAGTTTTATACGTGGGGATTAAGTGGAAATGACAGCTCCATCTACAGCATTAGCTGGTTACACACACTTGCAGGAATTTGTCACATGGTAATTGTCATCTCCCACCCATTAGATCATTTTAAAATAAAGCACTGGAAAAAAGCATGGTCTTTGGATTCACAGGCTATATTTTGCTTACTAATACGTGATCCCAGATAAGTTACTGAACTTTTGTGAACCTCAATTTCCCTAGCTATAAAAGTAGAAGATAACAGTAAGTATGAACAACTATTATGTATCAATTAAAAAAATAGAGAATAATACCTTTTTTGCAGGATCACTGTGTTAAGTTAGGTGATATTTTCAAAGTGCTTAGCACAATGCCTGGCATTAGCAAATGCTCAATAAATGGTAGTTAATCTTGTTATAACATAAGCAAAGTACGATATTTGATACATAGCCTCACTTTTAAAAAGAAGTGTTAGATTTTAGTACTTTTTTTGTTTTGTTTTGTTTTTGAGACAGAGTCTCACTCTGTCACCCAGGCTAGAGTGCAGTGGCACGATCTCAGCTCACTGCAACTTCTGCCTCCTGTGTTAAAGCGATTCTCCTGCTTCAGCCTCCCGAGTAGCTGGGATTACAGGCATGCACCATGACGCTGGCTAATTTTTGTATTTTTAGTAGAGACGGGGTTTCACCATGTTGGCCAGGCTGGTCTAGAACTCCTGACCTCAAGTGATCCTCCTGCTTTGGCCTCCCAAAGTGCTGGGGTTACAGGCGTGAGCCACCATGCCCAGCCAAAGATTTTAGTACACTTTTAAAGAAAGCATCAAGGATTGGTGGTGGGGTGGTGGTTGCTGCTGCTGCTATTTCAACACTATTTCTTCTAAGAGGATAATAAAACACTTTGAGAAAGTTGTGGCTTCTTTTTTTCTTTCTTTAGCAGGGGAAAGGGATAGGGATACTGAATTGTAGAATCCCTTTGCTCATGAAGAATACAATGTATTTCTCAAAATGCAAGAACTACTTGAATTACAATACTCAAAATACTTTTTCAATTGCAGATTCCTGCACCAACTCCAGAACTACTGCCAGGGAACTTCTGAGAGTGGGATCTGGCTTGCTATGTTTTAAGCCAGCTCCCCAGGTGATTGTTATAGTCACTAAAGTTTGAGAATCCCAGATCTACAACATCCTCCCGCACCAGCACCCAAGATTTGCATTTCTGCTCTTTTTTTTTTTCTTTCAGACAGGAGTCTTACTTTGTTCCCCAGGCTGGAGTGCAGTGGTAAGATCACGGCCCATTGCTGCCTTCACCTCCTGGGCCCAGGCGATCTTCCCACCTCAGCCTCCCCAGTAGCTGGGACCACAAACATGCACCACCACACCTGGCTAATTTTTGTATTTTTTTTTTTTTTTTTTTGTAGGGATGGATTCTCCCTGTGTTTTCCAGGCTGGTCTCAAATTCCTGGGCCCAAGTGATTCTACCGCTTCAGCCTCCCAAAGTGCTGGGATCATAGGAGCAAGCCATAGCTCCCAGCCCTGCATTTCTACTGTTTTCAAGAACTTGGGCTCTGGTTGGACTGAGAAGTTCACAAAATTCCACTTTTCCGGAGAGGTTGCAAAATTCTTACCCCCATCCCTTTGAACTGCAAAAGTACATTCTTTATCTTCCCATCTCTCCAGGAAAAGCTTTCCTTGCACCCTTTACCCCCATTCCTAGTCTGTTCCCACACTGGGTCTTTATTCTCTCCCAAACAAGTTTGCCCTGTTGTACTTGGAGATTCAAACCCTGTCTACGATGCCACTTAATAAAAGTTATTTTTTAAACCTGAAGTTATATAGTGTATTAACTTGTATGCAAGAGTTCTATTTTGACATATTTTCAATGAAGATGCTGGAACTGTCATTCCAATTTTAATGGCTTTACAGATATTAAACATCAATAGGTGTTTCCAAATTATGTCTCCTTTTGGCTTTCACTTTTCCGGGCAGTCAGATTACACCCAAGGATTAAAAATCAGCATAAAACAGTCTCTACTTTAGACCTCAGACTTAAAAAATTCCGAATCTTGTGACTTTCTCTCTGGGAAAGTAAGTAAAAAATGAGTTTTCTCAACAGCAGCAATTCCAGCCAGGGTCTGCATGATAAGATATCTGTCTCGGGGCAGTGTTCACAGGTTCCAGCCAATACTGCCTGATCCAGATCCAACTGTGAGCTGTCTCTCTTCCAACAACATACTCATTTTATATTCCTCTGACACTGCTTCAAAAAGGACATGGAGAAAGAAGTCTATTTTCAACACATGCTGTGTCTACAATGATGACATGCATGGTGATACCCACCACCCACATCACAAACACCCTGCCAAGTCCTAAGCTAATTCGACTTCACAATGGCAAGCTTTTCAGATGCCCAGAGGTTTTATGGTGATTATTTGACGATTCAACACGAAAGCAGCTCCTGTTGTTTGCCACATCCACACTGAGCTTTCCATTCATTCAGAATGACAAGGCATTCATAGCGTCTCGCAATCAATTTTGAGATGTCTCTGTGAGTGAAAGAGCTCCATTGGCAACATTGCAAGGCCCTTTTTGTAAGTCACCATTTCCATCCCTACCCCATCCTGTCAGAATGACTGGGGTCACATTCATATTGCAGACCAGCAGAATCAGTGGGAAGCCGAACTTGGAAGATTGGATTTGATCTCATGCATCATACTATCTTGATTTTGGAAATGAGAGACAGTCACATGCAATTTGAGAGACTGCCAACCTGAGACACATTTTGAATTATACCATATGTCACTGGCTTTAAGCATGGTTTCAGACCAGTTCATTTTGAATGACACTCGCGGTGGCTCACGCCTGTTATCCCAGTACATTGGGAGGCCGAGGCTGGCAGATCACGAGGTTACGAGATTGAGACCATCCTGGCTAACACGGTGAAACCCCGTCTCTACTAAAAATACAAAAAATTAGCCGGGCGCGGTGGCGGGCACCTGTAGTCCCAGCTACTTGGGAGGTTGAGGCAGGAGAATGGCGTGAACCCGGGAGGCGGAGCTTGCAGTGAGCCGAGATCGCGCCACTGCACTCCAGCGTGGGCAACAGAGCGAGACTCTGTCTCAAAAAAAAAAAAAAAAAAAAAAAAAAAAAAAATCACAGGCCAGGAATGGGGGCTCACGTCTGTAATCCTAGCACTTTGGAAGGTCCAGCTGGGAGGATTGCTTGAGTTCAGGAGTTCAAGACCAGCCTGGGCAACATAGTGAGACCTCATCTCTATTTTTTTTAATTAAAAAATTTTTTAAAAAAGAAAGGGCACATCTCAGACATGTAATACGACTAATGATTAGTCTCTGAGCCATACAGCATTCTGCTCCTGAGAAAGATGTACATAGTGAAATAAATGTATTTCCCTTGAAGACCTCTGTATGTGGTTTCATCTTGTCTTTTTCATCTTTTCCTAGTATTTTCAGTGTCATAGATATGTTTATTCTGATGCCACAATGGCTGATGTGAACTTTCAGCTGAGGCTGTATTTAATCTGCAATTAATTCTCTGAAATCAAAGGACATCCTTTTTATCTGCAGTGAAAAGGTAAAGCAAGCCCAATTCTTCAGACCTAGCTGTACAAACCACATGGACACTTATCTGTGGAGATAAGAATGAAGGTATATCTCTGCTGGTAGAAAATGACGTATTATTACCTGACAGCAGGACATATATTTAGATAAGCATCATTTTTGATTTGCACTTCAAAGCTGGCTAATGTTCTTTTGAATATTATTTATGATGATTTGAAAAAGACATACCAGAAGAGTTTTTTGTTGTTGTTGTTGTTGTTAATCTGGGTGCCAATCAAAAAAGAACTCAACCAGCCGGGTGCGGTGGCTCATGTGTGTAATGCCAGCACTTTGGGAGGCCGAGGCGGGTGGATCACAAGGTCAGATCGAGACCATCCTGTCCAACATAGTGAAACCCCATCTTTACTGAAATACAAAAAATTAGCTGGGTGTGGTGGTGCGCAGCTGTAGTCCCAGGTACTCGGGAGGCTGAAGCTGGGGAATTGCTTGAACCCGCGGGAGGCGGAGGTTGCAGTGAGCTGAGATTGTGCCACTGCACGCCAGCTTGGCGACAGAGCGAGACTCTGTCTCAAACAAAACAGAAACAAAAAACAAAACAAAACAAAACAAAAACTCAGCCTTGAAATATGAGTTGTTCTAAGTTACAATACTATTTAATTGTAAATTATTATAACCCTTCATTATAGTGTCTTATATTTTCTGGGAAGAGACAAATTTATTCAAATTTTGTTTGGCTGGAGTTTCCTTGAAGCTATCAGGGCTCTTTGGCTAAGTGATATTAGATTCTAGCCATGTTTATGAAATCATTCTTTCATCATCAACACCGACCTCTTTCATTAATAAAAACTTCTTGGTCATATTTCATAACTTTTTTTTTTTAAGAGACAGGGTTTTGCTATGTTGGCTAGGCTGGATTCAAACTCCTGGGCTTGAGCTGTTCTCCTGCCTCAGCCTCCTGAGTAGCTGGGACTATAGTTACACACCACCACACCTAACTACTTCATAACTTTTAGTTTTTTGGGTTTTTTTGAGACAGGGTCACTTTGTCACCCAGGCTGGAGTGCAGTGGCATGATCATGGCTCACTGCAACCTTGACCTCCTGCGCTCAAGTGATCCTTCCACCTCAGCCTCCAGAGTAGCTGGGACGACAGGCGTGTGCCACCAGACTCAGCTAATTTTTGTAATTTTTGTAGAGATGGGGTTTCGCCATGTTTCCCAGGCTGATCTTAAATTCCTGAGCTCAAGTGATCTGCCCTCCTCAGCATTCCAAAGTGCTGGGATTACAGGCATGAGCCACTGTGCCCAGCCTAATCTTACTGTTCTATGACTATAAAATACTTGAGATCAAGGTCTCTGTAGCCATATTTGTGTTATTGAGGTTGATGAAGAAATCGAGGGGAAAAGAAGAGAAAGAGTGAGGTCTATCGCTGCCTCTTTTAATGTGGTAGAACTTTTTGTCTTATAGAAAGCGTGGAGCCTTTTTAAATGAATGCTTCACACTGGACATCACCCAGTGGTACTTAAACTAGACTACATGATGTAGGCACAAGTTTCAATAGAGAGTAGGAGAGATACCTCCACAATATGTGGGCTTAATTTCAAGCACAGGGAGTAATTGTCTCCTACCAGACCTCCAATAAGGTTTCCAGACTGTTCCAGCTAGAGGAGATTTCAAAGATACTAGGTTCAACAGTGAGATTTTATAGGGGTGGGGGACAGGGTTAGAGAAGTTACACAACTACCCATGTTTTGTTCGTGGCAATGCTGGGGTGACAAGCCAGATCCCCTGATGTTTAGACCAATGTGTTTCCAAGTGGCAACTCTATTAAATTGGATTTCTTTATGGAATCTGTCTTCACAGCTCTCGGGTGGGGGAAAAAAAAGCAAAATATGGTTCCTTTTGTCTGTGGCCCAAAGACTGTATCCCATTCCACACATATATAATTGGAAGTGTTTAATTGTGTGGCTACCCATGACCAGGTTTCTCTTTTATAGGCTGGAAAATGTATTGACACTTGTCCTGGCTGGATATCCAGGTATTTTTTTACTAAAGATTCAGCTTCTAGTAGTGCAGTTACTTGAAAAAGGGTGGGCTCAGGGGTGCTGGAATCAGAAGCCTTCTGAATCTCTCAGAATCTTTCTAATGTCTGTTTAGTGATAGACACTTTAGCCATCATTAAGGCTGGAAGTGGAAAGGAAATATCAGCAAGGGTTGAAATTTTAGCTGTGGAGAGGAATAAGTGCTTCTATGACCTCTAAGTTTCCCTACAATGTAATATCATTGGATGGTTTCCTTAAGAACTTTATTTACAACTCTCAGATGCTAAAACCAGCTGCTTACAGATATCTTTCCTATCTTTCCCTACTCTCAAGGAACATGATCTAAACATGAGTCATCACAGGCACCAAGATCTTGGCTAGAAAATCTTCCTAGTGACACGTATCCTATTCTCTGAGAGTTGCCAAAGGAATTCTTTCCATAGCTTCTTCCTCAGAACAGAGGCAATAGGGCATAGTGGAAAAAGATGGACTTTGGCAACAATTAATTAATCCTGAGCAAGCCACTTATTAGTGTTTGACCTAACACAAGTAAATTAAACTCCATGAGCCACACTTTTCTCATCTAAATATAGAAATAATGCTACCTATCTCAGAAAGTAATGGAAGAAGTAGAAATGGTGAATATAAAAATACACACAAAGTACAAAACATAGTAGAATCTAGGTAAATGATAACATTTAAACATAATTTTTAGGTTACATTGGGCTAATACTATGGAACCCCAACTTCTGTATAAGATAAGCTTTTGAGAGTTTATTGCCCCCCACCAAGTCCTAAACACTGACCGGTGCATGTGTGTGTATTGGGAGTAGGGAGTTGGTTGAGAGAAGACAAAACAAGACAATGATTCTCATCTTTTAACTAAAATGTTAGTATTCTTTTTCATCTTTCTCTTTCTCATTCATTGCTTTCTCATTTCCTTTTAAAAAATACTTTTAAAACAAAAAATATATATCAATACCTTCTTGTTTAAAAATGTGAACAGAAGCATCTTTGTCATTCCTTTTTTCTGACTGGGAAGAGTCGAAATAGCTGATGCTATAGAGATGAAATGCTAGCAAGTAAACAAGGCTGGCTCTTCCTGTTAGAAGTCAAAATTGTCTTAAGTACTCTTGCATATTAACTTTTACAAATGAAGTTTAGAATCAGTTTTTCAAATTTTGTAAAAAGCCCTTTGGGATTTTGATTTGAATTACATTGAATTTTAAGTTAGTTTCAAGAGAATTATCACCATTAAAAGATCAAATATTTCCAGTAATGAATGTGAAGTATTTTCCTAAATTTTGTAGTCTATTTAAAAAAAAAAAGTGCTTCAGCAAAATGTTTAGTTTTATTTAAAAGGTCTTTGATATTTCTTATTAAATTTATTCCTATAGATTTTATAGCTTTTTGCTATTATAAATGAAATGTTTTTCTATTAATTGAAAATAATTAAAATATTTTAAAATAACTTAAAAACTAACATTGCTATTAATTTAATAACAATAATACGTTTATAATAATATATTTATTTTATGTCTAGCCACATTTCTAAACTTTTTGTCAGTTCCAGTAGTTTGGCAGTTGTTGCTTTGGAATTTTCAGGTGGACAATCACATGTTAGGCAAATACAGTTTCCCCACTAAGTATGATATTTGACATAAGTTTCTGGTGGATAGTCTTTATCTGGTAAAGAAAGTTTTCCTTCTATTCTGAATTTGTTAATTTAAAAAATTTGGATTTTTTTTTCTTTATCAAACACTTTTCTAGCATCTATTGAGATCCTCATAAAGTTTTATTCTCATTTGACCTGGTAATTAATTAAACTATGGATATTCCTGGGGTATATCCTACTTGATCACAACATATTCTTTCATTATAGTATCAGAGTCAGCTTACTATCTTATTTAGAAGGTTTGCATCTGTATTCATAAGTGGAATTGTTTTTTAATTTTCTCTTTTTGTGCCTTCCTTGTTCAGTCTAGATTTGGTAATAGGATCATGCATCATGCTGGTCTTATGAATTGGATTGGGTAGATTTCAATTTTTCCTTATAGTTTGTAATATTTATGTAACATTATGTCATATTTTATGTAATATTGGAATTATCTTTTCTTGAGGATTTGGTAGAACTCATTGGTAAAATTGTCTTGGTGGACTACAGTGATTAGGGATAGATCTTGGGTAATTATATGGTTGATAAATTATTTAGATTTTCTACTCATGAATCAATTTGAATAATTTATATTTTCTCTTAAAATCTTTCATTTCTTCTAGGATTTTAAATATATAGAAAGTGGATAACCCAACCCAACCTTTATTCTGAAAACAGCAAAAAAAAAAAAAGCTAGACAAAATTTTTTTAAAAATCTGCTTGAAGGCCTCAGGAGCTAAGAAGGGAGTAAATAATTACAGAGATAGAATCATGGAGGAAAAGGAAACACAAGAAGTCAACTCAGCATTTGGGACTGTTTTTTCCCCATTAGTCTCTAGATTCTGAAGAAGTGACTGAGAGGGTGAGCAGTGGTTTAGATCACCATTAGGAACTAAGGGAATAAATATTTGAATTCAGAGTCCCCTAAGAAGGGAAATCATGGTAAGCTCCATAGCTTTTGGGACCCTCAAAAGTGTACCCTAAGAAAAAGGGTAAGCCAGAAGTAAACCAACCTTCATTCAATCTTTTACTTATGTTGACAATCTCTCTTTAGACCATTTATATTTAATGTAACTATTAATATGGTTATATTTAGTATTATCATTTTATTATTTGTTTTCTGTCGTTCCTTCTGGGTATTTTTTTCTGTTTCCACTCTCTTGTGTATGCCCTATAAATCTGTCTATTTTTTGGGCTATATATTTTTAAATAATTGCTCTGGGAATTGCAATATGCACTTTTAACAATCTACTTAGAGTTAATATTTTACCACTTTGAGTGAAATGTAAAGTTACATTAAAGTTGTCATATGTTTGCAACTATATAAACTGAACCCCCCCAGAAAACATAATGTTATAATTTTACTTTCAATAGTCAGACATGTTTTAAGGAACTTAAGAGAAAAATAGTCTATTTATTCAGATATTTACCATTTCTATTGCTTTTTCTTCATTCCAATTATTCCTCTGGTATCTTTTCTCTTCCACCTGAAGAACTTCCTTTATCTTCCCTTTTAGAGTAGGTCTGCTGCCAACAAATTCCCTTAGTTTTCCTTCATCTCAAAACGTCTTTATCTGACCTCATCCTTGAAGAATATTTTCACTAAATATAGAATTGTGGTTGGCCATTATTCTCTCTCAGCACTTTAAAAATGTTCCACTGTCTTCTGACCATCATGGTTTATTTTTATTTTTATTTTATTTATTTATTTATTTATTTTGAGACAGAGTCTCGCCGTCACCCAGGCTGGAGTGCAGTGGCTCGATCTCGGCTCACTGCAGCCTCTGTCTCCTGGGTTCAAGCAATTCTCCTGCCTCAGCCTCCTGAGTAGCTGGGACTACAGGCGCATGCCACCACATCTAGCTAATTTTTGTATTTTTGTAGAGACAGGGTTTTACCATGTTGGCCAGGATGGTCTCGATCTCCTGACCTCGTGATCTGCCTGCCTTGGCCTCCCAAAGTGCTGGGATTACAGGCATGAGCCACCGCGCCCTGCCATCATGGTTTCTTAAAAGAGATCTACAAGCATTCAATTTGTCATGCCGTATATGTGGTGTTTTATTTGTCTCTAGCTGCTTGCAAGCTTTTTCTTTTATTTTTGGGTTTCAGCAGTTTTAAGTCATGATGTGTCTGACTGTGGTTTTCTTTCTTCCTCACCACCCCTGCCCCCCACCCATCTGGCTGTGGTTTTCTTTGAGTTACTCTGTTTGAGGTCCACTGAGCTTTTAAATCTGCAAATCCATGTCCTTCAACAAATTTGGGATATTTTTGGCCATTATTTTTTCAAATTTTTTTCTGCATTAATTTATTTCTCCTCTTCGTCCTGGACCTTAGTGATATGGACTATTAGACCTTTGATGTTGTCCTGCAGTTTCCCAAGACTCAGTTCAATTTTTAAAAAATGGTTTTTGTCTTCGTTTTTCAGATTTAATGATTTCTACTGATCTGTCTTTAAGTTCCCCCACTCTTTTCTCTGCCATCTCCTTTCTGCTATTGAGCCCATTAGTGAATATTTTCATTTTATGTTTCAGTTCTAAATTTTACATTTTGTTCTTTTTTACAGCCTCTATTTCTTTGCTGAGAACTCCTTTCTTTATTCATTTCAAGCATATTGCTTTTACTTCATGGAGCATAATTAGAATGGATGCTTTAAAGTTTTTGTCTGATAATTTTAACTTCTGGTCATCTCTGAGCTAACTGTTGATTCTCTTTTCTATTGAGAATTGTTAAGAATGTCCTTATTCTTTATATGTCAAGGAATTTTGAATGGTTTCCTAGACATTTTGAATATTATGTTATGAGACTCTGGGTTCTGTTAAGATCCTCTGGATAATTTGATCTTTAGTTTTAGCAGGTAACCAGTCTTTGTAGTTTAAGATTACAAATCCCAATCTACCTTCTCTGTTCTATGGTTCCAAAGTCAGTTTTGTTTTGAAAACCTTTGCAGTGCTATTTTGGTTCACTTTATTTATGTCCCACCCAAAGGCTAGTTTGGCACATGGGCAGTGGTCTACACTATGGTTTGGTTCTCAAAACCTTTGCGGTGCTGCTTCATATCAATTCCCCCTACAATTAGCTCAGAAGTGACTTCACACAAAGATTTAAGGAATCCATTTCCCCAGCTCTCTCTTCTCCATGACTTCCCCAAAACTTTCTAGTTCTTAAGGGCTTCTTTTCATGGTCTTCCGGCTAAAAAGCTGGGGTTTCAGCCTCTCCATGTTGTTGTGTACTTCTCAAAATGGGGTCTGCCTCAGGAGCAGAATGCAGAGAGAAAAAAGAAAGAAAACGATTAATAGAGATTCCCCCAACATTCTTCAGATCACAGGGACATCTTTTTCCAGTTCCTCTGGTAATAAAAAAGGATTTTCTCTGAGTTTGAGGTGCTTGCAAGCCTACCACTGCTGCTGCTGTTGCAAAAGTGCAGCTTCATGACTTGCCACAGGGCAGGGCCAGGAGATTACTAAAAGAAAGAAAATGAGGATTCCCTTCACATTCACAATCCTACAGGACCCCCACACTTTGTCCACTGACTAGATAAAGAGGATTTGTCTTAGTCCTTTTCTGCTTGCCTTTGCTGTGTAGTTCCAGGATTTGGGCTGCCATAGAGTGTAAGTTAGGATATATGGGTGGGAAAAAAACAAAAACAAAAGAAACAAGAAACTCACTGTTGTAATGGCTGTCCTATGAGTTTTGAGAAAGATATAGAGTGGAACAATTTTACTCATTTTAACTAACATCAGAAGTCTCTGACATCCAGCCATGAATCATCTAAATCCCTGAGTCGATAATGGTGATACAAGATTGCTAGTGCCACAGCAGCCTGCCAAAGCAAACGAAAACTCCCTTAGGAGAAAGATAGCATAATCCTAGGCATCAACTTATCTTTACTATTTTTCATAGACAATGTCTGGTACTCAATAAAAAAGAACCAGGCATAGTGCCAGTGTCTATGGAGCGCTGTAATTTAAGTTATTCAGAGCAACTTTCTTTGAACATGTTTTCTTTAAAGTAAAAATAGAAACCTCTTTACAGAAAGGAAAAGTCATCATCCCACTTACATATCCCTTCTCACCACGGTGCACAACAGTGTCTGCTAATATATAAATTAGATGTGTTCTTTCCAGGCAAATATATTATTTTAAGTAATTTGTCACAAGATGAATTGCAATTTTTAAAATCTCTCCTGTTTAAATATTTTCTTTATAGTAACATGATTAAGTCATCATGGCATATGATCTGGCGTTTACTTTGTGAGTTGAGATATATTCGGACGTCGTCAGCTAGAATCTCAAGTGATGGATATGTCCCCCGTATGTAGTTGCTTCTTCTCTCTCTTCTCAACAGGATTCCAAACGTGGCAGGGAACAGAGTCAGATGATCTATCTTTTCATCTATTCCACCATCTCTTTATTTTATTATTACTTTATTTCTTCTGAAGGGTTTATTTGTGACCTAAATAAGAAACAGAATCTAAGCCAAAACATTTTGTTCCTTCAAATAACAAATAACATGCCTGTAATCGCAGTACTTTTGGAGGCCAAGGTGGGAGAATCACTTGAGGCCAGGAGTTTGAAGCCAGCCTGTCACACAGGCTGGAGTGCAGTGGTGCGATCTTGGCTCACTGCAACCTCCGCCTCCCCAGTTCAAGCGATTCTCCTGCTTCAGCCTCTTGAGCAGCTGAGACTACAGGTGAGTGCCACCATGTGCGGCTAATTTTTGTATTTTTTTTTAGTAGAGACGGGGTTTCACTATATTGGCCAGGCTGGTCTCGAACTCCTGACCTCGCGATCCACCCACCTCGGCCTCCCAAATTGCTGGCATTACAGGTGTAAGCCACCGCGCCTGGCCTCTAAAAATTTTTTTAAAAAATTAACTGGATGTGTGGTGGCATGCACCTGTAGTACCAGCGACTCAAAAATCTGAGGCAAGAGGATCACCTGAGCCCAGCAGTTCAAAGCTACAGTGAATTATGATTGGGTCACTGCACTCCAGCCTGGGCGACAGCAAGACCCTGAAAAAAGAAAAGAAAAGAAAAAAAGAAAAGAAAGAACACAAAGACAAGAAAAACCCCATAAATAACATAGGTGGTTTCAGCGATAAAATAAACTGACCCCAGGTGTAGAACTGGGGCAAGGTGTAGTACCCCTCAAGTTGAGAAACCTTTGCCCGGAATGAGCCTTTCTGGAAACTTTCCCGTGGGCTTCCTTAAAAGTTTCACTTTATACCCAACATATACACAGCAGAGGGCGCCCCAGTATAATCCAAGAGTCCCAGGGCCACTGAGCAGCTCTGCGATTATTGGGCCTTTGCTCAATTCTTACACTTCTGGTGATGTTTGCTCAACAAACATCTAATGAGTGTTTATTATGTGCCAGGCACATATTCTCTTTAGGCACTTCAGACACAAAGTTGAATTTGGCTCAGTTCCTGTTCTCAAGAAGCTTATATGCAGTCAGGCAGGGGAGATGAACATGTGTGTTAACTAAAAATATCAACAGCTAACATTTATTTTCCACTTACTATGTTTCTGGCACCATGCTAAAGGCTGTGCCTCTATAATCTCATCTACTCTCCATAAGAGCTTTCCAAGTTAGTTATTATTATTATGGCTGGCATCACGCTGTGAGAAGTGCTATAATCGAGGAATGAAAGTGTGTGCGAAGGAATAAGACTTCTACCTACAGGAGTTGGAGAAAGCAAGAAGTGGCATTGACTATTTACTCATTTACCTTTTCCTCAACTGTGAGCTGGTTGAGTGCACAGGCTGTTTTGCTCAGTTGTGAGACCTCAGTGCCTTGTCTCAATACATATCTGATGAATGAATGAATGAATGATGTTTCAGCTAGATATTGAATGACAAGTAGATTTTCACAAGATAGGAAAGAGAAAAGGGCCTCCTAGGCAGAGGATGCAGCATAATAAAGTCATTGAGACATTACTGTGAGATACTCAGGGAATACCAAGTAATTTGGTGTAAGAATCAGAGTACAAAGTGGGAAGTGGGAGGAGAAGCTGGAAGGTCGGTTGTTGTCTTATTTAGCTACTGCTGTGTGACAAGTCACCCTAAGTCAAGTGGAGTAAACAATAAGTATGTATTATTGTTTATACAAGCCCTCTGGGGGTTTCTGCCAGACTTGGCTGATTTCATCTGGGCTTGAAATCAGCCCAGATGATTTCAAGAGACCTGGGGGATAGGCTGGGGGCTGGCTTGCCTCGGATGGCCTCACCCACACATGTGGTGATTGGCTGGATGTTGGCTGAGACATGAGTCTCTGATCATTTAGTAGACTAGCGTGGGCTTGCTCACGTGGCAGTGGCAGGGTTCCACAAACGTGAGTGGACGTGGACAAGGCCTTTTTAGACCTAGGTTTGGAATTGGTACTCTGTCATTTCTACCACATTCTATTGACCAAAGAAAGTCACAAGAACAGCCTAAATTCAAAGATTGGGGAAATAGACTCCACCCCTTAATGGGAAGAGCTACAAAGTAAAATTACAAAGGGTGGGGATACAGGGAGGGGTCATGAACTAGAGACATGTTTGCACTCCAGCTATTTCCGTTGAGACTAGATAACAAAGAGTTTTCACCATCTGAATGCCAAGTATGGACTTTATTTTGCAAGAATGGGAAGCTCTCAAAGGCATGACAGAAGTTTAGGTCTTAGAAATATAACTGTGATAGTGTGACATGATACAAAGTTTGAAGGGAGGAGAGATTAAAAGCAAAGTAACGTTGAGGAAGTGAATTCAGCAGTACCAGGTGATGTGGGTTTGAACAAAATCTATGATGTTAGTTTAGTCTATCTAGTCTTCCAAGTTAAATCAAGACCACCTCCTCTATTCTCTGTCCCCACCAATTCATTGTGCATAGAGCTTTAAAAATGTGAGTTTAAATATGTGGGTAAGAAATCAATCTAGATGACCTCTAAATTTCTTCTGTATGTTAAGTTTCCATCATTCTAAGAAGAGCCTTGTCTATGGTTGTTTCAAATGCCTTAAGGATAAAATACCGTCTAAAGGAGATTTTTTCTTACATAAAATTTGTGGGGAATCAAGGAGGGTTTTACAGCAAAAGAAAAATGTGATCCGAGCTGCCTATGGGAAGCTAAATTTCACAAATAAGAGTAGAACAGATTAATGGGGGAAAGTTGTAGTGGGAGAACTATTTGGAGTCCATAGACATAGTTCATATACAAATTTATAAGGACGCGGATGAGCCAGCGAGTGGGCAGTTGGGAGTGGGCTGTGGACCCTGGCGGTGGGAGAGGAGGAATGGATCTGCAGGGGGGTTCTATTAAGATTAGAGAGAGGTTGGGCATGGTGGCTCACGCCTGTAATCCCAGCACTTTGGAAGGCTGAGGTGGTTGGATCACCTGAGGTCAGGGGTTCGAGACCAGCCTGGCCAACATGGTGAAACCCCGTCTCTACTAAAAATACAAAAATTAGCTGGACATGGTGGCAGGCATCTGTAATCCTAGCTACTCAGGTGGCTGAGGCAGAAGAGTCTCTTGAACCCAGGGGACGGAGGTTGCAGTGAGCGGAGATCATGCCACTGTACTCCAGCCTGGGTGACAGAGTTGAAACTCTGTCTCTCTGTTTGTTGTTTGTTTAGAAGCATTTTGATGACTAAATAAACATACATTTATTTTTATTTGAGGACTAAATAAACATGTTTTTCTCACATGAATTATAGTGTATTTTTTTCCATATTATTACCTATTATTTATTACTGTCTCTTCTTGGCTATATGAACCCAGGCAACATCTGTGCCTCAATTTCCTCATCATAAAAAAGGGATAATGGGATCGGGCACAGTGGCTCACATTTGTAATCCCAGCACTTTGGGAGACCAGGGCGGGAGGATCACTTGAGCTCAGGAATTCGAGACCAGCCTGGGCAACGTGCAGAAACCCTGTCTCTACTAAAAATACAAAAAATTATCTGGGTGTGCTGGTGCGGGCCTGTAGTCTCAGTTACCAAGGATGCTGAAGAGGGAGAATCACCTGAGCCTGGAACATGGAGGCTGCAGTGAGCCAAGATCGCGCCATTACACTCCAGCCTGTGGGAGAGCGAGACCCTGTCTCAAAGGAGGTGGGGCAGGATAATGGTAGTATTTTTCTCACAGCACTGTTTTGAGGGTTGAGTTAATACATTTAAAGTGCCTTGAATACTGTACGTTGTAGTGTAAGCACGCAATACATTTAGCTTTGAACATTATCTTTTTTATTATTAATATTATAAAAAACATTATTTACCACTATGCTATTGTTTTTACTTTTTTTTTTGAAACGGAGTTTCACTCGTTGCCTAGGCTGGAGTGCAGTGGTGCGATTTCGGCTCACTGCAACCTCCGCCTCCTGGGTTCCAATGATTCTTCTGCCTCAGCCTCCTGAATAGCTGGAATTACAGGCTTGCGCCACCACGCCCAGCTAATTTTTTGTATTTTTAGTAGAGATGGGGTTTCACCATGTTGGCCAGGCTGGTCTTGAACTTCTGACCTCAAGTGATCCACCAGCCTCGGCCTCCCAAAGTGCTGGGATTACAGGTGTGAGCCACTGTGCCCGGCACGAGCATCTCTTTATATAAAATCCTTTTTCCTCTATCTCAGATTACATCCCAGGGACTGAATCCCACAAGGTGAATTACATGGTTAAAAATCACACTCTTTTGGGCTCCATGGCCTTGTGATTTGACTTTTAAGTCTCTGCATTACTCTGTGTGGTTGGAATCAGGGAGATTCAGGCCTAGCTCCAGGCAAAGCAGAGGTGAAGGTGAATGTTACCTAGGTTCCTCCATCCTCCCCTTTCTATGCTGTTTTCATACCTTCCTCTTCATTCATTCCTCAATTATTCCGCAGAGAACTTGCTGTGTAGCAGGTGCTGTGCTGCGCAGTGCTTGAGCAAAGAAAGCCCAGTCCCTGACTTGAAGGAGCTTCAAGTCCAGAGGCATGATTACAATTTGGCAATGCTGTTTTGGTGGGAGAGGACTTGAGCTGAGCTGAGGGAGCAGCAGAGAGCTCCCCCAACTAAAATTCTAAAACTTAGGGGTTCAAGTCTTTCTGGGGGAGATAAAACTTGAGATGAGTCAGGCAGTAGAAGATAGCAAGATACTGACATGAATTTGACTCTGCCATTGTTATTTAGTAAATATGGGGCCTAAGGCAGGTTTTAAACTTCTCTGGGCCTCAGTTTCCTTATACATAAAATGGGGATGAAACTGTTGTGAAAAACAGAGAGAGTTGTTTGTAAAGTTCTTCGTATGCAATAGCTAATAATGATGCAGCACTTTCCAGGTGCCAAGTATTATACTCATTCAATGTATTATTGAATTTTGCAGGCAGTTACTCTCAGGCGATATAACTCATTGAGTCCTCATAACAACCCTACGATGTGGATGCTTCTATTATCCTCATTTTATAAATGAAGAAACTGAAGCCAAATGTATTGTGTTAGACTGTTCTCACACTGCTATAAAGAGCTACCTGAGACTGGGTAATTTATAAAGAGAAGAGGTTTAATCTACTCACGGGCTGTACAGCAGGCATGGCTGGGGAAGCTTCAGAGAACTTACAATCATGGCAAAGGGCAAAGGGGAAGCAAGCACCTTCTTCACTTGGCAGAGCAGGAGGAGAGAGCGAAGGCAGAAGTGCTACACACTTTTAAAGAACCAGATCTCGTGAGAACTCACTCACCATCACAAGAACAGCAAGGGGGAAATTCACTCCTATGATCCAACCACCTCCCAACAGGCCCCTCCTTCAGCAATGATCATAATTCAACAAGAGATTTGGGTGGGGACACAGAACCAAAACAACTAACTTGTTACATCGATCATAAGTGGATAAACTGGGACTTTAACCCGTGCTTTTAACTGCTACACTGTAGAATCGCCATAAAACGTCCCCCCAAATTGTGATTTATTTTTTTTTAAGAGTATATTTTTAATTTTTATTTTTGTTAAAAATTTCAACTTTTAGATACAGGAGGTACATGTGCAGATTTGTTACATGGGAATATCGCATGATGCTAGGGGTTGAAGTATGGATCCCGTCACCCTAGTAGTGAGCATAGTACCCAATAGGTAGTTTTTAAAACCTGCTCCCTTCCCTTTACCCGCTAGTACTCCACAGTGTCTATTGTCCCCATATTTATATCTATGTGTGCTGCTCCCACTTATAAGTGAGAATATGTGGTATTTGGTTTTCTGTTCCTGCATTAGTTTGCTTAGGATTATGGCTTTCAGCTCCCTCCATGTTGCTGCAAAGGACACAATTTCATTCTTCTTCTTTTTTTTTTTTTTTTTGAGATGGAGTCTTGCTCTGTCACCCAGGCTGGAGTGCAGTGGCGCGATCTTGGCTCACTGCAAACTCCGCCTCCCGGGTTCAAGCGATTCTCCTGCCTCAGCCTCCTGAGTAGCTGGGATTACAGGCGCCTGCCACCACAGCCAGCTAATTTTTGTATTTTTAGTAGAGATGGGGTTTCACCATGTTGGCCAGGCTGGTCTTGAACTCCTGACTTCGTGATCCATCCGCCTTGGCCTCGCAAAGTACTGGGATTACAGGCATGAGCCATTGTGCCCAGCCTCATTCTTTTTTATGGCTATGTGTATTCTGTGGTGTATGTGTACCACATCTCTCTATCCAGTCGCCCATTGATGAGCACCTGAGTTGATCCCATGTCTTTGCCATTGTGAACCATTATTAAAAGAGGAAGAGCACACAATGCAGAGGAATCGGCATGTTAAGATCTGGGACATAAGAGACAGTATAACACTGTGACTTAGGCACATGACTGGTTCTGGTGAAATATCATTAAATCAGGCAGGATTTTTAACTACTAGCAATAGAAATGAATTCAAAATAGCGTAAGCTAAAGGGAATTTGTTGGTAACATCCAGGGGCCCACACAATAGACATGAGCCTGAAGGACCAGGCTTCAGAAACATGTAGAATCCATGTAAATCTCAACAGGCATTGTGGGGAAAAAATCATCTGGTGAGCAACACCTAGAAAGAATGACATCCAATCCTAGCCCCAGTTGGCTCACATTCCAAGTCCTGATAGGAAATGTCCTACTGGCCAACCTTAGTATTGCGTGCTAAGACCAGAGGAAGGAGGATCCTAACTCTTCATCTTCTAGTGTGAGAAATGTTTTTCAAGAATTATCCTCTCTCCATGACTACATAGAGGAGGAGAATTATTCCCCTGCCAGCAAATTGAGATGCTAATAGAATGGGGATGGATGTTGAAAGCTCTGTAACGACCTAGACCACTGTATGTATTGAGAGTAATGACAGTTAATGTTGAAGTACCATTCCCTAAGCCATCAAACAGGTATTTATTTGAACTCTGAGACTTTGTGTTCCAAGGAGAGAGACAGAGATGTTTGATCATTTTTCACACTGTCAAAAAAAAAGTAGACATAGGCCTCATTACTCTTGGGAGATTTGAAAGGTTTCTGGAAAAAGATGATAGCTGAAAGATTATTCTTTTTCATCATACATTCAAAGTCTAATGTGGATAGCTCCCTCATCCTTGGCTTTGAAATGACAGTTTACCAGCTTTTTCTCTCTTCTCACAGCTCCTTGATGAAGAGCTGATTCTTGCACCAAAATTAAGGTAGATGACATATCCCCCAAATTACATTTTCTGTTTTATGGCTGACTTCTTCTTTCATACAGAGAGTTGGAGAATTTCAGAAGTGGAGAAACATTAGAGATTACCTAATGTCTTCATTTTCTCGATGAGGAAACTAAGATCCAAAGACATTCTGTGGCCAGCCCAAAGTCAAGCAGAAATGAAACTCATATCTGATCTCAACTCGGTTTTTTCCATCCTAGCACATAGCCAATGAAATAATTTTTT
Source organism: Homo sapiens (assembly GCF_000001405.40). Taxonomy (NCBI): domain Eukaryota; kingdom Metazoa; phylum Chordata; class Mammalia; order Primates; family Hominidae; genus Homo; species Homo sapiens. The sequence goes on along the minus strand of NC_000011.10, from coordinate 107,683,177 downwards.
CTCAGATTTTTTTTAAGAGTTTACAACATAATTCAGATACTTCAGAAAACTGAACTTCCAAATTTCTAGGGAATATATTCTCCTCATTCAATAGGAAAATGTGAGTCAGTTTCTCTCTGAAGGAGAGAAAAACTGAAGGTTTTCCTGTACCCCAGTGCTGTTCCCCTTCTCCAGTTTCTGTGGCACTCGGCCCCTGTATCTTGCCAGTGTGCACTCGACCATAGCACAAGGATTGTTATGCTCTGCTCATTTCATGAATATTGTCTGGTGTCCTTGGCTCCTTTATCTTTGCCTAGATACACTGTACCACCTAACAGTATTTCAATCAATGTATGAATGATAACTTGTAGGTTGATTAGTTTGTCAATCGTCTTTGTTTTGCAGCTTACTTCTGCTTTCAGCACTTCTTGATCCTGCTCTCCATGGCCGCGGGCTGCCTGCCTGTCCACTCTAGCAACCTGCTTAGGCTACAGCCATGTGTCTTTCCCATTCCGGCTATCTTCTCAACCATCAGAGTTAGCTCATTATTAGTCTCTTAGGCTTAGTTGCTTTGTTAACTTTGATGATCATATTATTAGGTATACATGGAGAGTGTCTGTTTCAGATACTTATTGCTGCATTATCAATCACCACAAAATGTAGTGACTTAAAACCACAGGCTTTTATTGTTTCTCATGAGTCTACAGCTGATTGGCCCTTCTGATCTGGGTTGAGCATGGCTAATCTTGGCTGGGCTTGCTCATGCAACTGTAGTTAGCTGGCAGATCAGCTGGAGACTTGTTGGTCTAGGGTAACTTTGCCAAAGACAGCTTGACTTGCCTCCACGTGGTCTTTGGTTCTCCAGCAAGCTAGCCCAAGCTTGTTCCCATGGTGGTGAACACACTCAAATAGAGGAACAGGAAACTCAAAGGTTCTTTTTCTTTTTTTTTCTTTTTTTTTTTTTAAGACGGAATCTCACTCTGTCACCCAGGCAGTCTCGACTCACTGCAACCTCCGCCTCCCAGGTTCAAGTGATTCTCCTGCCTCAGCCTCCTGAGTATCTGGGACTACTGGCACATGCCACCACGCCCAACTAATTTTTGGATTTTTAGTAGAGACAGGGTTTCACCATATTGGGCGGGATGGTCTCAATCTCTTGACCTTGTGATCTGCTTGCCTTGGCCTGCCAAAGCAAAAGGTTCTTTTTCTAGCCTCTGCCTGAGTCAAGTTTGATACTGTCTATTGGTGAAAAGCAAGGCACAAGTCCACAGTCAGTGGAGAGAGTGGAGAAATCAGATTCAGGGAGGTGTGAACCTTGAGGCTTCTGGTGCAATCAATCTAGCACAACATCCATATTAAAACAATTTAAAAACTATCCAAGGCCGGGCACAATGGCTCATACCTGTAATCCCAGCACTTTGCGAGGCCAAGGCGAGTGGATCACCTGAGGTCAAGAGTTCGAGAGCAGCCTGACCAACATGGTGAAACCCTGTCTCTACTAAAAACAAAAATTAGCTGGGCATGGTGGCAGGTGCCTATAGTTCCAGCTACTCAGGAGGCCAAGACAGGAGAATTGCTTGAACCCTGGAGGCAGAGGTTGCAGTGAGCTGGTATCGTGCCACTGCACTCCAGCCTGGGTGAAGGATTGAGACTCTGTCTCAAAAAACAAACAAACAAACAAAAACACCAACTATCCAAGCTGGTTGGTTGTCATATATATGCATATACATAAGAATGCATTTGTAGATAAATAGATGATAGATAGATAAAGAATGTCTATGTGTGTGCAATTTTAATCCAAAATAAAAATAATAACCAATGGAGTAGTAATCAATGGAGTAGACATTAGTTGTTTTTGGTCGCCCTTCTCCAGTGTCCATTTGTCCCACTTCTTCCAAAAGTACCTGATTTATTTAGAGGTGAATGACTCCTCCTCTTCTCTTCATGTCTGTAGTTTTGGTGGAGTGACACATGACCACATTTAGTCAAAGCACCTAGCAACGGTCATTGTTCAAGGGATGAGTGCATGTCTCAGGTTAGGCTACTAAGAGACTCAATTCCAGGTCTTTATTTAAAATAGGCTGCCCTACCAAACTTCTTGCCAGGACCTGAACCTAAAAGTAAATAACATGGGAGCAGCTTCAGTCACTTTGCCACTGTGGAGCCAAGAGATGGAGACAAACTCAATTCTGGTGACATTTTTTGAGCCGCTAGATTCATCTATGTCTGAAGCCAGATGTATGATTCATTTATTGATATTTATTGATGGTAATCAGTAAATCTTTTTATTTTATTTAAATGTTAAAAGATTAGTACATATAAAGTACCTAGATCCATTTCTAGCAATAATAAGCACTCAATATGAGCTATTACTTGTTTATAGCAATTTGAGTTGGGTTTTCTGTTATTTGCAATCAAAGGAAGTCTAACTTAGGCAACCAATGAGAGAACAAGATATTAAAAAGAGTCCATTTATAATAGTAACGGGGAAATTACAAACCCGCCCCCCCACCAAATCCATAGGTATTAACCTAGCAAGAAATGAGACCTATACGAAGAAAGTGACAAAGCTTTATTGAGAGACCAGAAGAAGATCTGAATATGTGAAAAGAAACAAGAACCTAGATGGGAAGATTCCATATTTTAAATGGATCAAATATCCATAAGAAAATATACAAATTTGTCTACTGATTGGTTCCTTTTTCTCCATGTCCCACACCCTGATACACCTACCCCAACTCTTTCAAATGCACACTCTTCTTTCTCCTGTAATTGTGTCCTCCTGATTTAACCTTCCCAGTATTCTCCGAATCTGTTTCTTCATCTATATACTCACTTCTACAATTCCAGTTTGGGCCCCTATAATGTGTCACCTGGACTACACTACCAATTTCCCAACAATCTTGCTGTTTCTTTTTCTTTTTGATGCTTTAAATTCAGCCTCAAGTTCCAGCTTTTTTTTTTTTTGAGACAGAGTCTTGCTCTGTTGCTCAGGTTGGAGTGTGGTGATACAATCAGTAGCTCACTGTAGCTTCAAACTCCTGGGATCAAGCAATCCTTATGCCTCAGCCTCCCTACTAGCTAGGTCTACAGGTGTGTACCACCATGCCTGGCTGATTTTTTTTTTTTTTTTTTTGTAGAGACAGGGTCTTGCTTTGTTGCCAAGGCTGGCCTTGAACTCCTGAACTCAAGGGATCCTCCTGCCTTGGCCTCCCAAAGTGTTCAGATTACAGGCATAAGCCACCATGCCTAGCCAAGTTCCAGCTCTTTAACTAAGCCATCATCCAAGATCTAGTTGCCATGATATATGATAATGATTTGTGATCCTAATGTCTGAAAATGGAGTCACTCACGTCAAGTGACATTGAGCCCATGGTGAAGTTGTTTACATCTCAAAGTGATAAACATATGTGTAATGGACTGAGGTAGTAAGACAATACCTGCTGTGGCCTAGAACCACTGAGACATGAAACGAACCAATAAAAAGTAAATTCAGAAAGGTGGCTGAGATACTGAGAATGGACACACCTCTGGAGGACCATAAAGGCAGCAAGAACCTGACCTTGGACAGGACACCTTTTGACCCTCTGACCACCTTTTGAGGCCTCCCCCCAACTTGGCGTTTGCCCCCTCCCCATCCACTCCCAAGGCTCTGTCTAAGAGAAGCAGTGACTTCATTGCTGATTGAAGTCAAGGACTTTGGACCCACTTAGCCATGTGTTGGTCTCCCAACCCATCGCTGTGGTTTGTTACCTCCAATTACTGCTTCTATGGATGTTATACAGGATATTATTGCTTCATTAATCATATGTGACTCTCTTGTAACAAACTGTGAATTTGAGCACATTTAATTGGTTGAGTCATTGTGAAAGTCAGAGTTAGCACATCTAGACTGCACAAACCTAAGTAACACAACACCATTTTTATCCCATGCTCCCTGCTCTCTGACAACACTGAATTGCTTGTAATGTTCTGTGCTCTTTCTCACCTTAGTGCCTTTATTCATGTTGACCCCATGCATGGCCTCTCCCATAATACCTAGGACTTGGTACCAACCATTGCCCTCAGCTCACTCCAGCATAATTAACTGTTTAAATGTCTGTCTCCCAACTCTTGGACCTGCAGGCGAGGAGTAGGTCTTATTCATCTTGTATCCAGGTACCTAGCAGAATGCCTGGCATGTAATAGGCCCTTGATGAAGATTTGCCAAAGCCTGGAAAAGAGAATGCAGGGTTCCCTGACTCTCTGATTGTGCCAGAACAGGAAAAATGAACATTTCTTTGAGGGATATTCCTCCCATGTAACAGGACCATAAGCAAGTCGGCCCCAGGGTGCGTGAAGCTGATGAGCGGGAGAAAATAAAGACACAATATTCAGGGTTGAGCAGTGAGATGGAAAATGAATACGGTCAGTTGTGCTAAAACTATCATTCCTTGCAGCAGCGATAATAGCAAGACATAAATATTCATGATGTCATTATTTAGAGAGTTATGAAGTGTCGGCAGAGGATGTACTGTCTGGAATTTTTGCTTCAGTGCCTAAATTTATTACTGGTAAAATTAAGCAAAACAAAACAAAACAAAACATAAATAAAACGCAGTGGTCTCTGACAGCCAGCGAGACGATGACAAACTCTCAAGGTCATGGCTAAGCAAAAGGAGGGCCCTGGTCAGCGCCAGCCCAGGGGGCTCCTCTGACAAGGCTTTTATCTGGAATATTGCTAGGGTTGGCTATCATTGCTAATGGCAACCTGGCCTGAATACTTAAGAGGGTCTCCTCTTCCTTGCCAAATGCATAAATTCACTCTCCTGAGGCTGTTCTTTCTTTCTCTTAAGGTTATTTGTGTTATTTAAATAAAAACATTTATTATTTTCTCCAGATTACAGATAGCATATATACTCATGAAAGAAAATGTGGTTAACAGAAATAGTATGTATAAAATAAAAATAACTTCTAATCCTACCACCCAAAGATAACCATTTTGGTATATTTTCTTTCAGTTCCATTTCTAACATAATTTAAGTGCTGAACTGGTGGGATGTAGCATATGTTGTGTAATAAAGAACTGAGCTGAGCCAGAAAAGCTGGGTTTGCAGCACGTCTGTGCTAGTTTCTTAAAGCTGGGAAGCTGTAAGCATGGTACTCAGTTTTCTTATTTGTAAAGTATGGATAAAGACAATATACCACAGAATTAGTTTGAGAGTTAAAAGAGAAAATGGGCCGGGCTCAGTGGCTCACACCTATAATCCCAGCACTTTGGGAGGCCAAGGCGGGTGGATCACCTGAGGTCAGGAGTTGAAGACCAGCCCGGCCAACACAGTGAAACCCCGTCTCTACTAAAAATTCAAAAATCAGCTGGATGTGGTGGCACATGCCTATAATCCCAGCTACTCAGGAGACTGAGGCAGGAGAATGGCCTGAACCCGGGAGGTGGAGGTTGCAGTGACCGAGATCACACCACTGCACTCCAGCCTGGGCAACAGAGTGAGACTCTGTCTCAAAAAAAAAAAAAAAAAAAGAAAATGAATTTGTCCTAATATAATAGGACCATAAGCAAGTCTGCCCCACGGTGTGTGAAGCTGATGAGTGAGAGAAAACAAAGCCAGAATACACTTGACTCAATGAATAGCATGCACTAGGTGGTCAGTCATTGGTAGCTATCGCTATTATTATTATTATTATTATTATTATTATTATTATTATTTTTGAGACAGAGTCTCGCTCTGTCGCCCAGGCTGGAGTGCAGTGGTGGGATCTCGGCTCACTGCAAGCTCTGCCTCCCGGGTTCACGCCATTCTCCTGCCTCAGCCTCCTGAGTAGCTGGGACTACAGGCGCCTGTCACTAGACCCGGCTAATTTTTTGTATTTTTTTTAGTAGAGATGGGGTTTCACCATGTTAGCCAGGATGGTCTCAATCTCCTGACCTTGTGATCCGCCCACCTCGGCTTCCGAAAGTGCTGGGATTACAGACGGGAGCCACTGTGCCCGGCCACTATTATTATTATTAATAACTTAAGTCATCTAGTCTCAGAAATCATCCTACCCTCCTCCCTATACCTCACCCCTACATCTAGCCGGTTACCAAATCCTGCTGATTTTACTTATTTTGTGCTACGCAAATATCTCTGAGGGGATGGGATACTCAAATATATCCCCTCAGTCTCTGCTTTGGTTCAGGCCCTCGGAATTTCTTCCCTGGGCAACCACAGTTCTATTTGTTTCTTTTTCTGCTTCCTTCCAACCATTCTTCAAGAGGCAGGCAGACAGAATTTCTTAGATGCAAATGTGACCACATCAGGCCTCTGCGATAGTCACAGGGCTGCCTCATATACGTGTGTATATATATGCATATTTGCGTGAATCTATATGGGTGTGCATGCGTGTGTGTGTATGCATGTGTGTGTGTTTGGGAATTCTGAAGCTGAAGGAAGGAGTTTTGTGCTTTGGCCCCAGGAGAGGGATGGAGCGTGTGGAATTGTGTCTAAAATCCCATCTGGGCTTGGGTTCCCCCTAATGGAGGAGTTTGTGCGAGCCTGAAGACACTGTTTTTTAGGTATTTTTGGTGAGGCTATTGCTGCAGGGACCTAGGGACCAGGGGGACTCTGAATGATTTGTCATAACATCTGCATGACCCACAGCTGCAGTGTCAGCTGCTGCAGCAGCAAAGAAGCCAGGAGGGTTGAGCTGCAGAAGGCAGCAACCTGCTCAGGGCTCTGGCATAGCACCAAAGCCAAGGCCAACACACTCTCTCTCAATCGTTTGTGGAAGAGCACATCTGGATGTGTGGGTATTCCTAAATCCTCCTCCAGGAAAGATTTCAAAGAAAGGATCTGTGTTCCTGAATACAAGCAGACCTGTTATACCACACCCTTCACGACCTGGCTTCTGCCTTTGTCTCTGGCTCCTGCCTCATTTCTCGTTAGGTACCAACAACATCCGTGCTCCAGCCATTCTGTGCTAACATTGTTCTCTGGATGTGTCATGTATATGTCCATGTGTTTGCACCTGGTCTGTTAGTTAACATTAGGTCAGGCTGTAAATAACAGAGATTTAAATAAAAGCTAGCAGCTTAAACAAGATGGCTTATTTCACTTTCACATTCAAGTCTAGAGGAGGACAGACCAAAGCTGGTAGATCTGCTGAGGTTCTCAGGGATCTAGGCTATGTCCAACTCACCACTCTGACATCCCTAGGATGTGGCTCTTGTATTTATGGTCCAAGAAGGCAAATGTCACATCCAGTTTATAGCAGCAAGAAGAACCTAGAAACAAAGGAGCAGAGAGTAAGTTCCACATATCTTAAAAAAAAATTTTTTTTTATTGAGACAGGGTCTCACTCTGTTGCCCAGGCCAGAGTGCAGTGGCATGATCTCGGCTCACTGCAGACCTCCGCTTCCTGGCTCAAGTGATCCTTTGGCAGCCTCCCGAGTAGCTGGGACCACAGGTGCGTGACACCATGCCCAGCTACTTTTTGTATTTTTTTTCTTTTGTAGAAATGGGGTTTTGCCATGTTGCCCAGGCTGGTCTTGAACTCTTGAGCTCAAAGCGATCCATCTCCCTTGGCATCCCAAAGTGCTAGGATTACAGGCATGAGCCACCGTGCCTGGCCTCAGTTCCACAAATCTTTAATGTAATAATCTTAGAAGCTTCCAACAACGCTCCCACCTACATGCTATTAATCAGAATTAGTCAAATACCTAGCTGGAAGTAAAGTCAGGAAATGTAAGTCTTTGTTCTGGGGAACCATGTGCTCCAGTTTAAAATTGAGATTTTCTGTTACTATGAGAGGAGGTTCCATCAGATATTGGAGAACAACTGGCAGCCCCTGCTTACCTGGAGATTCCTACTCTTCTTTAAAGACTTGGGTTAAGCAACAGTCTTCCTGGGGAGATCTTTAACCCTTACCCTCAGCCAAGATTGGTGCTCTCAGAGCTCTCTGAGATCAGTCATAACCCTTGTTCCATCTTGATGTATTTGATTAGATGTTTACTCACTTCCAAGACTGATAACAATTTAAGGGCAGCTATAGTGTGCCTGGCACACTGTCTGCCTCATAGCAGATTAATAAATAATTTTCTGAATGAACTGTTATTATCCAGACAAGAAACTGAAGAGCAGAGAGATTCAATGATTTTTTAAAATAACTACGCACCCACAGAAATACATCCAAGTGATTTTTGACAAAGGTGTAAAAACAATTCAACGGAGGAAGGATAGCCTTTCCAACAAATGTCGCAGGAGCAATTAAATATCTATAGGCTAAAAAAATGAACCTCAATCTAAACTTTCTACTTTATATACAGTTAACTCAAGATGGATCAGAGACTTAAATGTAAAATATGAAACTCAAAAACCTTTAGGAAAAAAAATCATAGAAAATCTACAGGGCCTAGGACTGAGCAATGAGTTCTTGGACTTGACACCAAAAGTGTCACGATCCACAAGAGGAAAATTGATAAATTGGGCCTCATCAAAATTAAAATCTTTGTTTTGTGAAAGACTCTATTAAGGGGATAAAAAGACAAACTAAAGACTGGTAAAAAATATTTGCAAGCCACATACCTGACAAAAGACTAGTATCCCATACGTATAAAGAACTCTCAAAACTAAACAAATGATTCAACCAGAATATGGGCAAAAGATATGAACAGTCATTTCACTGCAGAGGTTATAAAATAGCAAAAAAAAAAAAAAAAAAAACCCATGAAAAGATGTACAACATTTTAGTTATTAGGGAAATACCAAATGTAAACCACAGTGAGATATCACCATATACCTATGTGAAAGGAAAATATCTTGGGGCCCCCAAATCACTAAGCTAAAGGGAAAATTCAAGCTGGCAACTGCTTAGGGTAAACCTGCTAAACAAACTGTGGTAAGCTCACTCCATGGAATACTACTCAGCAATAAAAAGGAGTGAATTATTGATGCACACAAAAACTTGGATGGATCTCAAGGGAATTATGCTGAGTGAAAAAGCCAATCCAAAAAAAGGTTATCAACTGTATGATTCTATTTATAACATTCTTGAAATGATCAAATGATAGAGATGAAGAACAGATTAGTGGTTGCCAGGGCTTATGGGGGGTTGAGGGAGGGAGGTGGCATATTTATGGTGATGGAACTGTTCCACATATTGATTGTGGTGATGATTTCATGAATCTACCAACACGATAAAGTTGCATGGAAACACACACAGGTAAAACTGATGAAATCTGAGTAAGTGGGTAAATTGTATCAATGGCAATTTCCTGGCTATAATTTTGTATCACAGTTATGCAAGTTGTTACCACTGGGGGAAACTGAGTGAAGGGTAGATGGAATCTCTTCATATATTTCTTACAACCTCATGTTGTAAAGAAATAGAATGATGTTGAGAAGTTTAATAAAAGATGCTTTTGAAAGCTGGAAAAAAGTTCTCCAAATAAATGTACTTAAAAGGTATTAATTATAAAAACAAGTAAACCCATAGCTAGTTAATGGTATTTTAGATAGATCCTGTTTAGGTGATCCATGTGTTCTTATGTGAAATAGTAATAATTTTTAAAAAGAGAACTTCTCAGATTTGTATAGCATGTTCATCCATGTTAATTCATTTCTTTTTTTTTTTTTTTTTTTTGAGACGTAGTCTCGCTCTGTCGCCAGGCTGTAGTGCAGTGGCGTAATCTTAGCTCACTGCAACCTCCACCTCCCGGGTTCAAGCGATTCTCCTGCCCCAGCCTCCTTAGTAGCTGGGACTAAAGGCACCTGCCACCACGCCCAGCTAATTTTTGTATTTTTGGTAGAGACTGGGTTTCACCACGTTGGCCAGGATGGTCTCGATATCTTGACCTCGTGATCTGCCCGCCTCAGCCTCCCAGAGTGCTGGGATTACAGGCATGAGCCGCCGCGCCTGGCCTTCATTTCTTATTTAAATAGGGTCAGGAATATAAGTCAGGAATATAAGTTTAAGCAAGGAAAAGACCTGAAGCCAGGAAATTAGCTATGTGGCTTATGGTAAGAATGCACATAACCCCCAAACCTACATTTTCATAGAAACATGTTAATAGCTTTCTTGTAATTGGCTAGTATTTTTAATTAATTTAAATTCCTCATCTTTATTCTAGATTATTCAAAAAGATTCAGATGGGTGAGATTCTTTGGTTTATTTAAGAATGGATTCTACCTTGCTCTGCAAAGGTTTTGGTATTCTCTTAAAATAGGGTTAGAACAGTTGGGCAGCAGAATTGTACTATTTTGATTGTATTGGTGTCTTCAAGCCCCTGGGTTCATTCTAGGAAGCACAAAGCTCAGGCTTCAAATAACTTCTAGAAAGAGTTGGTGCTGTGGACTCAGTTGTGCCCACCCCGCCCCCCCGGACCATTTTATATGTTGAAGCTCTAACCCTCCATGTGACTCTATTTGGAGATGGGCATTTGAGGTAATTAAGGTTAAATGAGATCATAAGGGTAGAGCTCTAATCTAATAAAACTGGTGGCCTTATAAGAAGAGTCAAAGAGGCCAGGTGTGGTAGCTCATGCCTATAATCCCAACACTTTGGGAGGCTAAGGCGAGGGGATCGCTTGAGACAAGGAGTTCAAGACTGGCCTGGGCAACATAGTGAGACCTTACCTGTAAAAAAGAAAAGAAAAAAGAAAGTTAGCGAGGTGTGGTGGTGGATGCCTGTGGTCCCAGCTGCTCAGGAGGCTGAGGTAGGAAGATTGCTTGAACCCAGGAATTCGAGGCTGCAGGGAGCCCTGATGGCATGACTATACTCCAGCCTGGGTGACAAAGTGAGAACTTGTCTCAAAAAACAAAAACAAAAAGAGAAGTGAAAGATTCTCAGCCAGGTACGGTGGCTCATGCCTGTAATCCCAGCACTTTGGGAGGCCGAGGCAGGTGGATCACCTGACGTCGGGAGTTTGAGACCAGCCTGACCAACATGATGAAACCCCACCTCTACTAAAAATACAAAAATAGCCAGCGTGGTGGCGCATACCTGTAATCGCAGCTACTCAGGAGGCTGAGGCAGGAGAATCGCTTGAACCTGGGAGGCGGAGGTTGCGGTGAGCCGAGATTACGCCATTGTACCCTAGCCTGGCAACAAGAACAAAACTCTGTCTTAAAAAAAAAAAGATTCTCTCTCACCCTTTCTCTTTGCACGTGCACAGGGGAAAGGCCATGGGGCACACAGTGAGAAGGGGGCCATCTGCAGGCCAGGAAGAAGGCCCTCACCAGAACCCGACCATGCTGGCACACTGACCTGGGACTTGCGGCCTCCAGAACTGTGAGACTGTTTAAGCCACTGAGTCTATGGAATTCTGTTACGGCAGTCAGAACGGACAAATACCATCACCAAGCTGCAACCAGGTGGTTCTGGTTAGTGAGGGAACAACGAACAAGCTAACAAGTGAAGACTCTACTCATTTGTTTTCTCCAGCATCTAGGAGATTGGCCATCCTGACAGACACTTTGAAAGAAGGACCCTCTGAGAAAGGTCATCCGTGGGAGTCTACATGTGGGCAGGACCAGTTTTGGCTACTGTAGGAAGCGTCCCATGCATCATGGGGTGGGGGTAGGCCACCCTCTGAGGCCCATGTCCAGGATGAGGCCCTCCTCCTCTCCATGCCAGCTCCTGTTTGCACCTCTGGGCAATGACAACAGAACACGAAGTCCTTTGTTAGAGGTGGGAGCAGGGTCAAGTTATAGTGACTGCGTAAATTGAGGGAAAACAAAGGGAATGTTTGATTGATTTCTAAACCATCAACAACTGAGACTAAATCTTGTCAGGTTTCAGTGAAGAACCAGATCAATAATCCCTAGAGAAGTGCTTCTCAGCTCAATGTGCACACATATCACCTGGGGGAGTGTTAAAATGAAGATTATCATTCAGTAGGTCTGGGGAGGGGGCTGAGATGATTCATTTCTAACAGTGCCCATTGTGGTGGTCCAAAGACTGGGCTTTGAGAAGCCAGGCACTAGATTTAGACTGTGAGGTCCCTGAGACCAAGGCCACATTTTCTTGTCTCCCGTTTGGTCCCCAGACTTGGCCCGATGGCTGGGACTAAAATAAGTTTTCAATAAATATTTGCTGAATTGAATTAGTGGGGAACACTGGCTCCAAGGACAAATTTTGTAGCTGAATTCTTTGTTAGAGGAAGCTCATAGCCAAAAACCAGAGGGATGAAAATTGAACCATGATTAAACCTGTGTTTAACTAGTTTAACTTTGGAGTTTCCCAAACACTTATAGCTAATAATTATTAGCTTATTTGAATTTTACTCCTACAGTAATCCTCTGAAGAGGAGCTGTCATTATTATTTTTATGTTACAGATGGTAAAAGCAAAGTCAGAAGGATGAAATCGTTGACCTAAAGAAGGTAGCAGCATGTGCACTGGAACACGGGTCTTTGGATTGCAAGTTTTTCCTGCTGTGCTCTGTAAAAAGAGTAAAAACATCACCCAAAGTGGATGATATAACTCTTAGTACCATATAGCTTGAGGCTGTAGATGTCCCTATTCCTCTATAATTGCTATACACTTGGTACGGAGAGCTAATATGTCAAAAATGTAAGTATATGGGTGTAATATGAGGAGATTTCTCAAAAAAAAATTCATGAGCTCTCTCTGGGCTGGCTCTGTTTTGACAAACCAGCTGCAACTGAAAGCTCCTCTCTCTTCCAGCAAAGAGGTTGCATCCCAGCTTAGCTTCCCTTAAAACCAGAGATTTCCTCCCCCAGGGCAACATCCCACAGACCTTAGGGCCTCCAGGTGCAGGGAGCTGGTGCTTCCACTCAGCTCCCAAACCGCTGGCAGCCAAGCCAGCCTGCCTGGCTGCAATGTGGTCTGATCAGATCTTCACCCCTTGGCCAAGGTTGCTTTCAGGCTTTCCCTAAAAGAAAGAACAACAGGGGGCAGGACTCTCTCCAGCTGAACTCAGACCCACACCACGAGGCCCTGGTGTGCCTTGTGAGCATGGGAAGTACTTGAACCTTCTTCTGTTGCTGACTCTTGCTTTAGAAATTTTCCTAGTAAAGCTGATTCCAAAACTTATGCCTTGTGATGCTGTGGAAATCCTCCAAGCCTTTGTAGGGTAGGCGCAATCAATCACAAAGGGACCATTGAACTTGAATGACAGAGGGGGTTTACCTGTGGTTTTTCAAGATTAATCTCAGCTTTCTCTTCTCTTTGCCACTCTTTTCTAATGGCCATAAACTCTTTTTTTTTCTTTTTTTTTTCTTTTTTTTTTTTTGAGACGGAGTTTTGCTCTTGTTGCCTAGGCTGGAGTACAGTGGCACAATCTCAGCTCACTGCAACCTCTGCCTCCCAGTTTCAAGCGATTCTCCTGCCTCAGCCTCCTGAGTAGCTGGTACTACAGGTGCCTGCCACCATGCCTGGCTAATTTTTGTATTTTTAGTAGAGACGGGTTTTCACCATGTTGGCAAGGATGGTCTCGAACTCCTGACCTCATGATCCATCTGCCTCGGCCTCCCAAAGTATTGGGATTACAGGCATGAGTCACCACGCCTGGCCCATAAACTCTTTTCTGTGGTCTTTCCCAAAGCATCGTACAGTGCTATGATTAAAAAAAAAAAAAAAAAGTAGTCAAGAGTTTGATCTTTGTAACCATGTCCTGACCCTGTCCTAACCATCTCTGTGGGGTTTCCATGAAGCATTCCAGTGATGTTAGCGGACAGCATAATTCCTGTTAGTGTCTATGAGTGGCAGCATTCTGAAGGCTATGTCAGGTCAATGAGACACAAGAACCTCAGCTGCGAAAGGAATGTTTTATTTATGAAGCGCGCACATGCCCAAAGCCCTGCGTGTTTCTCCTTCCACAGAGATAAATGCCGTGTAGCTTCCGGCCTGAGCTTGCCATCGCACAAGTCCTGCAAACCCACCTTGCTGAGGTTTCCCCTGCAAGGGAGCAGAAAGGAGATTTGCAGCCTTCCTCTCCTGGGGGAGACAGGGATCAGGAGAAAGAGCTTAAGGTCCTAGAATTGTTCTTTGAGTATCAAGGGGAAAAAAACCTGACCAAAACTGTGGGCAGTCCTGAGGGACAGTATGGCAGCATTTGAATTCACCCTACAGACATCTGAGAGAGAAGTATTTATGAACACTTCTGTTATCACTTGGGGGTGGAGTGTGTGTACGCATTTGTGTGTGTTTATAATTCACCAGTCCCCTGGGATAGTAGAGGATTCCAGTTAGGTAGACAGCAGCATAATGATTGAATGTCTGGGGTTAAGGCCTTGGGTTCAAGTCTAGCTATGCCATTTATAGGCTGGTGCAAAAGCAACTGCAGTTTTTGCCATTACTTTCAATGGCAAAACCGCAATTACTTGTGCACCAACCTAATACTTCTCTCTCTTGAGACCTTTGGCAATGTATTAAATTATCTAAGCCTGTTTGTCTAGAAAAACAAGTGCGCAGGCAAACAACAACCCATCTGATCCTGTGTGTTGTTAAGGAAATGAAATAATGCAAGGTAAGGACTAGCACCGTCCTGGCACATGGCATAAAAACCTGGTAAATGTGAGCTCTTGAAATGGAATCTGTACCAGAATCTCTTTCATCTTCTAGGACTTCATGTTATACTTGGTTCTGCTTTTCTGTCATTTTTTTCTCTAGATTAGAGCAGCTACCGTTGTTGAGCTCCCTGAAGAGTTAGAGGCATTGCTTTAATAGAGTCTGTGTCAGAAGGCTTAGTGGCTATGGGTCTAGCTGATATTTTCCTTTTTCTCTGCCCCCTTCCTCTTCTCTCCATCATCTGCCATCTCCTATCCTCATATTCCACCAACTCTGGTCCCCTCCTCACTCCCCTTCAATTTGGATCTGGCACCATATGTTTACGGATCAAGATAATTTGTTGCCATGGAGTTTGATTGCCTATTGCCAACTTAGGCCCCATCTATGCAGCTGAATTTCTCAGCTCAAACCAAGCCCATGCTTGTGATGGGTCTCTAAGATTTTGGGTAGTATCCTGGATATCAAAATGTCTATATCTGTATGATGTACTTCTCCTGCCAGAGGCTTGAAAGTAAAGAAATTGGGCTATATTTGCCTAATTAAGTTGTGGGTGGACAATCCTTATGTCTGTCTCTTGGTCTCTCTTGGCCACCTAACATCTCAGTTTTCTTAAACTGTCCCAGTTTACTCTGTTGTTCTAAAGAAACCATTAACAACATCCCCTTTCTCTCTCAACAGTGTTCTGTTTTGGAAGATATATTGTAAGGTCACCCTGTCTTTTGGGATTGGCATATATTTAAGCCTCTTTTCAAATATGGAAAAGATGGTGGGTTACCAGGCAAAAGTTTTTCAGCACAGTACAATAACAAGAACCGTGAGAAGGAAGGTCAGAGTCAAGTTTCAGAAACAGTGCTTCAGAAGGTTTTCTTTCTGTAGTGCAAACAGGAATGTGTTTTTATCATAGCAAGTAGTGCTTTGGAAGACTTGGAAGAGGCTTGCCGCACAATTGACATTTTATGTGGTCAACCCTTATTCAATGGAAAAGTATAAGCTAAAAATATTCAAGGGAAACACACACACACACACACACACACACTCCACATGTTGTTGATGCTTTTGAAACCTCTCCTCTTCTTTTTCTCACCTCACTTTGTGTGACTGGGTGGAATGCATCTTCCACAAAGTGGTGTGAATGAGAAATCTAATAATACTCAGAGCTCAAAGGAGCCGTCACAGCTTGTTCATCCTAAGATTGTGCAGCCATGTTCAAATACAATAGAAAGAAAGCATCCTAGGAGCTGAGAGGGGAAACTCTTAGCTTTGTTGGCGTCAACTATCTCTATCTGAACAGAAGAGACGCAAGCTGGTGTAAGTGCCACATGCTGTCAAGCCGTGACAGTGACATGGGACCACAATGGATAAAAAGAGACAATGAGCACATGTGGCTGCAAAGGCTGGACTGCATGTGGAATAATGCCTTCATCTACAGCAGCTGCAGCTACGGTGGAAATTCAGGGCTCCTCAGGCAGGCCTGAGGAACTAGGTTGACAAGTTCTCCCCTACTTGAGAGAGGAATATACATTCTTGTCATTACTCATGGTATCCACCATGTGCTAATCAACTCTTTCCCTTCCGCATTCTAAGAAGGGACACAGGACCATAAGAAAGGCAATGCAAAATGCTGCCACCTGGTACATGGCTGAAAGGGAAAGGATAATACAAACGCAGAAGGAAAGGATAATACAAACGCAGAAGGGAGAGAAAGGCCAAGAAAACAATGGGTAGTTAATGTTTCTGCTTTATCTAGCAACAGCCAAGCCAGGTTTCCTAGGAAGTTGTGAACCTGCTGACTCTGAATGATGGTGTGATTTATAGTCAGCTCCAGGTTGTCTGTCTTTGACATTCCATTCACTCACATATTTGCATATTCAGAAGCTGTACGAGCACAAAAATATTAATATGAAATCCAATATACGTTACAGTAGAATGACATGTAATTTATTCATATAACTGACAATTAGGCAGTACTCAAAATTCATTTAAATAAGCAAGTGGTTACACAAACATCTAATAATACTAAAATTGATAGTCAGAAGGTATAAAATACCATGGGTATGAAATGCCATGGTAAATACTATTCAACAGACTACAATCATAATTCCAAACTAAATCATGGTTTTTAAAATGATTTTTAGCAGTTCTGGAACAATTTGACTTTTCCCTTTCTAAGCAACTTACTTCTTCCACTGATACAAGACAAGGTCGTTATTTTCAAGAAATATCGCAGAGTGACTTAGCTTAGGTTGCTCTCTTGAAACACATTTTCTTGCAAATTGTTTTTTAATATTGCCCCTTGACATAGAAAACAAACTAGTCAGCACTTAGTTCCCCAAGCAAATATGCTTGGATCAGAACAGTGCCAGGGTGTAACCCAGTTCCGCAAGAGGCAGGCAGTGAAAAACCTTTTGCAGCTTTTGAAATATGCTTATTTCTTTTCTGAGGCTTCAAGCATCATACACTTAGGCATCCAAGCCAATGAAGTTATGGGAATAAAATAGTTTGATATACAGATGACTATGACACAATTGCAACTGGGGTGAGGGGAAGTTACAATATAATTTTGCAGTACTTCAAACAAAAACAGCTCCTACCTAAAGTTACTTCTTGTAAGCCTCATGAAGCATAGCTATGTTTGCAGGAACAGTTTGGCTTATCATGTGTCTGTCTGTACTATTTTATTTATTTATTTATTTATTTATTTATTTATTTATTTATTTATTTATTTATTTTTGAGATGGAGTCTTGCTCTGTCGCCAGGCTGGAGTGCAGTGGTATGATCTCGGCTCACTGTAACCTCCACCTCCCGGGTTCAAGCGATTCTCCTGCCTCAGCCTCCCGAGTAGCTGGGATTACAGGCACCCACCACCACGCCCAGCTAATTTTTGTTATTTTTAGTAGAGACGGGGTTTCACCATGTTGGCCAGGATGGTCTCGATCTCTTGACCTCGTGATCCGCCCGCCTCAGCTCCCCAAAGTGCTGGGATTACAGGTGTGAGCCACTGCGCCCGGCCCTGTTTTGTATTATTTTAAAGTCTTATACTTTATCAGAATGAGGTCCAAGCATGAACCTGGCTTGAAGAGCTAGCAGCAGTAGTCATGAAACATTTCAATAAATTAAAAGGCTTTCACAGAATGAGATTCAGCTAAACCTCTTACATACAAAATACAGCTAGAGAAATACAATTCTTTAATGCTGAATTATGAGGGAGAGGAAAAAAAGTCTAAAAAAATAGAAAACTCTCTCCATACCTGGGTATCAAGGCAAGATGTAACACTGCATAATGCCACAATATGAGCAGTCACTGGATGACAGATACTCCAGAAACAGTGGTCTCTGGGGATCTCGGAATTATGACCAAGAGATGAAAACACTGTACCAAAAGGCATGCATACAATCACTGTGTGCATTCAATGCGTGAGCTGCGACCTAAGCAGAGATCTAACAAGACAATGAGGCAGTGTTCCAGGGTATCCATTAAAACCGGCGTGGGCAACTACATGTTGATTAAACCTTCCGAGGCAGCAAAATGTGGGCACAGCGCCATGTCTGGGTTCTGCAGCTGTTTGATGATCCTCTTGCGGAATTTCTCCCTCACACGATTAAATTCCATTATGTCCATGGGGTCCTCTTCGATCCAAAACTTATGAAATTCATGCATCAAATAGCCTGTTGGAGACAATACAATGATAAGAATGCAGGAGAAAAAAAAATCCTTAATCACATTCAAAATCATTCTGAATGCTGAGGAAGATGCTGAACCAAGCCACAGCAACCGTGGAGCTCAAAGAAGACCTCAAAATCTAGAAAATACCACTGTTTAAGATTATTCTTTAAAATCAGTGCAGTTGAAGCCTACCAATCTGCAAGCTTTTTGCAATTGGCCCTGGAATCATTCTCACTCTTCCCAAGCAGGAAGACAAATCAGTTCTGCCATCTCTTGAGTATGAATCGCATCGGGAACATTTTCTGAAAGGCTGACAGTGACTACTTCATCCTTCTCCTCCTAATTAAATTAATGTGACGGTCCAACTTTTCAAAATCACTCCACTCGGACTTTATTCTCTTGATATTTGATGTAACTAAAGTTTTAAATTACCCCGACAAATCAAACAAATGCATTCTGACACTCTATTATGAGACAATAAAAATTGTAAATCAACCCTGAACAACACAGACTGGTCGTTAAACCACATGAAATTGTTAATAAGACTTCCTTGCTCTGAAGCAATAATTTCATATTCAAATCCTTTGGTGTCTCAAAAATGCTATCCACGAGTGATCTGGATTGAAACAATTTGGGGAATAAATGTTAAGTATTTGATATAAGAACCTATTCATTGTGCTTTGTTCCCCATTATGCCCCCTCCCACTACCACATTTGTTTAATTATTTTTATCTACCACATTTAGTATTGAAATATGCATAGTGTTTTTTTTTTAATACTAGATACTTGTAGGTAGTAAACTACTACAAGCTCAGGTGTCTCTATGTGTTAGAAAGAAAAGTACTTAAGGAAGTAATCCTAGTTTTAAAAAAAGAAAAACAGCCAGGCATGGTGGCACATGCCTGTAGTCCCAGTTGTTTGGGAGGCTGAGGTGGATCACCTGAGCTCAGGAGGTCGAGGCTGCAATGAGCTGTGATTGCGCCACTGCACTCCAGCCTCGGTGACAGAGTGATACCTGTCTCAAAAAGAGAAAAAGAAGACAAAAGAAAAACAAAGATTATGCAAAATTTTCTTTGTCTTAACATTAGAAGGAGGTAGAAAATAGAAGACAGGATTCTGGAGCCAGAAACCTGGTTTGAATCCTTGCTTTTCCACCTGCATGCATAAATGAAAATGGGGAAGGGGAGGATGAGAAGAGAATTTGGAATAAACACACTTAATTCTAATAGTACAAAAAAATCAATACTTTTTGTTTTTCTAGTAACTAGCTATGTATGGAAAAATGCTCAACATAATTTCATACATTTTTAAAAATCTTTACTCATATTTTATTTTAATACAAAATTAGGAGTGACCTTCACTGCCCCCAACACACATGGCCGGCTGCTGGTCCACTTCCACAGACCCTTCCCTCTGGTTACTTGTCTCATTGCATTGTTAAGCATGCTTATATTTGTTTAAGTATGTGGTCTCTCTGTAAATATAGGAGAAGGAGGGTTGGGTTGACTGTTCCATTTCTTTTTTTTTTTTAAGTTTATTAATTTTTTAGAGGAAAGATCTTGCAATGTTGCTCAGGCTGTCCTTGAACTCCTGGCCTCATGTGATCCTGCTGCCTCAGCCACCCAAATAGCTGGGACTACAGGCACATGCCACTGTGCCTGGCTTATGCCATTTCTTTTAGGACTAGCCTGCCTTTGGGCCCTTCACACACTAGAATTGACTGTTTTTAACATTTCTGATGAGGGTACACACCAACCATCACCCTACTGGCCTTGAGGTTACACAAGCCAGGGCCCCACTATCACTGTCATGGGAACCTGAACACATCAGAAAAGGCCCAAATCGGGAAGTATCAGTCACCCCAGAAGCCATCTCCTCTGTCTCTCTTCATCTGATGCTTGGATTCCCGGAGGCAGCATTCAGGCTTGAACTTCTCTGGTGACAACACTGACGGTTTGTTCCTTGGATGAGGAACCTGATTCTTAAAAGCTTGTTTCTTGCCAGGCACTGTGGCTCACACCTGTAATCTCAACACTTTAGAAAGCCAAGGCAGGAGGATCACTTGAGGCCAGGGGTTTGAGGCCAGCCTGGGCAACACAGGAAGACCCCGTTTCTACAAAAAAAAAAATTTTTTTTGAGACAGGGTCTCGCTCTGTTGCCCAGGCTGGAGCACAGTGGCGAATCTCAGCTCACTGCAGCCTCCACCTCCCAGGTTCAAGCAATTCGAGCGTGTGCCACCATGCCTGGCTCATTTTTGTATTTTTGGTAGAGATGGGGTTTCACCATGTTGGCCAGGTTGGTCTTGAAATCCTAACCCCAAGTGATCCACCTGCCTCGGCCACCCAAAGTGCTGGGATTACAGGTGTGAGCCACCACGCCTGGCTTACAAAAAGTTTTTTTTTGTTGTTTTTTTTTTGAGACAGAGTTTCGCTCTTGTTGCCCAGGCTGGAGTGCAATGGCACGATCTTGGCTCACCACAACCTCTGCCTCCCGGGTTCAAGCGATTCTCCTGCCTCAGCCTCCTGAGTAGCTGGGATTACAGGCATGCGCCACCACGCCTGGCTGATTTTGTATTTTTAGTAGAGACAGGGTTTCTCCATGTTGGTCAGGCTGGTCTCGAACTCCCAACCTCAAGTGATCCGCCCGCCTCAGCCTCCCAAAATGCTGGGATTACAGGCGTGAGCCACTGTGCCTGCCCACAAAAAACTTTTTAGAATAAGCTAGCTATGGTGGCTTGCACCTGTAGTCCCAGCTACTTGGGAGGCTGAGGCAGGAGGATCACTTGAGCCCAGGAGTTTGAGGCTTCAGTGAGCTAGGATGGTGCCACTGCACTCCAGCCTGAGCAAGAGAGAGAGAGACTCTGTCTCTAAAAAACAAACAAACAAATAAAGGTTCTTCCTCATTCTGGGCCTAAATCTGTTGCCCTGTATTTCACAGAACAACTTCAATCCTTCCCCAACTCAAGTGTTTGAAGTGTGCTTTATGCCCTGAGCTTTTCTCTTTCACTGCTTCTCCTCATCATTTCTCATATGCCATGATTTGGAGACTGTTTGTCATCTGGTTGTCATACTAGCTATGTATGGAAAAATGTGCACATCAACAGAAACTTGTTTCCTCTGATCTCAGTATCTTATTCAACCAACCAAAAGAATTCAATCACCTGTCCATTTCAGTGACTGGGCAAACTTCTAAAATATTCCAAGAATGATCTGCGGTACTTGTTAAAAAATGCAGATCCTCCCAGATTTAACCAGACTTGCAATTCAATAAGATGAAACTTGTGTCACTAAAGTTGAGAACTTTGGTCAAGAAGATTCTCTTTTTAAAAAGAAAGTTTCCTTGGCTTCCTCCTAAATATAATTTTTATGGTTCTAAAATAAATCTATGATAATTTATAAATCCTTCTTTCCTTACTATATAAAATACATACATAAATTTTCCTGACTGGTCTCTGAGCTCAAATAAACACATCTATTTTGTACATAGAGTCAGGTTTCCAATACTATGAATTAAAATAATCGATAATGCATCTCATTAGTATTTCATGAGTGACAGCATCTTTTCTCCTGTTGACAATGATAAACAGGCAATATGAAAAATCATCTTTTAATGAAGAATTCATTTTTCTGCAATATACATAAATGTTCACCTTTCTACAATGTGCTGGAATATTGGCAACTCACTCTAAAGGTGATGTAGTGTGGCACGGTTACAGAAGAATGTGGATTCATTTGGTTTCCCCATTTTCCTACCTTACACACAATTATAGAAAAACATCTTGAAAGGTTTAAAGGGCTTGGGTAAGGGTAGAGGAGGGGCTGGCTCACAATCTGACGCCATGCTCAGGATTCTTCCTCCGAAGATTGAAGACTGATTCCCTGGGACTCTCTTTCTCTATCCCATCAGGAAAATAAGTAAAGACTGTGTAACATGATCTTAATCAAAATGCAGAAATGGTGGTCTGGCTTCCAAGGTGCATATTATAATCATAAAGCTCCACTCACTTATATAAATTACAGTGTTCAAAAATTCATTTGGTCTGATCTGTCAGTTAACTCATCTGCCGATGAACAAATATGAAACAGACACAGTACTAGGTATTGCAGATGAAGAAAAAGGCAGACTTCCTGTGCTCCCTAATGCTGGGTCTATTGGAGAGAGGCAAACAGGAGTATAATTGCAGCTGATGATTTGTTCGCTATGGAAGCTAACAAAGTGGCATGGAAAGGAGAGGGAGAAAACAGAGGCCAGGCTATTTTCCACCATCTCATTGCATTCTTACAACAGCTTTGTGGAGTAGGTAACACAGATATTACATCTCCATCTTTCAGATGCAGATATTGGGCTTAGATGAGTTCCTTGAATGGTCTACAATAACAGGTACAGCTGGAAGCTGGAAACGAGGGCCTGAAACCAGCTGACTTTTCACCACGGCAATAGGCTGCCTTTTCCAGTACATTCTGTTCCTCTGGTTCTTATTCCTATGGAATAGTTCCTTCTTTTGGAGGTCAAAGAAAAAAATAGTTTGCTTTTCCCCTTCTGGCGTTTGTACTTTCCCTTCTGCTCATTACACCTAACCTCACTCCATTTCAATGGGGCTGTGTGTTCAGTGGAGCTTTAGACTGAATGCAATTTTTGTAACATAGTACCTTGGCAGCTCAGTGTTCACCGAATAATACTGTAACGTCAGAAGGATGGAGCTATTATATTCTTCTATTCTTCTACCTAGATGGAATACTTGTTTTGAATACTAATTTGGCTCTCTGACTCCAGCCTGCAGCATATTTGTTGCTGCTTGAATGTCTTGGTTTTGCTTCACTGCATTTGGTTAGTAGAGAGCAGAGACATATGCAAGGACACAGGTAATTGCAAGAATATTACACAGGAGACGTGCAGAACTGATCATGTCTGATTGAGGAACAATGAATCTAGGGCACAGTTTGTTTCCCTTAGAGAGGCCTGAGCCCCTCTGCCTACATACACCACAATCCATAGGGGGATTGCTGCTGCTTCCAAAACCTGATGAGGGCCTTCGGAAATATGTAATCCTATTGCATACTTGCTCATCTGGGCTAGGATTCTCTTGGAAGCGTATCAATCCAGGCCAAGACTAATACTTTTTTCTTTTGTAGAGATGGAGTTTCACCATGTTACCCAGGTTGGTCTCAAACTCCTGGGCTCAAGTGATGGTCCTGCCTCAGCCTCCCAAAGTGCTGGGATTACAGGTGTGAGCCACCGCGCCTGGCCTAAGGAGAAAATTTCCCACAGAAACTAGACTCTCCTTTCTCCTGCAAAAAACATCAGCCAGTATTTTAGCCATCCATCCATCCATCCATCCATCCATCCATCCATCCATCCATCCACCCACCCACCCACCCACCCAACCCCCCTCTAGTTACTGAGCACCTTTACCCTGTACCAGGCTTTGTGCTGAGGATACAGCAGTGAAACCTGCCCTTAAATGCCAATTCTTTATGATTCTAACTTTGACTCTTTCCTGGGAGTGCTCCCCCACTGTGTGGCTCTGATATTCTCCCAGGTGCTGATGAACCACAAATCTGTAGCTAGAGCCTTTCTAATCCTTCAGCACTCCAGAGCCCTACATTATGAGAATGCCCACTCTGCAGCTCCATATGGATTTCCCAAGAACAGCTCACCCTCAGTATGCCTAAAACTAAACTCACTCTACCTTCCCTCAAAACTACTTCCCTGATTTCTCTAATGAGCATGGTAAATACAGAACAGGGCAAGTATAAGGGGCCAGGGAAACACGGCAAGAGGCTTTCTTTATCTGGATGTTGATGCTGTTTGACGTGGCTTACAGAGCTCTTCAGGACTGCCCTCCAACCTGCTCTTAGGCTTCCAGTGCCATCTCTAGTCACCACCCGGCAAACCCTATGCTCTATTTCTTAAATCCACATACTCTTTTGCTTTATGGCCTTCACCGGACCACTCAGCCACCATTGCCTTATTTCCTGCCACTCATTCTTTTGGTCTCTTCAAAAGTGGCATTTGCTTTGGAGAAACTTCCCTGACTTCCAGGCTGAGTGAGCTAAGGCAGCCACAGACTTTTTCAATATTTATTTATTTATGAGATGCAGTCTCACTCTGTCGCCCAGGCTGGAGTGCAGTGGCACAATCTCGGCTCACTACAACCTCCACCTCCTGGTTTCAAGAGATTCTCATGCCTCAGCCTCCCGAGTAGCTGGGCTTACAGGCGTGCGCCATCACACCTGGCTAATTTTTGTATTTTTCATAGAGACAGGGTTTCACCCTTTTGATCAGGCTGGTCTTGAACTCCTGACCTCAAGTGATCTGCCCTTCTTGGCCTCCCAAAGTGCTGGGATTACAGGTGTGAGCCACTGTGCCGGCAACTTTTCCAATTTTTAGAAGCAGTACCTTTACTTCCTCAATCACTAAATTCTTCCCACTACATTTTATTTTTTTAAAGACTTTTTTGTTTCCCTTAAGATAATGCTGGACCCACTACATTTTAAGTATTTGTTTAAATGCCTGTCTTCCTCAGCATAGAACCTAATCTATAGTAAAATCTCAATCATATTTGTTGGAGATGCTCAGAATTTTTATAGGAGTGAATATAATCATCCAATTATCAAAGCAGGAGCTGTGATAATGTATGTAAGGGACTTACATTTTCCATTAACAAGTTGTAAAGTATATGTGTTTATAATTTACTTTTCATTTTTATCTAAGTTATACATGCACATTGTTCAGAATCAAATAGTTTAACAAGTCTTGTTACAAAAACGAAAAACCAAAAAAACCCCCAAAACAAAAAAAAGCAGTCTCCTGCCCTAATTCCTGCTTTCCTAAAGCAACATTTCAATTCTTTTAGCTGATTATTTTGGTTATTGATCTTCATAGCTCTAATCAACATGCTTTCCATTACTTGATTAAAAAATTTTTTTCTCTATAGGAGATAAAGATTTAGCTCCCGCTCACTCACCCCAGCCACATAGTCACTTATTTTCTCACCCTTTTCTTTACTTTGTATTAATAACTGCCTTCTTTTGTTTATTTGCCTGGCTTCCCACTTAATTTAAGCCTAAACTGTCTTCTATATATGCCAATGTCTTCTCAATGTGTTCAAACATGGTAATATTCTGTCAATTTCATGTTCTTCAAAGAGTCTCTCTCACGGCCTTCTGACCTTCTAGAATCTAAATTTATTATTTGCAGCCAATTGCACAGATATTTTGGGCTTTCCCTTCACTGTTCTCCTGGGATAGATTTCCTATTTTCTAGACCCCATTTATTCCTTTAGGATTACTCTCTTATTTTGTGGAAATAAGCTTCCTGATAAAGGTACAGAGAAGTAAAATGTTTACGACCTTGCATTAAGAAACTGTCTTTATTCTATTCCCATACTTGATTGGTAAGGTAGTAAGTTATACTGGGTGTAAAATTCTAAACTGGAAATCATATTCCCTTAGTTTTAAAAGATATTCTCTTAACTTTGATTGACTGATTGATTGATTGAGATGGGGTCTTGCTCTGTCACCCAGGCTGGAGTACAGTGGCACAATCATAGCTCATAGCAGCCTTGGCCTCCTTGGGCTCAAGCGATCTTCTCACCTCAGCCTCTTGAGTGGCTGGGACTACAGCTGGCTAATGTTTTATTTTTTGTAGAGTCAGGGTCTCGCTATGTTGCCTGGGCTGGTCTCAAACTCCTGGGCTCAAGTAATCTTCCCGCCTCAGCCTCCCAAACTGCTGGGATTACAGGTGTGATGTGCAGTGCCCAGTCTCTCTTAACTTTTGAAGCCAATATTCTATTTTTTAGAATACAACGTTGCTGTTGAGAAGTCCAATGTCATCTTGATTCCCAATTCATTGTGACAGCTTTGGAAGTTTTCGGGGTCATCTCTTTCCAGTATCATTAAATTTCACAATGATTAGAACCTTGGTGTGGGTATACATTAATCTATTATGTAGGTGCTTATTACTTTGGGTATGAAAACTCATACTTCAGTTCTGAAAATTTTTCTTAATTTATTTCTTTGATTCCCCTTCCTTAGTTTTCACCACTATTTTTCTGGCACTTCTATTATTCAAATATAAGACTTCACAGAGTGATCCGTTAATTTGACAACCTTTTTTATTTTCTATTTTTCATCTATGCCTTTTTGTTCTACTTTCTAGGAGAGTTTCAACTTAATCTTCTAATCCTTCTTGGAGATTTCATTTCTGCTAAAACATAGATCTGAGAATTAACTCAGGCTATCTTCGGAACTTGCACTCTTAAGTGCTATGCCATGAGGATCAGAGGGAGAGAAACACCCATGATGTCTTTGAGTCAGACCAGAAGGGGATACACTGAAGATTATGCAAGAGCAGGAAAGAGAAGAATTTACCATGCCTGAAAATATAAGTGTAGATTTTTGAATGAGAAAACAAAAAAATCAGAACCAAAAGAGGAAGTTCAAAGGCTCCAAAGCAGCCAAATCACAAAGATCTCTCAGCTTTGACCCTTGTCTGGAGTGTTCTACAGAAATCTCTCTCTTTCTCTTTCTCTCTCTCTCTATATTATATATATAAAATACATATAATATATATTTTTATATATATCATGTATTTTTATATATATAATATATATAATATACATATATATCATTTTTTTTGAGATGGAGTCTCACTCTGTTGTCCAGGCTGGAGTGCAGTGGCATGATCTCGGCTCACTGCAACCTCCATCTGCTGGGTTCAAGTAATTATCCTGCCTCAGCCTCCCAAGTAGCTGGGATTACAGGTGCGCATCACCATGCCTGGCTAATTTTTGTATTTTTAGTACAGATGGGGTTTCACCATGCTGGCCAAGCTGGTCTTGAACTCCTGAGCTCAGGCAATCCACTCGCCTTGGCCTCCCAAAGTGCTGGGATTACAGGGGTGAGCCACCGTGCCCAGCGTAGAAACCTATATTGATAATTATACAACAGGATACTTACAGAATGTTTGCTGAAAGTGAGACAATGTTGGAGCTTCTGGGGCGATATTGTAGAAATGGGTTTTTAGAGCTCCGCTGACCAGTAGATTATATGCCAGGTCAGTTATATTGATGCCCACAATTGCAAATGAGTACCTATAAAGTATAAACCACAAAACCAACTGTGTGTCACATAGAAGAAATAAGTATTTCCCATTAGCATGCTAAAAGACACTCCTACCAGTGCCACGACAGTGTACAAATGCCATGGTAATGTCAGGAAGTCACTTTATGGTCTAAAAGGGGAAGAACCCTCAGTTCTGGGAATTGCCCACCCCTTTCCCAGAAAACTCATGAATATTCTACCCCTTGTTCAGCAAATAATCAAGAAATAACCATAAAAATAGCCAACCAGCAGCCCTTGGGGCTGCTCTACCCACGGAGTAGCCATTCTTTTGTTTTATTCTTTTGCTTTCTTAGTAAACGTGCTTTCACTTTACAAAAAAAAAAAAAAAGGCATTTCAATAATGGGTAATCTGATATTTAACTTACTATTAAATTATCAGAGTGGCAGGTCACCCTTCCGTCCCCACCCTATCAAAACCTTGACTTTTGTAATTTAGCAGAAAATTTCAGTAATGAGTATCACGAGAATTGGTAGTTCATATACTTTGACCTTTCTATTTCCAAATATATGACAGAAAAAAAATCCGAAGTGGACAAAGCTTTATAGATATAATTCATTATAGCATTTTTAATAATGGCAATGACATGGAAACTATTCAAATATCCTAAAGAAGACAGACAGCAAAATAAATTATGGTAATCTCATATAATATACTACACCTGATTAAAACTATCTTCTTAAAGACGATTTCAGCAGGATATAAAACATTATGGATAGAGCAAGCCATTTTATTATATACACAGATGTGCAAGGAAAGAAACTAAAATAAGATGCCACAAAATATTAACATGAGCATGCTAGAGTAATAAGATTGGGTGATTTTTTGTTTACTTTTCTATAATAAATTGTAATTACTTTTATGATGAGAAAAATGTAAATAAGGATCTTAACACAGTGTATATTTTCTAGTTCCTTATTTACATGTTTACCAAAAATTAACGGAACCTGAGTTCTTAAATCCTCTCTGCTAATATAAATCCAGCACAGAAAAAAAATTCTCTATTCAGAAATATTTTTGGATAATATGGGGCATTATAAAAAAACTAAAATAAATTTTTATCAAATAGCCCAATATTTGGTAAAATCCTTAAAAGAAAACTACCAAACACAATTCTTTTTTTTTTTTTTTTTTTGAGACGGAGTCTCGCTTTGTCGCCCAGGCTGGAGTGCAGTGGCGCCATCTCCACTCACTGCAAGCTCCGCCTCCCAGGTTCACACCATTCTCCTGCCTCAGCCTCCCGAGTAGCTGGGACTACAGGCGCCCGCCAACACGCCCGGCTAATTTTTTGTATTTTTAGTAGAGACGGGGTTTCACCGTGTTAGCCAGGATGGTCTCGATCTCCTGACCTCGTGATCCGCCCGCCTCGGCCTCCCAAAGTGCTGGGATTACAGGCGTGAGCCACCGCGCCCGGCCCCAAACACAATTCTAAGTGATTTCTGAAAATCATTTCCTTATAATTACAACTTTCTACCTTGTCAGTTGTTCATAGGCAAAGTAATATCATATAACCATACAGATAAATCCACAAACATATAGAAGGGTACTTTAAACATTTTAACCAGATTGTATATTTCTATTAGGACAAGTAGAGTTTCACCCTTGTCTTTCATGATACTCTAGTTCTAGTTCTGGTTCTGTTTCAGACGGACCATCTTTCCATGTGAGATCCCATACTCACCCAATTGCCTTATCCATCCTTTTCTTCTCCCATTCTGCTTTGCTGAATTTGCTGAATGGATGAATGAATAAGTAAGTAAGTCAGATTTAACCTCTAATTGGTACTTGTTCTCTTTTAATGCTTATGTTAAAACTGTTAACTATATGCAGAGATGTCTGTAGCTCAATTATCCAACAAATGTTAAGCCACAGTACAATTTATATGGAGGTCAGAAATGGAATTATTTAAGGCCATGCTATTTACCTCCTATCCACTTTAGTATAGCCATGGGAGACAGCCCTAAAGGCCAAACATTAAGCTATTCTTTTGCACTATCATTAATGATCAAACCCCTCCTTCCTGAAACATTTAGTGAGGTAACTAGATGTCGCCTCACTCTCTCCTGATTCCCTACTGCATTTTGTTTGGTTTTACCTAGTGGTGTTTATCCTATTCACCATACTATAATAATATAATAAATAATATTATTATATTATTTGTGATGCCTGGTACATTGTAGATGCCAAATAAATGTTCATCGATAAGTAAATGATTGAGTTAGTAAAAGAAAGAAAAGAAGAAAGGAAGGAGGGAGGGAAGTAAGGAAGGTAAGGAAAGGAGGAGAGGGAGGAGAGGCGGGGAGGGGGGGAAGCAAGGAATGAAGAAAAAAAGGAAGCTAGGGAGGAAGAGAGGAAGGGAGGGAGGGAGGGAGCATTTACAGGTTTTAAAAACTCTGTCCCAATAAGTGCTATGGTATTTCTTTGGGCTAAGCTAAGTCAGTAAGCCACAGCAGCTCCATTTTCATCTTTGTTTTGTAATTTCAGCTTCTGAATAAGACTGTTTGAAAAAAGATTTCTATCATAGAAGCATTCTGAAAATGCTTTCTCTCTCTCTCTCTCTCTCTCTCTTTCTTGGCCTCGCTCTGTCATTCAGGCTGGAGTGTGGTGGTGCAATCTCAGCTCACTGTGCCCTACATTCTATTACTCTGTGTGCATCTGCCCCACTCCCATTCCCTGCCATACAGCCAATAGAAGGAGGCAGGACTCATGTTCCATTCTTCCCTGTGACTGATGTAACCTTTATTCAGTATTTTACACTAAGGTCATATGGCCTTTTCTTATACTTCCAATGCAGATAGAGATGTAATTTAACAAATAAGGAGGCACCATTCATTTATAAAGCTTTGCTGAAGAGAAAATGGGCACTTATAAATTCCTATATATAAAATTTGTATAAATTGTATAAACTGTAGTTTGCATTTGAACTCAATACAATGTAAAAACTAGTTATTATGAATATTTAATTTCTCTCTATCTAACTAGAAGAAAGGAGAGTTCTCCAGAACACACAGCAAAGATTTTATTACAAGACATGCATATAATACACACAACACACAACCACAAAAACATTACACAGAATTGATATTTAACAATGTGTACTTTCTATTCTATAAATGGCTATAATTCAAAATAACTGTTTTTAATTCATATTAAAACGTGCCACCTATTTTTAAAGTGTAACTTCTGGCTAACAAACCAAACAGCTGAAGAGGAATCAGGAGATCAGGAGATTTTTTTACCTTAAAGATTCATATCCAAACTAAAATAAGGTATGTGTGCAATTTAAGAAATTTTATATATAAGAATTTATAAGCACCTATTTTCTCTTCAGCATAGCTTTATAAATACACAGTGTCTCCATATTTATTAAATCATTTCTCTATCTGCATTGGAAATATAAGAAAAGGCCAAATGATCTCTACTTATTTGATACTTATAGGATATCCTGGCCCAAACAGATGGCATTCCCCTTGTCGGGAGAAAACAAACACACACACAAACTAATAGTCAAAATTTTCTTCTTTAACTTGAATCCACTTTTATCCCTCAAGTTACTTTAATACTCAACCAATGGATGTTTACAAGAGCAGTAATGTGTCATGCTTGCTGAAGGATAGACAGGAAAGAGCTTTCCTTAGTACACACTGACTTTTCTCTCTTGAACACCTGAAATATTCAGGGCTTGACAGAACCTACGTTGATATCATAATCAATCCATATATACTTTTATCAGACATCAGTGAAGGACAGTAGCATTTTGAAACATTCTGTTCTGTATCCAATGACATTTACCATCAGTTTGAAGTAATTAATACATGAACTTTATTGATTCAATTTTATTGTAGTTTGAGGGATAAAGCGTGGTAATTTTATATACATGACTACACATATATGCATGCACACACAAATGCTAGTCTCTTTTTAAGTAAGAGTAGTCACCCCAAACCTCAAAATACTTTCTCTTGGATGGCTGACACAGGAGATACAACTATGAAGCTTTTCTTTAAGAATGACTCATAGACAAAGTCAGTCCCCCTCCAGTGGTTAATCAGAAATATTGCGAGCTTATTGTCACTTTCCAAGGACTGCGGAGGACTCGTGTCTTCTGACTGATGTTCCTCTAGGATATGCCACCTGAGAGCATGGATTGACTCCCCAGCCAATTTTAACTAGAGGGAGTTTAGAGTCTCTACATTACAGAAATATGCAATTCAGAAGATGTAGTTACAAAATTAATATCGCTTGATTTTAACCATATAACAAGAAAGAGCTAAATGATTGTAGTGTTTTTCTTAAAGGAATGAATTTTTAATCGTATAAAATATTACAAATGTAAATTTGGGAAGTGTAATATGACTTAATGAATCTTAGCCAAATGAAGCTAGAATGAGTAAAATAGTAAGGTGGAGGGGGAAAAAAAGCCCAACTCAACCTATCCCTGAATCTTGAGATGGTTTTGATAAAATTTTGGATTTACTTAGCAAACATGAGTACTAACAACTAACCTACCATCATGCGAGGAGAAAAAAGTGATATAAAACTATGATTGCAAAATAATGGAACTCCTTCTAAGAAGAGTGACTAACACACACACACAAAACTATCATTTATAACAATCAAATTAGATATATTAATAGAGGAGCAAAGTTGTTCTGTGCAACAGAATTCCCAAATAAAATGCCCCTCTCTGGGGTAAATGGAGTCAGAACAGGTGTGGTGAGGTGTTCAGCCTTTAGGTGAGTGTTCAAAATGTTTCTCCAACCAGGTTCCGTCATGGCTGTAGAAAGACTGTTTGACATTTTCCAAGTGGTCAATCTCATCTGGTTTTCAGTTTGTTAAAACATAGCCCAGCTATAATTAACTATATTAGATTAAAGGTTTGAAAATGTTGGCTTTTTGAAACAAATAAATTCAGAGTTCCTTAAAAAAATTCTTACCCATACTTATTCTAAGACAAAATAAAAGCAATAAAACACAAAAACAAAGAAAAAATACCTTATTTCTTCTTTAGTGATATCCCTTCATGTAATCAAAGAAAAAAATTAGAAAAGTAAATGAAAATGCAAACAATTTAGAATCTAGAATTTTACAAGAAAGAAAGAAAAAAAAAGCCTTAGTAATTCCAGATGTTCTCACTTGGTCCCTGACTTCTTAACTTCCATTCTTCCTTCTGTTCCCCCATCATCTTTCTTGTCTCTGGACTCTTTCCCCCAGACCCTGCCCTTCTTCCATGCCCACCTCCTCAGTCTTCCTGGACACTGGTGACTCTATCAGTCCCTTTAAATACATATCTCACCTGAACGGTGCCACTTTACATCCTAAATCTTGGAATGAGTACCTGAAGTTTTAACCCTCCAACTCAGCATTTATTACAAGGGCTTGTTTGAAAAAGCTTTGAGCCTCACTCTCCTGAGAATCTCATCAACAGATACATGTAGGAGATGAAGTTCATTTGATCTAACCCATAAAACCTAATTCATCTTTTACTTTCAACAATTACCTGCATTTCGGATGAAGAGAGTCAGACAGGACCTGCTGAGCTGCTGTGGCATCCCTTTCCGCGAAATACCTGCAGCGGGAGGGAAAGAAAACCGTAACTCTATACTTGCTTACTCGCTGAATATATTCATTTTAATCCAATTCGAGGTCATTTTGAATCCAGAGATGGATACTGGCATAAGGTTATCACTTGTTTCAGCTCCTCCAGGGAACAAACAGCTTTTCACAACAGAATTTTCCAAATGTAATGACATGGTAGGGTAGCTGTGAAACACACATAGATTTAGGAATGTATCCAGTAGATTTTGAAAATTTAATTAAGAGCTTTGCCATTACCCAGAGAACCAAGGATTTTATTATGAAGAGGGGTTATAGAAGAGGAGGTCGAATAGTTTGGTGTTTGGAGGCCTTCAGAAGGCAGAAGCCTCGGTGAGGGACATGATGAAAGAAAGAAAAGACTGGAGGAGATGAGAGAGGATATGTTTCAAATATTCATTGGGAATTTGAATTCTGGATGAATGGAAAATATCTTACTGAGCATAGATATGTTAAAAACAATAACATTTTATTCTAAGGGGAAAAAGTAGTTAAGTTTCCTAATAAACACAAAAAGTTGCACACCCTCAAACATGATTCATTAAAAAGTACTTCATAGAGACAATGATAAAACAATAGCATATATTATTTAATGTGATGTGTGTATATTTCCCGCATCAATCCAAAGGGTAAAAGAAGTTCTTGAATTTCCTCTCAGGAAATTTCAAACCCAAGTCAGCAATTGTAATGCACATATTCACAGTTGTTAGTGAGACTGAGTTTCTTTTCATACTTTTGTCAGTTATCTGGGTTTCCTCTTTTATGTCTCGTCTGTTCATATTTTTTGGCTCAGTGCGTCTAAAAATGTCCTCAAATAAAAAAGACAAATAACCTTATAGAGAATAATATACTGAACATAGATCCTTTATCATTTATGTGTCAGTCTTATCTCGTTTTACTTTGTTTATGGGGCTTATCTTACTGAAGTTTTCAATTTTAATGTGTGAAATTTATTGATTCTTCTTTTCCAGTTGATGCTTTTTTTGCTCGTGTCTTTAAGAGATCTCTCCTTACTCAGATATCTTGATTTTCTTCTAAATGTAGGAAAGACTTGTTTTGGACTTTCAACTTGTGAACTGAGGTGAGGTAATGATTTAATTTATTTTTCTCAATGGAAGGCCAATTGTCCCAGTTATTTGAAAGCTCAGACTTTATCCACTTATCTGTGACATTGTCTTTCTCATTAATATTTACTTTCCATTCATTAATATTACATTAAAATGTTTCATAAAAGAATGGGTGATTATTAAACTTCTTAAATTTAAAATAAAGGGAAAGATCTATGGGAAAATTGGGATGCCACCAAAATGACTGAGTAAGGCTTAATTAACTTCTTTTAAAAATAATATCACTGCCCTAATAGGGTAGTGTCAAAGGACACAAGAACCAACTTGAAAGGACCCTTTGACTCAAAAAATAATGACTACACATGACTGAATTAAAGCATGAAAAAAATAACAAGTACAATTAGCTGAGTTACAATAAACATATAAAAACACAGGAGTTAACAAGTGGTGTTTTAAAAATAGAGCAAAAAAAAAAAATTGACACTAACAAGGGAACCAGGCTACTAACTCCTGACTCTGAGAATTGGCAAGCAAATACAAAAATTGAATATCTGTCCTGCCTATATTTCAGAGAAACCAAATAACTGTACTCTACAAGGAAACCAAGTCTTTAAAAATTCCAGCTAACAATTATAGGAAAAATAACAGAAATAGAAAAGTACTCTTTATACAATTAATTAATTGGTTCAGTAAAGATCATAGAAGGAAGAAAGGCTGATGGTGGACTTTACACTGGAGGCATCAGGCTGGGATCCCTCTGATTCGTTGCAGCACAGGGCTGAGAGTGGAGGGACACTGAAGGCCTCCCGCTGTGATGTCAATCTGAATCTCTTCAGGCCTGCCTGCATACCTCCAATTTTCAGGAAATACAGGGGACGGATACAAGTGCAAACAGACAAATCCAGACCATGGGACATATTACAGGACAACTGTTCTGAAATCTTGAAGGTAATGACATGGAGGAGGGGGCAAAAGGAAGGGAGAGAGCAAGAGAGACTGATCTAATTTAAGAAGACCAAAGGGCAATGTAACTAAGTGCAATGTGTAGATCTTACATGGAAGTGCACTAGGACAAACCAGCCGTAAAAAGTATTTTAGAGAGAACTGGGAAATTTGAATATGGACTGGATAAAGATGACGCCAAGGAATCATTGTTAATTGTGTTTGCTGTGATAATGGCATTGTGGTGAATGTGAGGTAATATTTATATTTTTTTAGAACTACATATTAAAATATGAAGGGTGAAATGATGGTGTAGAATTTTTCATTAACACCCTTCTGCCAAAAAAATAATGTTGTGAATATTTCAAAACCTCAACAATTACTGAATCTGGATGATCAATACAAGGGTGTTCTTTACAATCTTCTCTGTTTTTACATATGTGTGAAAATTTTCAATAATAAAACAATTTTTTAAATATATTTGAGATTTGCTTTAAAAATCCCTGAAGTTTGCTGAAATACAAGGAAGGTAGCAGACACTTTTAACATTTTATGAACCTGACCTCTCAGGGGACTTGAATGTTTTCTTTGAGTCTTATGGGAAGTACCTTTTGAAGCTAATTACTCAACTTTTGCCATTTCAGTATGAGGAGACCAAAACATCACTCGAACACTTAGCTGTCCTTCATTTTACTTACTGCAAATTGTACAGTCCCAGAAGTCCCATTCCTCGAAAGTCTGTTTTAGGATCATCACCTTGGAAACCAATTTCACACCACTGCTTAGAAATCCGAGATTCCAGTGGAGTATTGGGCTTCAAGAATTTCCATAACTGTAGGAAAAAAAAAAAGGATTACTCTGTTGATACACCCTTTCCTATTGGTTCAGATTTTGTAAACTACATTATTAGGAGGAGCTTTGCAAAGCTGAATGTATGCATATACATTACAATTAAAGATGTGATCATCTATGACAATGAAAGAGAGAAAAAAAAAAGATGTGATCATCTTTCAATTATTTATGACAGCATTTCTCAAAGTATGAACTGAAGCCTCCCAGGAGGTTCCCAGGACCTTTCCAGAAGGTCTGAGAGATAAAAACAAAACCAAAAAACAACCATTTCATAATAAAAGAAGAGGTTATTTGCCTTTTCGCTCTCATTGTCTCATGAGTACACAGCTGAATTTTCCAAAGGATGCATAATGTGTTGTGATATCTTTGCTCTGAAGGCAATGGATTGAGTACTTATATATTTTAATGTTTAAAGTCTATTTTAATTTTGAATAGGAAATTAGATGGTAGGTAGATAGGTAGATAGATAGATAGATAGATAGATAGATAGATAGATAGATAGATTAGATAGATAATCTCCCACAAAAAAGCTCTTTGGTGCGCTCAAAAATATTTAAGAGTATAAAGAAAAGAGAGAAGAGGAAAAATTTCAAGACCACCTATTATTCAGATTCTGGGAAAATGCTTTAATGTTATATCAAAACTTTTAGCAGCATTATTAACCAAAAAAAAAAAAAAGTGAACTGACATGAGTTTCTTTTTGCTTTTTTTTGGAGACGGACTCTTACTCTGTTGCCCAGGCTGGAGTGCTGTGGCCTGATTTCGGCTCACTGCAACCTCCACCTCCTGGGTTCAAGTGATTCTCCTGCCTCCGTCTCTGGAGTAGCTGGGATTACAGGCATGCACCACCACACCTGGCTGATTTTTGTATTTTTAGTAGAGGCGGGGTTTTACCACATCGGCCAGGCTTGTCTCAAACTCCTGAACTCCAGTGATCTGCCTGCCTCGGCCTCCCAAAGTGCTGGGATTACAGGTGTGAGCCACCACACCCGGCCAAGTTTCATTTTTTAGGTCTCACCTATAACAGGAGTGAGAGTAAACATTATCATGTAGCTGGAGGAAGGAATATCAGTAATGTTCATGAATAAACCTCAAAATGTATTATTATCTTTAAGAGTTACCAAAAGTAATGTCAATTAAAATCAATTTTATTAATACATTACTGCACAATTGTAAATTTTAAGCATTATACTCTTTACTGCTTAATAAGCTGGTTCTATTTTT
This sequence comes from Homo sapiens, assembly GCF_000001405.40. Lineage (NCBI taxonomy): Eukaryota > Metazoa > Chordata > Mammalia > Primates > Hominidae > Homo > Homo sapiens. The sequence goes on along the minus strand of NC_000011.10, from coordinate 107,646,223 downwards.
TAGTTTTCTGTAGAAAGATTCAGCACATATCATTACTTGAGAGAGACGCTGAGACCCATAATTGTATAAATATGTAATGCTCAGACTCTTAGTTTTTTCTAATAGAGATGGGCATGTAAACAAGTTTACTATTTAGACTTCTATCTTCATTACCGACAGGGTATAAACACAAATGTAAAATTTCCTTACTACTATTTCAGAAATAATTCAATTTCTAAATTGCTTATTCTACATTACAAAGCTTAAATGAAACAGTAATACACAAAATACCTTGCTAAATCAAATTGTCACATACCTGACACAGTGTAAAACATAATATTCAATGACAGAAAATACTAATAAAAGCTGTTATTCATTTTACTAATGTTATTTTATACATTAAGCTAATACTACTTACTATTCACATTATACAATATTTTATGTTAGTGCCACAACAGGTAAATTTCATTTGTCTAAAGGGCGAGAGAAAAAGGGTAAAAAGATAGGAGGTAGATCTCTCATGCTTGAAAGCAAAATATCAAGCATGAATATACAAAATCTCTTTTTAAAGAATTCATATAAGAATGTGCCAGTGCCCTGCATTCATCAAAACACAAACTGGCCGGGCGCGGTGGCTCATGCCTGTAATCCCAGCACTTTGGGAAGCCAGGAAAGGTGGGTAACTTCAGGTCAGGAGTTCGAGACCAGCCTGGCCAAGATAGTGAAACCCCATCCCTACTAAACATACAAAAAATTAGCCGGGCGTGGTGGCCCGCGCCTATAATCCCAACTACTTGGGAGGCTGAGGCAGGAGAATTGCTTGAACCCAGGAGGCGGAGCTTGCAGTGAGTCGAGATAGCACTACTGCACTCCTGCCTGGGCACAAGAGCAAAACTCCGTCTAAAAAAAACAAAAAACAAAAACCAGAAACTGAGAACATCAGAAAAGACTAAATGAGACCAGGTGATCGTCATTGGGGAAAAGTTTATTTTAAAAAATCCTTTAGAGGGCCGGGCACGGTGGCTCACGCCTGTGATCCTAGCACTTTGGGAGGTAGAGGCGGGTGGATCACGAGGTCAGGAGATCGAGACCATCCTGGTTAACGCGGTGAAACTCCGTCTCTACAAATAATACAAAAAAAAAAAAAAAAAAAAATTAGCCAGGCATGGTGGTGGGCGCCTGTAGTCCCAGCTATTCGGGAGGCTGAAGCAGGAGAATGGCTTGAACCCAGAGGCGGAGCTTGCAGTGAGCCGAGATCGCGCCACTGCACTCCAGCCCGGGCGACAGAGTGAGAGTCTATCAAAAACAAAAACAAAAACAAAAACAAAAACAAAAACCCTTTAGGAACTGATTTGGTGACTGACACAATGAAGGGAAAAAAGGGAAAAAAAATGTAAAGTTCGTCACATTCATTTGAATAATAATGTGAAGTCATCTCAGGGCCCTGCACAACTAAAAAATATATTGTTTTGGCTGGGTGCGGTGGCTTACGCCTGTAATCCCAGCACTTTGGGAGGCCGAGGCGGGCGGATCACGAGGTCAGGAGATCGAGACCATCCTGGCTAACACGGTAAAACCCCGTCTCTACTAAAAATACAAAAAATAAGCCGGGCGTGGTGGCAGGCGCCTGTAGTCCCAGCTACTCGGGAGGCTGAGGCAGGAGAATGGCGTGAACCCGGGAGGCGGAGCCTCCAGTGAGCCGAGATCGTGCCACTGCAGTCCAGCCTGGGCTACAGAGCGAGACTCTGTCTCAAAAAAAAAGAAAAAAAAGTATATATATATATATCTTGTTTCATCGAGTGAGTGCAGCAAGATGGCAAAAGCAGGCGCTTCATTTCCGTAGGTGGGTGACAAACCTTACTCATTGGGTGAATGCTTATAGCGTGGGATGCTTATTAAATGCTTAGTAAAACATTTGAATAATAAAATGCTTTTTTTTTTTTTCTTTGGAGACAGGGTCTCACTCTGCCGCCCAGGCTGGAGTGTAGTGGCATGATCTCAGCTCACTGCAACCTCTGCTTCCTGGGTACAAGGGATTCTTGTGCCTCAGCCTCCCAAGTAGCTGGGACTACAGGTGTGTACCACCATGCCCAGCTCATTTTCGTATTTTTTATTTTATTTTATTTTATTTTTTAGTAGAGACAGGGTTTCGCCATGTTGGCCAGGCTGGTGTCAAACTCCTGACCTCAAGTGATCCACCTGCCTCGGCCTCCCAAAGTTCTAGGATTACAGATATGACCCACCGTGCCTGGCCTGAATAATAAAATGCTTTAAAAAGAAATTTCATTTTAATAATTTTATGGATCATGAAAGGCTAGACAAATGGCTAAAAAGTGTTCTTAATTAAGTTGTTAATCTTCAGATGATGGCACTGTGGTGATGGCAGAGGGCATGGCAATGCTGAGGTGGACCAGGCTGGGCACCTGGCCTGACGATTCTTTTGATGAAATGGACAGTACGCTAGCTGTTCAGCAGTATACGCAACAGAACATAAGAGTCAAGATTGCTCCAATACTGACAAAAATCTTGAGCCACCTGAAGGCCAAGATGCAGGTATATGGAAGTATGAACATTTAAGGTAATTCTGCCTTGAGCTAAATGGACTTGCTGTCAAACTTCAGACTGAATGCCGTCCAGATACTTGTACTCAAATGACAGCAACTGAACAATGGAGTTTTCTTTGTGTGGCTCATAAAACTCCAAGAGTGTTCTACTACAGACTATACTAGACACAGACTTGATGGTGCTGTGTCTTCTGAAAAGCAGTAACTATTTCCCCAGCAGGGTTAGTATAAAGGAATCATCTATAGCAAAACTTGGACCAGCATACTTTAAGATTTCCAGAATATTTTCACATGCTTTTTTTTTTTTTTTTTCCTAGATGGAGTCTCATTCTGTCACCCAGGCTGGAGTGCACTGGTGTGATCTCAGCTCACTGCAACTTCTGCTTCCCGGGTTAAAGCGATTCTCCTTCCTCAGCCTCCTGAGTAGCTGGGATTACAGGTGCCAGCCACAATGCCCAGCTAATTTTTGTGTTTTTAGTAGAGATGAGGTTTCACCATGTTGGTCAGGATGGGGTTTCACCATGTTGGCCAGGCTGGTCTCGAACTCCTGACCTCAAGTGATCTGCTGGTCTCGGCCTCCCAAATTGCTGGGATTACAGGCGTGAGCCACTGTGCCTGGCCACATGCTTCTTTTTATTACTCCAGATATTGGATGAATATGAAAACGAAACATTTTTGTGTCATTTTGTATCACTAAGTTTGTGATAAAAGAAAATTTGATGTCCAAGGATAACCTGATTGTACCAACTTTAGAAGAGGAAGTTCAGAATTCAGTTTCTGGAGAAAGTAGCATGAAGGGGAATCACAAAGAAAAATATAACGATCACATGATTAACATTAATTATGTACGGTATGTATCATTTTAGACCCATCAATCATGTATCTGTATTCTAGCTTCTTCGTTTAGTATAGTTGTCTGCTGTGTTTGCCTTTTATAATGGGAAAATTTTTTAAAGTTATTCATAAGCTGTATATTCACCAGTGTGGCACTCATTATTTTTAAATAAGATTAGTATTGCTGGGCGCGGTGGCTCACACCTGTAATCTCAGCACTTTGGGAGGCTGAGGTGGATCACGAGGTCGGGAGTTGAAGACCAGCCTGGCCAAGACGGTGAAACCCCGTCTCTACTAAAAATACAAAAAAAATTAGCTGGGTGTGGTGGCGGGTGCCTGTAATCCCAGCTACTTGGGAGGCTGAGGCAGAGAATTGATTGAACCTGGGAGGTGGAGGTTGCAGTGAGCCGAGATCGTGCCACTGCACTCCAGCCTGGGTGACAGAGTGAGACTCCATCTCAAAAATAAATAAGTAAATAAGATTAGTATTATCTGTTTATAATGTCTGTTAATAAAAGAACTTACAGTTTGGTAAAATTGCTGCTAACCAAATATTGGATTATAATCCTCATCAGACAAACCCATCTATTAAAAAATGAGTGAGGGGCCACGTGCGGTGGCTCAGGCCTGTAATCCCAGCACTTTGGGAGGCCAAGGCAGGTGGATCATGAGGTCAGGAGTTCAAGATCAGCCTGGCTAAGATGGTGAAACCCTGTCTCTACTCAAAATACAAAAATTAGCCGGGCATGGTGGCAGGTGCCTGTAATCCCAGCTACTTGGGAGGCTGAGGCAGAGAATTGCTTGAACCCGGGAGGCAGAGGTTGCAGTGAGCTGAGATGGCACCACTGCACTCCAGCCTGGGTGACAGAGTGAGACTCCATCTAAAAAAAAAAAAAAAAAAAAAAAAGAGTAAGCTCATACAATCCATTTACTAAAAAGGTAGTAATGTTTTCCTTTGATTTTACCTCTGAGTTTAGATATTGTAAGTTCTGTAGTACATAGTTCCATCTTACCTGAAATGTTTTTATCTCATTTTGGGAAATGAGTTTTTAATATGCATATAGGATTATGTATAATCTAAATATAAGTGCAAATGAAGCATTAGTAATACTTAAATAATCTTACTATGCTACATAAAGTATATTCTAGGCTAGCATACTTGGACAGGATTTACCTTCCTGCACCAGTGGACTGTTACATATGAGAGGATGATGATAAGGCATGTAAATGATGTTCCCACTGGAAGCCTGCCCTGTCTGCCTTTTCTCATTTCCCTTAACTCTCTTCTCCAACTAGTTTAGCTGAAAAGCTTTCACCAGACTGTGATTTCATGGTGGCTTATGCCTGTTTATATTTGTATTAATTGCTTACAGATTATACCTCATATTAGCAATTACATTACACTATAGGAAAAATGTATTGGCATAGGTTCTGGCATATCTTGGTTTTACTAAATTGTGGTAACTACTTAGAAAACAAGTTATTAAACTAGTTTGATTCTTCCTGTTAGAGATATATATATATATATACTTATTTTTTTTCTTTTTTCTTTTTTGAGACAGAGTCTTTCTCTGTCACCCAGGTAGGAGTGCGGTGGCATGATCTCGGTTCACTGCAACCTCTGCCTCCCAGGCTCAAGTGATTCTAGTGCCTCAGCCTCCTGAGTAGCTGGGACTACAGGTGTGCACCACCACGCCTGGCTAATTTTTGTATTTTTGGTAGAGACGGTGTTTCACCATGTTGGCCAGGCTGGTCTCGAATGCCTGGCCTCAGGTGATCCACCTTCCTCGGCTTCCCAAAGTGCCTGTTAGAAATATTAACCTTTTCATCTAACCATCTAGGCAGCATTAAATAGGACTGAAGAAATATTGTAGTATTTATGTTATATCCCCTCTCCACAAAGTTTATGTTTGAATTATATGCACACATGAGATTAATTGCTATAATTCACAGGTTTTAAGGGTGTTGATGAATGGTCATACATTTGCTGGACTTTGTTATAATTCAGTGTCCTAATAATGATTCAAATGCAGATTGAATAATTTTATAATCTATTGAATGCTGTTTTTGATAAAGCACAGAAGGTTTTATTGCTAAACTGATTTTAATGGGGCACTCAGGGTCAAAAAATTGTACATGTTGTGACCAAAGTATTTAAATCCTTCTTTTGAACAGATTTAACATGAGGAACTTCTTTTTCATTAAAAAGGTTATTTTGAAATTAAGACAAAAATGTATTCAACTTAATTTTTTTTTCAGACTTAGGGAATAATTTATACTGTATTATGAGACAAGAATGTACAGCAAAAATGTGGGACTCGTAGTATACCGAGGGTATGTATAAATAGTTTATGCCTTTCCAAGCCTGCCAGTCATTTTGGCTTTGAACAGTGCCCAGCAGCCACAGTCATTATTGTACCCCTTAAGAATTCTTATGTCCACAGTGAAATGAATGTTGACTTCGAAATTATGCATTTATATTAATGGTATTGTAAACCAATGGGAATAGTAATTTTTAAAACAAACTTGCTAAATATTGAAAGGCTAAACCAGTAGGTTAATAACTATACGTAGCAAATAAAATTGTCAAACTTATTTTGGAAGATGAAAGCCCATTATGCTAAAATACTTATATGAAGTACAATTATCTGTATATTTCCTATTTAAAAAAAACCTTGAGCCAGGCGCTGTGGCTCATGCCTGTAATCCCAGCTACTCAGGAGGCTGAGGCTGGAGAATTGCTTGAACCTGGGAGGTGGAGGTTGTGGTGAGCCAAGATTGCACCACTGCACTCCAGCCTGCGTGACAGAGTGAGACCCTGTCTCAAAATAAATATGCATAAAATAAAATAGCCTTGAGCTATTTCGATTCTCTTCCAATAGGTAAGCTCTTCCCTGAAAAAATAAGAGTAGGGAATGGGGTGCTCCTGAAGGATGAGGTCATGCACTAGGAAGCCAACTTCAGATCTGAGAAATGGTGGTGGGCTTATGGTGGGGACTCTAAGGAATCCACTCATCTAAGACTGTGCTACTGGGAGTAGTTACTACAAAGCCACCTGCGAAGTGGAGGAGACCAGGGGCTAGGAAAAGTGATTAGCAGAAGACAAGAAACAGATGTGGAGACTGCACTCTGAGTCAGACTGTTATCCATCACAGCCTGCTCTCTCTGCTGAACTCTCTTCACTGTGAACTGAAGCTTTACACAAGTTTATTTGAACACTTCTGCCTGGTCTCGAACCCTCTGCAGGACAGAAAGGGAAGGCGATTCATCTGCCCTCGAGCCAGAGCATTCAAGGAGAAGCAGCTTCTCACCAAGGTCATCATGGGATTGTCTCTTTCCATCAGGAGAGGGTCTTTATTCTGGACTTTATGTTTTTCATTAAGTGCATGAATCCACCTAGAATTTTGTCTTCATTATGAATTTGGTTGGAATACTTTTAATAGAAATGTCTATATAAGTGATTCATATGGACAGTGATATTATTCAATTTCATCCCAGGCTATGTTCAAATGATCACAAAATCTAGATTTTTAAAATACTTCAGAACTCTAGTAACACTGATAATGCTCTCCTATGCTTAAAAAGCCAAGCACTTAAACATGTGGCAATACTATATATGACCTGTGCTTAGAAACTAGGGATCAGCAAACACGCTTTTACATTTAACTTAATTTAATTATTATTATTATTATTATTTTTTAGAAAGGTCACACTCTATTGCCCAGGCTAAGTACAGTGGTACAACCATAGCTCACTGTAGCCTTGACTTCCTGGGCACAAGTGATCCTCCTGCCTCAGCCTCCCAAGTAACTGGTACTACAGGTGCACATCACCATGCCCAGCTATTTATTAAAAAATTTTTTGTGGAGATGGGGTCTTGCTATGTTGCTCAGGCTGGTCTTGAACTCCTGGGCTCAAGTGATCCTCCTGCCTCAGCTTCCCAGAGTGCTGGGATTACAGGTGTGAGCCACTGTGCCTGGGCACAAACTTTGTAAAAACCAGTTGACAAATATTTTAGGCTTTATGAGCTGTACGGTCTCTCTTCTAAGTACTTAACTTTGCCTTTAAACTAGGATAGCAGCCATAGCAGCCGTAAACACCATACACAAATGCATGTGGCTGTACTGCAAATATTACTTGTAAAATGGGTGGTATGCCAAATTTGGTTTGCAGGCCTTGGTTTGCTGACTTTTGCTCTAAACAGTTCTGTGAAGTAGGTAACAAGGGTATTATTACCCATTTTAAAGATGAAGAAGCTTAAGCTCAGGCAGTGAAACACAAACCATGGGTCAGCCCTGGAAAGACAAATGTGAACAAGATGTGGTTTGTTTCTCAAGACCTAGTGCAGTGTGGTAGCTCAGAGCCCTTAGCTACCACCCTATGTGAGCTCACATAGCCACTTCACTGCTCAGCTTCAGTTTCCTCATCTGAAAAATGAAGACAACAGCAGTGTATCACCACAAGGCTACTGTGATAATGAAATGAAATAATGCCAGAAAACACTGACTGTAACAATTGGCACATACTAAACACTCCATTAATGTTTTATTATTTCTGATTTTATCATCGTACTTGAAACTTGAACAAACTGAAGAAGAGAACAAAGATTCCCACTCCTAAGTTTGCTTGGGGAGCTAGTGAAGATTTCAAAATTCAGTGAGTAAGGATTTAAAAAACGAGCCGGCTTCTGCAGTGAGAATAATGGGTAACAGAGGGAATAGCATGAACAAATTCCTGGGCGTATGGTATGGCACGACTTATTCTGGGTCACGGTGAATGGCAGAGCATGGCAGAAATGTACTATATGTGATGAGGATACAGGAGCTGTAGCTTCATGAAATACACTGGAAAGCCTCCAAAATGCCATGCTAAGATGCGTGGGCTTTCTACTATAGGACATAGCCTGAAGTTTCTAGTCTAGGGAATGACAATGAATATATCTGTGTTTTGAGGAAAAAAAAATCCCTCCAACAGTATTTTAGATGATGTGAGAGAAGAATCTAATGGTTGCTGCCATAATTAAAAGCCTGGCACAGCCCAAGTTGGAGATGATGGCTAGAATAAGGCATTGGGCATGGAAAACATTTCAAAGATACCTTAGGGTGCTGTATGGATAAGATTTAGTGATTTTTTTTTTTTTGGTTTGTTTGTTTTGAGATGGAGTCTTGCTTTGTCACCCAGGCTGGAGTGCAGTGGTGCGATCTAGGCTCATTGCAACCTCCGCCTCCTGGGTTCAAGCAATTCTCCTGCCTCAGCCTCCCGAGTACCTGGGATTACAGGCATCTGCTACTATGCCTGGCTAATTTTTGTATTTTTAGTAGAGACAGGGTTTCACCATGTTGGCCAGGCTGGTCTTGAACTCCTGACCTCAAGTGATCCACCCGCCTCAGCCTCCCAAAGTGCTGGGATTACAGGCATGAGCCACCACACCTGGCCAGATTTAGTGATTTTTGAAGGTGAACAATATGCCCCAATTGGATTGTAAGCTGCTTGAGGGCAGAAATGATGCCTTTCCCCAAAGTACCTAATGCAGTAATGAACAGCCCTGACTTTATAATTTACTAGATGTGTGAATCAGAACCTGAGCTAAAATGCTTATAGTTTTCTCATCTGTAAAATAAAGATAGCCATCATTTCCTTATCTATCTCATATAGCTGACAGTTTAAATGATAACAGATAATCTAATCATAACCACAGATAAAAGTCATATACAAGTTCTCGAGATGTAGCTAATGAACTATAATAATTCGTGCATTCACTTATATTTGTTGAAAACCCATTATGTGCCAGCACATATACAATGGATCAGCTAAAGATGGTGCCTAGCAGGCACCTGGATGTCACTCATTCTGAGGGAACCTCAGCTATTCTAATACATTGTTCAGGCTCTTGTGACTATCTGTTAATTACAACACCTCTTTTCTCTGTCACCTCTTATTTCCTATGTTTGGGTAATTTTGTTGAACTACCTCCATCAGAAAATGGCCAGAAAAAAAAAGACAATATAAAAGAGATAAAATTCAGCAGGTTAGCTAAACTTCAGCAGGGAGAAAAGGAAGAAAAACTACTGCCAAGAATGAGGCATCTTTAATTTTTAATGATTCACATCAGATCCAGCACTAATTAATAGAGACAAATGAGTCATCTGCTTAAGTACTTACATACACAAAAACATACACTCCTTCACACAAAAACACAACAGGATACATTTTTGAAATTACGCCTTCTGTTGACATTTTTCAATAAAATAAAGGCAGCTAAACAAATGTTTTCTTACAATTTTGTTACTGCCTTTATGAATTCTAGGAAAAGGCAGGGAGATACCCTAAAGCACTCTAATTCTAAAGAAGCATCTATTTTCAGAAATGAATTTATAAAACATTTCAGGTAAGTATGTAGTTCTAAAGGGTAGTCTTAATTATTGTGGGGTCTTAATTTCTTTAGCCCCAAACTCAAGTGTTTTGAGGGAAAGTTTTACTGATGTTTCTTAATATACCATCAGATCCTGTAAGATTTTTAAGGTTTTGCTTTGACAGCCAGGAGTATTCATAACTCCACATTATTTCTCCAGAAGTTCTAGTGTGCCAAATATAAACCTTTACCTCTTCTAATACTAAGTTACATGCATAAATAATCAGCATTAAGATCTTGGGTAATTTCCCAAGAGGGCCATTGCTGAAGCAGAAACCAACTTTATCTTCTCTGATGTGTATTAAAAGTCGTAAATGGGAATCCCAAGTCACTCTTTGACAAATGCTATTTCTCCTGTTGGCTTTCAACACTTGTTAAACAAACTAAACTTAAGCCAAATGTGAGAGCCCACAGAAATCACCTCTGACGTTTTCTCAGATTACAAAAGAAAATTGGCTTTGAACTTAACTTCTCACAGGAATTTTCTGATGAAAAATTTACTTCCAACACCTGAACCAGCGAGAAAACTTGACCTTACCAACCAGTTAGGTGCCCGTGTCTGATCCATCTTTGTACCCCTGATGTCCAGAGCAGCGCCTAGCACATAGCAGGTGCCTGGCAAATGTCAGCTGACTTAGAGGAAGAACCGAAATGTGTTCAAGCACTAACCTTCAAAAGCATTTCTTCATGTTGGGGATTATCAGAATCATAGGCCTCTCTACGCAGTTTTTCCACATCTGCAATAAGGTTCCTGTACCCAACGATTTGCAGAAGGCAAGCCTGAAGAGAGATTCCCAGCCTAGGGTGTTCAAAAACAGAAGAGACACACAAGGAAGAACAGGGCATTCACTTTGGCATTTGTTCACTTGATGTATGCATGATAGAACTTTTCATATTAATATAATATTCAGGAAATTGCTCAAAGATGATCTATTTAATAGAAGCACAATTCTTATTAAATCTCCACATGGACAACTGTAGAACCTGGCTAAAATTTGCCTCGAAGTCTGACTTTTTCTAAAGCTAAATGGCAATGGTATGACTTAAAAATAAGGGATTTCTGAGGCCAAGATGGGAGGATTGCTTGAAGCCAGGAGTACAAAACCAGCCTGGGCAACAAAGCAAGATCCTATCTCTACCAAAACAAAACAAAACCAAAACCCACAAGGGATTTCTTTATGCAGGTTACTTGAAATTATAGGTAATACTGGGCTCTTAGGGATTATATAGCACCCCCCAGGTGGTCATATCAGAATTACCTTAGAAAGATGTGTGGAAGAGAATGAGGATGAGGACAACAGAAAAAGCCCTTAAGGGCTTCAAGGAAAAAAATCAAAACAAAATGAAGTGAAACAAAATAACAATAACAACACCACCTCCACTTAGGAGTGTCCTCCTCAGGGGAGACAGTGCTAAGAGGGTAGTTACAACTTTACAAGATGTTCTATTACATTCTGACCGCTGTAGTTGTCTGAACACTTTTTCTTATGCTGAAACAAAATCTGCTTTGCTTATTACAAAGTGGTTCCAATTCCGTTCTCTGAGCAAATTTATTTCCACCTTTCCAGTGCCATGACTATTTAAGATAGCGAGTCTTCTAATCTCTAGGGAAAAGAGAAATCTTATTTCTTCATTTCCCTCTCATGGGACATCTTATTTCAGATGTTTTATTTTATTTTTATTTTTTATGTTTTGAGACAGAGTCTTGCTCTGTTACCCAGGCTGGAGTGCAGTGGTACAATCTTGGCTCACTGCAACCTCCGCCTCCTGATTTCTAGTGATTCTCCTGCCCTAGCCTCCCGAATAGCTGAGATTACAGGTGCCCAGCACTACATCTAGTTAATTTTTATATTTTTTAATAGAGATGGAGTTTTGCCATGTGTGGCCAGGCTGGTCTCGAACTCCTGACCTCAGGTGATCTGCCTCCCTCTGCCTCCCAAAGTGCTGGGATTACAGGCATGAGCCACTGCGCCCAGCCGGTTTTCAGATGTTTTATGATCGTTCTCAGTCCTCTCCGAATGTACACTATTTGAATAACAGTACCCTAAAAGCATATCACTAGAACAGAAAACAATCTGGCAACTGTAACACACAGAGGATCATTACTTTCTGTGACTGGAATGCTGTTTTCCCTTTCTACAGCCTCTAAAGTAATGTAGAATCTAAAGGTCTAAAAGTAGCACTTCACGTTTATTTTTTCCTCCTAAATTCTTTAGAGTCATGTATTTTCTGTGGCTCAAAAATGGCTGAACATTGGCAATTGCATATGATACTCTCCAATCTAGTCTTTTGTCTTGTTCACTCATGGACTTTGAGCATGTTTGAGGTGGTGTGGTGGTGGTCATTATAATCACTGTACATCATCATATTTTTTTTTAGGGGTAAATGACATGCACAGATGTTAAATCTCAAGTTGAGGGCAACAGAACTTAGAACTGTGTACCTGCTCCAAACGTACAGGACAGTCAGACAGCCTAGGAATACTGAACTTTAATAAAGTCATATTCAGTGAATGACTTTCATCATTACTTGTTACCATAGCACCAAACAACTAGGCCAGATATTAAAATTTAGGAAAGGGCACCATAGCACTAGCCACCTAGAAAGTCCATGTAGTATGGAGAATAGCGTTAATTTTGAGGGAAAGAGGAGAATGGACGGAATATAAGAGGCAGAAATAAGGAAAGTCAATTAAATTTTCTCTGGCCGGGTGCGGTGTCTTACGCCTGTAATCTCAGCACTTTGGGAGGCAGAGGCGGGCAGATCACGAGGTCAGGGGTTTGAGACCAGCCTGGCCAACACGGTAAAACCCCATCTTTACTAAAAATACAAAAATTAGCCAGATGTGGTGGCACGTGCCTGTAGTCCCAGCTACTTGGGAGGCTGAGGCAGGAGAATCGCTTGAACCCGGGAGGTGGAGGTTGCAGTGAGCCTAGACTGCGCCATTGCACTCCAGCCTGGGTGACAGAGCAAGACTCTTGTCTCAAAAAAAAGATTAAAATAAATAAATAAATTTTCTCTGTCGTAATTTTTAGTGCCACCATAAGCAGCACTTAAAAAATGTAATTAAAACAAGTGAGGTTAATAGTAGTAACAGTTTGGTAAGTTATAAAGTGTTTCCCCCATCTCTAAGCTATTTCTTTGTTTTCTCAGAAAAGTACTTAATTTTTTTATATCAGAGCTTATCAATGTCGCTCTGTAAAAAAGGCACTAGAATCCACATGGAGATTTAAAAAAAATACTACAGGTTGAGTAACCCTTATCTGACATGCTTGGGACCAGAAGTGTTTCAGATTTTGGAATAGTTGCATATACATAATGAGATACCTTGGGGATGGGACACAAGTCTAAACATGAAATTCATTTGTGTTTCATATACAACTTATACACATAGCCTGAAGGTAATTTTATACAACATTTTTAATAATAGATGCAATCTGTCACATGAAGTCAGCTATGGAATCTTCCATTTGTGGCATGATGTCAATGCCCAAAAGTTTCAGATTTTGGATTTTCAGATTAGGGATCCTCAACCTGAACCTAAAAGGGTCTTTTAAAAAAATGAGAACAAGAGAATGGATGGCAAAGAAATGCTCTTGAATGCACCTTATATAACTTTCATAGAAAAGATTTGCTATTAAATCTAATCCAGTCTCTAAACATGATTACAGGACTCATATATCCCTCTTGCCAGTTGTAGTCTTAAATTTTTCGTTCAATCTTATTTATAATGAACTGCCTTCTTATCACCTTCCCAGAGGAATAAAATATATGTTAGAAGGTTTCAAAAAGACCTTTACTATATAAGTAAATCAACCTTTGGTAGCTGAATAGGCAAAAGGCAGCTAATGAACTGAAGCGGCTGCTAAAGAACGCTATAGAGACCAGGCAAAAATGGAGGTTTTGTGATGAGCCCCTAGATAGCTAGTATCCAAAATCCTTCCAAGAGATAGACCTACGCAAGTGTGCTCTGAAATTCCCTTCAGCTACAGTTCCTGTAATTATTAATAAAAGCCTTTCTCAAAGGTAACATCTAAAGTTCTCAGACACGAACATCTAAAAGACAGTTTGATTGTTACCAACCTAAAACCTTCTCTAAATATATCTGCATTTGGAATTTATTCTACCCAGTGTCCTCAGTGCAAAATTTTACTGAAAAATTGCTGTACCCAGTGGAAAATATAAAGCTAATTTTAAATGTCACGAACATTGCCAAATGCATTTTAATACTTCCAAGATGAGAGGAATAAATTATGAAGTTCTAAAGTCTTCATATAAAAACCATTTCTCCTTCCCACACATGCCTGTCTTCTTGACAAGCAGGTAGAAACAGTCTCCAAGATTCTCAGCCTGTCATAAAGTAATATTCATGAAGGAAGTGAAGGACTATTCTAGATGGAACAGAATCAGCTTAAGCACATTTACAATTTGAACATTTACTGTTAGCGTAAAACATAGGCATCAGATAGAGTGATTGTTGATGAATGGGTTCATCTTTCTCTATCGGGGCACTCAACACATTTCTTACATTCTTTGCATCTGAGAAGCATAAGCCACAAAGGAAGTACAAAGTTGCTGCCATTTACAAACATGAAAAAGGTACTTTTTTTCTTTATTCCTCATCTGAAAGTCAAAACATGGCAGATGATTATTTTAGGGAGAGAGGGAGAAAAAAAAAGAGAGGAGACAGAGAAACACTAAACCTGTGGCCATGTGATTTGTGTTCTGTATTTTTGACATAAGAAACATATTCTTACTGTGGATTTACGTCAGGATTAATTTTTTTCAGTTCCATGATATCTTCTATAGTTTTTTCAATAGCGTCGGGGTGAACACTCACAGAAGTCTGCAACAGCTGGAAAACATGTTTTAATCACTTTCCTTTTCATTAACACCAGAGGCTTAATCAGTATCTACTGGGATAGAGGCTTCAAACATTTGCTTAAGCTTCTATATGAAGACTTAAGTTAAAAGCAACAATTGATTTAGCGTACTTGAATTCTAATAAATTTGACATTTTCACGATGGGGGGGGGGGTAGTGCAATTTTCCTGATAACTTTAATCAGGAAAACACATACAATTTTTTTGGTTTTGTTCTTACCATTTTCCTGTTTCAAGCTACCTATATTGAAATGTAATATTTTCATTTCCTCGCCCAACATAGTTTCTATTGTTAAGGGGTATTATGTTTATGACTAAAGAGTGAGGCACATGAGGGAGATAGTCTTCAGGATGTCAAAATTAATAAGATAAAATTATCAAGAATCTTGAAAAAGAAAATAGGTTTTCTTTCTTATATGGATGCTCCACTATGCTACAAAAGCTAGCATAGTGGCTTCTTTGATGTTATTGAAAAATCTTAAGTATAATGTTAAAAATGATTTGGATATTGAGGAAATAGTAGGGAGTTAATACTGTTACTATGTTCAAGGAATATTTATTTTATGATTTGGGAAGAGGTATAAGAAAGGGTTCATTTGACAATGAAGTAATAAGTACTTCACAAACTGCCTAGAAATTCACATACAGTGGCTGTTCTCATGTAAATAGTACAGTGGTTTGTAATGGGCAAATGATTATTTCTTCTCAGTTGGCAGTAGTTTTCCTAGCCAGTGGTATATTTTGGTTTCTTAGAATTTTTACTTCTTATGATAAAGGTAAGCTTCCAAGTGAAAAAAAAGCTGCTGAAAAATAATTTTACTTACCTTACTTTTAGAATCCCTCAGTGATGTTTCTGTGAAAGCAGCAACAAAAACAGTCATTCAAAGATTATCCTTTACACATGGTTTAGAATTACTACACTGAAAGACAACATCGTATCTTCCATCATACCAACTCTACCTTTTGCTTACTTCTTTGTCTCAGGCTTACCGATTTTCATGGTTCTAGAAGCTCCCGGCTTGGTATTATAACAGATCCGTTGTAGTTCACATCTTCCAGTTAGCTTCCTCATTACAAATTTCAGGCAGCGCCACAGAAATTTACAGTAAAAATACAGGCATACCTGGATCAACATTCTGTGAAAAACAAAACACAGCACCCTTCCAATAGAACTCTGGAAGAGAAGAGAAAGCAGCCACCACCAGCAAGAAAAGAAGCCCAGGAGAAAATCAGGGGTTAGAAAAATCACCTTATACTTAACATATGTTTCTAGTCCCATGCTACTTTATTTGCAGTAGCTACACTTACTATGACTGTAAGAAACTCCAGAATTTTCTATTCTAGTAAATCTGATATTCCAACAAACTGAGGATGAAGCATTAGAATCTTTTCTTTTCCCTCCTTTGCCTAAAACCATCTTGGAAGTAAATGAGTACCTTGAAAACAGAATCCTTTAATACTGCTTGTGTTTTAGGAGTCAGCCCTCCCTTTGACGTGGGGGAAGAACATGCTCTCCTCTTTTGCCTCCATGAACAGCCTCTCAGCTTGCCCTTGTCCATTTTCAGCCCCTCCCTAGTGTCCTCCTCACCCTCGACCAATCCCACTGTTTGATTCCTTCCCTTGCTCCCATTCTTTCCTCTTTCCCTCTGCTTTCCCTTAGGCATTGCAGACCTCCTTGAGGACTTGGTTGTGGCCACCTGCCTTTTCTGCTGACCTATCCTAACATTCCCTGGCCTTGTCAGAAGCCCTTCTCATCAGTTCACTGAACAAGCACCCTTGACCTTTGATTTTCCTAGACGTGACGACCTTCCGTGATTTAAATGTTTCAAAAACTCCTCTTGAGAAGTTTGTTCTTGGCTCTTGCTAAAGAAAGTTTTCTTTACTGTACACCCTACCTCACTCCAGCAATACCGCAACAAATGATGAACTATATTGTCACCAGTCATGTGCTTATTCACACATCTGTGGCCCATGTAAGTCCATCTTTTATGATGACTTTTAATTTTAAAAATGTGAGTGCCTACTATTTCATGGTACGGTTCAGAATTTCAAATGACTTAAGCTTTAGTGGTAAAGAGGACTTATTATCCGGGAACTTATATAGTCAACCTATTTTCTCTTTATACTGTACATCCCCAGGAGGCAGAATTATTTATATTACTTCCTTTTGTTGTCATCTGGAAAAGATTTTTCTTTATTCTCAAAAGTTCACTAATTCCTTCCAGTTCTAAAATAAGGTGATGCATGGTCACTCAGATATACTGGAGTAGTTAACTAGTAGCCTCTACAATGTGATCCATCCCTGAAAAAGAATCAAAACCTTGACCGTGTTCCTTTCCTTAAATTGCTCTGGTTCCAATAGCTTCAACAGCCTTGTGTTAAAAATAAAAACTCGAACAGTCTGATTTGCACAAAGGCATGGAGTTTATATCTTATAAATGCAAAGGAAATGGAAAGAAACCATACAAAACAACCAAGCTGCTGCACTGAGATAACATAATGGAATACTTTGCAGGCAACAAGATTATGTCCTAGAATATCTAATAACATGAAAATATCCATGATATGTTTATCAAGTAGAAAAAAGTTAAAAAGAAATATGTATGGGATAATCCACTTTTCATTTAAAAAATAAAACAAAAATTTTAATAGTAATGTATAAAGCAGGATACACAACAAAAATGTTAACAGTGATATTGATTGGTAGTAAAATAATCAGTAATTTTAATTTTCTTTTTTGATTAAGTACATTTTTATAATAAATATGTATTATTTTATTTAAAAAATGAAAATTATAACTAAAATTATGATGTATAAAATGATCACCAAAAGCCATTACAAAAGTGCATATAAAATTTCCATGTATAGTCAGTACAAAGTCAACCAGATTCTGCGGAAAGACAAAAATGGATTTACTGTTCATTCAACTGTTCTAGTCAAATATATCCTAAGATCTGTTAGGATTTAGTTTAACAGCTTCCAAAAAAAAAACACCCCAAAAAACAACAACAACAAAACCCAGTAGCCCTAAAAATAAATTTAGTGGGATATTTTAATTAGACAAGTGAGAAGGTTTATAAAACCTCAGGGCTGGACGCAGTGGCTCACGCCTGTAATACCAGCACTTTGGGAGGCTGAGGCGGGTGGATCAAGAGGTCAAGAGATCGAGGCCATCCCAGCCAATATGGTGAAACCCCATCTCTACTAAAAATACAAAAATTAGCTGGGCGTGGTGGCACATGCCTGTAATCCCAGCTACTTGGGAGGCTGAGGCAGGAGAATTGCTTGAACCCAGGAGGCGGAGGTTGCAGTGAGCCGAGATCATACCACTGCACTCCAGCCTGGCGACAGAGCAAGACTCTGTCTCAAACAAAACAAAACAAAACAAAAAAACCCCTCAGCTTGCTCTCTTGGAAAATGTTTTTCATTTTCTAACTACTGGATAGCTATGCCAAAAAAAAAAAAAGATTGAGCAATATCTTGTTAACTGGTCCCCAGCAAAATGGTAATGATATTAATTACTGGGATATATATGTATATACATTAACATATTAATATATACTATTAATTACTAAGTCAAAGATAAAAGCTTTCCCTAATATCTGTTCCATGTGCAATTTTCAGGGAAGTCCACCCCATCTGCGGGCTTGCACCTCAAAGGAAGCTACCTTTTAAGTCTGTGTGGCAGAACTCTAGCAAAAGTAGAACTATGAGATAATCCAGTTCTGTTTGTACTAAATCTTCCTAGAGAAGAGGACGACCCTTATGATCGTTCAAGGAGTGTCTCTGTATTCTTCCTATTTAGGTTCCAAGGCATCAAACAGAGCTTAAATTAAGCTACAAAAAGTCTTCCCTGTGACCTCTGTATCAGGTCTACACAAAGAGGAGGCTTGAGACCTAGAAGTGTCATCTTAAGTGGCAGGAAGTGTCCATATATAGAGTTACCTACAGCCCAACTCTAATTTCTCCCACTGGCATCCTTGTATATGAGAAAAATGACTGTGTTACTGTTTTGCATCAAGACAGTCTTACATCAAAAGGAAGAAAAGATATCTCATTCTATTTGCTTTTATCTTTTAAAAAAAACTTCCTTGATGATGCTCATACTGTCAAAGACATGAAAGCCAGGAGAAATCCACAGGAGGTGTTAGGGATGAAGCATCATTTCTTAGGGTTCACCACTCTGTGAAGTAAATCACATCTCTCTCACATAATCATAAACAATTTCAATTGTGCACATTTGAATTATGAAATGGTATCTATACGCTGCTTGTTCTTTCATAATTCCTAGGCCAACAGGACCTGATAATGCTACTTATTATCCAAGATATATTCTATTTTCTCCCCTTATTTTTCTAATGGGCCAACATGCCCACAAATATTTAATTAAAACCTCAGCTTGCTGTGCTAGGTACCATACTTTCCTGCTATGCTAGTTACTGTATTTTTTTAATCCAGATCATCAGATCAAATTATGTTTTGACAGGTGTAATTTATTTTGTGTCTAGGTTATAAACCTGGTCCAGGCAGGTCATGGTCAGAGATGGAAACATCAGGGTGATCCCTTACTTTGGAAACAATATACAACTTGCTTCCTTATAAAAGGACCAACTCCTCAAAACCTCCATGTGAGCAACTCAGGCTGGCTGTTCACCATCAAATACTGCCAGAAGCTCACTTCTTAAATAATTTGGACCTATTTAAGTCCCTAAATCACAAAGTTTATGGAAAAAACTGCTGAGGATCAAAAGCAGAACAATAAAAATGATTAACTATTTTGAGAGAATGTTATATTGGTTTGACATGTTTACCCTTTAAAGGAAGCAATAAAGAAATAGATCTGTAAATGCTCTTGAGCTAATCAGTGGTTGTTTAGGAAAGAAAGAAAGAAAGAAAAAGAAAGAAAGAGAGAGGGAAAGAAAAGAAGGAAAGAAAGAAAGAAGGAAAGAAGATAAGAAGGAAAGAAGGAAGGAAGGGAAGGGGAAGGGGAAGTGGGGGACAGGAGGGAAGGGAGGGACAGGAGGGAGGAACAGAGGGAGAGAGGAAGGAAGAGAATAAGGAAGGGAGAAAGAAAAGGTGTATCTGTTTCTTATTTGAGTTTAAGGATTTTGGGATTCATTGTACCCTTTCCTCCTTTTAATTTCATTTGTTTTATGTCCTTTTTTTTTTTTTTTTTCATGACTGCATGCTTTGGGAGGAGGCATTTCAAATGTACCTGTGAGACAGAACCCACTTACTGTCTCTTGTACCAGCACTAATCTCAACCTCCTGTTTCACACCCTCCTCACCTTCTGAACCCTCTGCTCAGGGGGTTTATGGCTCTGCTCCTTTCCCTCCTAGGCTGAATCAGGAAACCAATAAGCTTAGTTTTAATTGGGCAATATTCGCTTTTCTTCTTCATAACACTAGACTTAGTTTTCTTCATTTTGATGGAAGATTCTTGACTCACTACTAAAAATAATCTGTTAGATTTTGTAGGAACAACAATTAAATCCTCAAGACTAGATGGAGAAAATACTGATCACCACCTCCTCTTTCTAATAACTACATGCATAGGCAGCAGTTTTTTTGTTTATTTCTGTTTTTTAATCACAGCTTTTTGATAGTGTTCCAGAAAGAGTTACTGTAGCTTCCTAAGATGAATGCCTTGCTTAAACACTGGGAGAATCTGATTCAATAATAAGAGCTACTACACATGCTCCATTTCCAATCTTTTCTGTTACTGCCTTTTATTAATATGCTGCAGAGTGATGTTTATGGCTGAGTTCACAGCAGTGTTCTTCCATAAAGCAATTATGATCACGTTTATTATTTAACATTCATTCTCTAGTTTGAACCAGAATAGCCACCCAATGTAAATTATTCGAAATGGATCATATCTCTGCTACCAAACAAAAGCAACCTCCGGTCTTGTGGCGCTTTGTTAGAGGAATCCATTCAGGAGGGATGGGGCTTTCAAAACAGGAAATGCGCCTAAAACCATGTAGCCCCTTGCCTGTGGGGTGAGGGGGTGTGGGTACCTGTAATGCAACACTATGCCATCATCCTAAATTTGTGACTCTGACGTCTTCTTTTGGAACAGTAAGAGAAAAGTGGCTTATTTTGAACAGTTTCAATGAATGTGCTAATGAAAGTTAATTCTTGCTTGAAGAAATCCTGTAATAAATAAAAAGTACACTATTGTTGATGAAAGATATGTACAAAAATAATCACAGTTCTTGGTTCAAACCACAGTTTCCCAAATGAAATACTTTTCATCTAAATGTCATAAAGAAGAGCAAGCGGCTCAATGTCCCCGACAGATCATTTAGTTGCTCCACTGAAGTTCCTAAGTAGGGGCACTGACAATCGGTTGGGAATTAACTTATCAATAGGTACTTTGCCTAGTAAATGGGACCATCCGTATAAGAGCTCTCTACTAGGAAGAGAGGCTGCAGAGGACTTGGTACATGAACTGGAAATGTGAAATCACACAAAGAAACCATCCGTGGGTCTCTAGGAAAACAAGAGTATTTCCTTCCTGTAGAGCAGGGGAGAGGTTCCAAGATCCCACGCCCAGATAGTGTGGGGCCCTGTGGTTTTTTCACATTATTCTTTTTCTGAAGAGATCACACTAACTTCCGAAAAAGTAAAAATTAAGGGGATTGGTGGTTATATATCTATCATAGATCAATGTTATTCAAAATTATACTGCTGTAGCAAAGGGCACTCTTTTTATAATATATTCCAGGGAAATTGTATCTGAAGGCTTAGAGAGCACTAGTTGATTGTGTAATAATTAAAATAAATTAATTAATAGTGTAACCCTTTCCTTTCAAAGAAAAGGAGGTACAGGTTTCTCTTAATTTACTAACAACAACATTATTCAACCAAAATTTTGATGATTAAATACACTTTATAAGATTTATTTCTATTTATTTATTTGTCAAGACACGGTCTTACTCTGTTGCCTAGGCTGAAGCAGCCTCGACCTCTCTGGGCTCAGGTGGTCCTCCTACCTCAGCCTCCCCTGTAGCTGGGACTACAGGTACGCGCCACAATGCTCAGCTAATTTTTGTATTTTCTATAAAGATGGGGTCTTGCTGTGTTGCCCAAGCTGGTCTTGAACTCATGGGCTTGAGCAATCTGCCTGCCTCAGCCTCCCAAAGTGCTAGGATTATAGGCATGAGCCGCCGTGCCTGGCTACAAGATTTATTTTTTAAAATCAGGTTATGTTTTACTCTTTGGATAATACTTTTATTGACTTATTTATAAGGAGAAACAATGAACACATTATAACACATTATACTTTGACATTTTAAAAGTATTTAAATGCAACCTCAAATATAAACTTTTATTGGTAAATAAAAATATTTTTAAGGCAACCCAAATTAAGTAAACATATAAATAAAGTCATCAAAGGTATTATTCATGCTCCATCATCAATTATAGGGTTCAAAATATTCTATAGGGGATAAGAAATAGGCCTGTTATTATTATAAATTTGCTACATAATATAATTCAAAAAAAATTTAAACAACCTAGTTAGAGGACATGCTCAGTATTGTGAACAAATTAATTTTTGTTAAAGACCTAGAGCAGCTGAAAGAAAGAGATTTGAAATAAGTTGGGGGGAAATGAAAAATGACAATTGAAAGGTATTTCAATTTATTTTATTTATTCCTTCATAGAGCCAAATACAAAATAAGACTGACCGTGCAGTACAGAAGAAATGAGAGTGGGAGATATGGCAGTGGAAAAAGTGAACATGAGTCAAGAACTTATTTTCACAGCAAGCCATATGACCTCCCTGTCCACAAGGAGCTTGTAGTCTAGCAAGGAAAAGGACAGTAAAAACAGAAAGTTGAAAAACAGTGTGACAATTCTATAAAAGCAAAACACCCAGGGTGTTGGAGAGGCAGAGGAGAGAGAGACAGTACGTTCCTCTCAGGTTGGACAGGAAAGCCAGCTCCACCATCCCACAGAGACAGACAGAACAGCCTGGAAAATCAGCGTGCTTTCCTCACTTCAGTACAAAAGTGAAAATTCCAATGAGTAAATGAATGAAATTCAAACTAACATTTATTGAGTGCCCGTGGCTTTCGGGTATATTGCTCATGCTCTGCGGGAAGAGCTTAACAAACAGTGAAGTGGCCAAAGAGTTGGCCCTGAAAAGCTGAGGGAAAGCCAAGGGGCGGGAGAGCTGGGATGTACGTGATCCAGCTCCCAGAGGATCTCGGACAACAGCTTGAGGGCAATGGGCAGGCTCTGGGAAGGTCACCTACAGGAGATTGCCTAGAAAAAGATGCAGGTTAACATATTTCAATGAGAGTGTGGACACAGCTTTTGTTTGTTTTAATGCAGGGAGCAAAATAATTTAAAATATATGTGTGTATGGACACAGGAAGGGGAACATCACACACCGGGGCCTGTTGTGGGGTGGGGGAATCGGGGAGGGATAGCATTAGGAGATATACCTAATGTTAAATGATGAGTTAATGGGTACAGCACACCAACATGGCACATGTATACATATGTAACAAACCTGCACGTTGTGCACATGTACCCTAAAACTTAAAGTATAATAAAAATATATATGTGTATATATATGTGCATATTTGTGTGTGTTTATATATGTATGTGTCATATATATGCACACATACATGTAAAAATATACCTCATACATGTATGTACCATAGAAAAGAGAACACTACAGCTAAAAGTACCAGTCTACAGTGAGAGAGGTATTTGGATGCACAGGCCATAAACTTTCCCTTTTTCAGGACTTAGCTTCTATATCTCACAAGCTCAGTCAATGCCTCAAGCAATGCTAATCAAATTCTGGAACAACTACACGTTCCTGCACCTTCTGCTCTTCAAAAGCAATGGAAAGTGGGTCATGCTGAATAAAAAGTTTGACTAACTTGTCTGAAAGTCAGACTTGGAGTCTAGCCCGAATTTGCCTCAATGAACTATGTGACTTTGGAGAGGTTACTTTGCTTCTCTGGGTTTCTTCTTTCTCACACATAAGGTGAAGGGATTGGACTAGATGTCTGGCTCTAAGCGAAGGCCAGACATGTTAGAAGGGGAAAAGATATTTTTATCCGATTCTCCTTCCTCTTTGAGGTGCTCTTTAAGTCGGGGTGAAAATGTTGCCATGCTCTGGGCTGCTTCATGCTGTGCTTGCAAAGGTGACCAAGAACTGCTCCTAACTTGATTTTTGCAACTTGTCTTCTACTCACCCCAAACAGGGTCTACATCTAACAAACTTGGACCACTAGTGCTTATGGCACCAGTCATGCCTTCTTGGCCTTGTTTACAGCATCCCACATCTTCTATCCTTATTTTAAAATATTAAAATCCTAGTCCTTCCTTTCTCTCAACATTGTCTCAATGAAGCGTTTCCTGAATATTCCTTCACAAAATGTTTATAACCTGTCACTGATCGCATTCTTTTATATATCTTAGTTTTGTATGCATACGCCTCGTCTCTTACCAGGTGGTGTGTTACTTTGGAACAGAGACGTCTCACATTCATTTATTTTTGAGATGGAGTTTTGCTCTTGTCACCTAGGCTAGAGTGCAGTGGCGTGATCTCGGCTCACTGCAACCTCCGCCTCCTGGGTTCAAGCGATTCTCCTGCCTCAGTGTCCCTAGTAGCTGGGATTACAGGCACCCACCGCCATGACCAACCATTTTTTGTAATTTTAGTAGAGATGGGGTTTCACCTTGTTGGCCAGGCTGGTCTTGAACTCCTGACCTCAGGTGATCCACCTGCCTTGGCCTCCCAAAGTGCTGGGATTACAGGTGTGAGCCACCATGCCTGGCCCTCACATTCATTTTTGAATCACCTACAATACCTCACAGTGGGCTCACAGTAATGGGGTAATGTGACACAAACATGAGAAACAGCTTGGAAGTCAAAGAGGCCTGCATTCAAACATCTATGTGCCTTTGTTGAAGTCACTTAACTTTACTAAGCCTCCTTGTCCTCCTTTGTAAAATGGGATGTTATGTCTTACTTAATTACATTTGCTATGAAGAGAGAATGAAAGTGGAATAAATACTTGCATTATTAGCAATGAATGCACACTAAATGACTTAGTGGACCAAGATATTAATCAAGTATGAATGACTTAAAAATCCAATTTGTAGTTATTTTTGCTAATTGTAAGCCCTTATTTACCTAATCATACTAGAAAAATAGTTTTTTCCCTTGATTGCCTCAAAGTTGGGACATGGGATAAGTCTGCTGTATTGCTCAGTTCCTCCCACAGAGGTTTGAGCTTGGCAGATATTTTCCTTTCCTCTTTTCTGCTGGAGGAAGGAAAATAACGAGGTGAGATGCAGGGCCAAGAAACTGAGATTCTGAGACTGGAACAGTTGGAAGCAATGATTTACATGGGTGACTTTAAAATTTTCCTTTATTAATTTCCAAAATTAATCATGTTCTGATAACTTTAAAAAATATAACCTCAATAACTAAATCCCAACGAGGGAAATGATCTTCAGCACAAGTTTTCAGACTTCTCTGTTATACACATCAACTGAATTAAAGTTAGTAAAATATATTACAAAAATGAAACCCTAAGCTTTTGTTCTAGCTGGGACTTAAAAAATGTTCCTTCTTTTTCTGATCACATGTAGATATGTTTTGTTATCCATGTTTTCCCATGTTTTCTTTTTCTTTTCTCTTCTTTTTTTTGTTTTTGAGACGGAGTCTCGCTCTTTTGCCAGGCTGGAATGCAGTGGCATTATCTCGGCTCACCTTAACTTCTGACTCCCTGGTTCAAGCGATTCTCCTGCCTCAGCTTCCTAAGTAACTGGGACTACAGGCATGTGCCACCACACCCAGTTAATTTCTGTATTTTTAGTAGAGATGGTTTCACCATGTTGGCCAGGATGGTCTCGATCTCTTGACCTCGTGATCTGCCCGCCTAGGCCTCCCAAAATGCTGGGATTACGGGCGTGAGCCACCACGCCCAGCCTCATGTTTTCTTTTCATGCACATCATGGCTAAAGTCAGACTGGATGGTCTGGGGATACATACCCAATATCCCATTTCTATCCTCAATTTAAAATACACATTTTAGCCAGGTGTACTAATCAAATAGCATTTATTCCTTATATTTCATGTAATTTTTGACATACATTGAATATTTTCTCTATTCCTTTTTGCTCTGAATATTTATACCATTAATATATCTGATGGTAGCAATTGGGTATCATGTATCCTAAATGTAGATCAAAATCCATTTTTTCCCACAACCTGGTTTCTCTAAGGTTAACCTAATTTCTTCTGGGACTGTGCATGGAGCATTTCATTCTAGAACATCTCAGAAGTTGACAGATTAATCACTGCATGGGCTTTTAAATAATGCTGAATTCTTCCCAGTGAAAAGTCAGCTCCTCATTCTCCATAATACATTTGCTGAGCTCAGGAATTAACATCTGATTCATTCAGGCTTTGCTTACATAACCTTCTCTTTGGTTCAAATGAAAAGATTGCCAAAATCGTCCAACATCTGTGGAAATGGACTACAGAAAATAAATCAACTAAAGAAGGGAAATGATCAAGTTTCCTTTTATTATTTCAAAACCAATGGTCAATGAAAATCCTCAAGTTTCTGTTTTAATGTACAATCTGTTATCCTAGCTTTAGTTTCACATAAATAATCAATGCCATATAATATTTATAAAATATACACTCCAAGATACATGAAAAAAATGTTTATCAGAACACATAACTAATAGGGATGTGTTGGTTCTGTAACCCTTGGTGCTAGTCTATGCAAAATTACAATGGTAGATTTTCACTGTACCAGTTCTAAATCATCATATACAAATTAATTTAAAAATGTACTCTTTGTGCACCTATTCAGTTTAACAATAAAACTAACAGAACCAAAGGCTACTATTTTTCCTAAAATTACTGGTTTTGAGGCTGCTCAAGTTTTTCTAAAACAAATAAGACATCGAGGAAGAAATTGAGTAGTACAAGACTTGGCAACCTTACCACCATCATCACCACTTTTACAAAGGGAGCTCCTAAATTCTAAGCTTCATCTCACACTAAAGCTTTCTGTTAACATGATTCTGCAGATGAAAGACACCATGTTTACATTCAGGAGGTGTGCACAAATGCCAAATTTTCATGAATGTATAGATAGATCAGTTAATTACCATGACAACCAAGAACATATTAGGTCAAATACTTGGCTGGCAAATGTCCTCCTGATTTTTCAAATACTATATTTTTACACAGCTAAGATAAACAGTATTCTGTACAATAAAACAAATGCTGATGACTATAAATTGTTTCACAGTAACTTCCTGAGAGGTTTTCACAATTCGAAGATCCAGTAAACTACCAGTAGCTGCATCAAAACCCAGTGAATCCCACACAAACTGATCTGGGTGCTCCAGAAACAACAATGGAACCAAAACCACTGGGGTGGGGGGCAGTGGATCTTAAATTATGGCCATTGTAGGAATCAAATCATTTCTTAAAAGATGCAAGCCTATTAATTTGCTTAGAGAAAACAGGCCCGAGTGAAAGACAAGAATGTGTAACAGAAGCAGGTCACCATCTTGAGGAAAAGAAGCCCGATCTTCTGGAAAGTATGTTGTATTTTCTCACATTCAGGACCTGACTAACTTTATTTTGCCGTATTTTAATATTATGCAAAATTTATCTGGGAATTCCATTAATAGACAACTGAATGACAGTCAATACTCTTGAAAATAATTATAACTTTAGGTCCAGTCAAATGCTTTTCAAAACTAAAAAAGATCACCCCAAACATACCAATTTATGGCATACTCTGTCCAGCACAATCTTCAGGGAACCAACAATTGATACAAATTTCAGAGACATCACTGAGGTAAGAAGAGCGGAAGCTTAGAACATATAGTTTGACCGCCCACAAAATTTTAAAATGCCCATATGGATTGGCCAGCCAACCAAAATCTAAATTAAAGGATATTTAAAAGGATACTTATTTCCAGAAAATGATTTTACACAAATTGTATTAAGTGATTCATTGACAGCTATTTCCTTAAACCTTTCAGGCCAGCGGTGTACCACTGTGCAGAGACACATGGCACCAGGGCTGTCTAAAGTGCCATGCTTTTGTGCCCACACTCTCTCGCCATCTACAAGTGCTCTGTCTTATCATCAGCACGCATATAGAGTTAGCAGAGGAATCTCATGGCCAAGTTATTCTTAGCAAAAATGCAGTGCTATTTCACAGAATCTTAGGAGTCCTGGTCACAGGATCACAAACGATGACTGGTAATATTACCCTAACCAGTGAGGAGGTTTCTCCCACTGCAGAGGGCTCAGCCAGGGAACCGTAAACACATACCTCAGGAAGTGCTTCATGGTGCCCGTGTTGACTGTCCAGATGCTATATGAACTGTCCTCAAGTAATTGCTTCCAAATTTGCCTTTGTCAAAGTAAGTGTCAACTGTGGGAAGAAATTAGATATTAGGTATATTTACTAATAAGGCTGGAAGCTGCAAACCAAAAATTTCTGCTTACTGAGGCAAGCAGTTAACATGCCAGCCACCCAGAACATTATCAACAGAACTGCCCACAGAGCAATGCAATTCAATGGATAGAGGTTACAGGTATAGACTTTATATTAATACAATTAGCCTTTCATTTTAAGTCACTTGCTGGAGAAATTATGAATTTCATGAGCAATCTCTTCAATATCAGTCTTTTCCTTTATTTTGGGTATTGTTCCTATATCTTTAGGAATAGTATTCCTAAGAAAAATAAAAATGAAGAACAATAAAATTAACCAACTGGATTTCCAGATATCCAATAGTCTAGTATCTGGCGGCCCCAACTTTGTAGAAGTACAACTCAAAAATAACTGGAACCAACTAACTTCAAGATAAAAGACAACTGTTAAAGAGCTCAAGCTCAAGAATCACTTAAAGCGCAAGATACTACAAAGAAATGAATGATGCCCCAGGCCCCATTGTCTTTTGGCACTGTGAACAGAGCAGTGAGATTTGATATTTGCATGGCACTTTTTGGTTTATGATTTGCTTTCACAAAGTGTACATCAGGTTATCAGCCTTCTTCCTTTTGATAAGGAAGACACTAGGAGCAGCCTGCAAAGCAGCAAGTTAGGATGAGAGGGGATAAAACAGACTATAGAAGAGAGAGTGTCTGCAAGTGGAGAGAAGTTATCTCATGAGAAAAGAGAGAAATGGAACATCCACTGCAGCAGAAATGCAAGGAAACGAATATACATTCGAAAAAGAGCTGCGGGCAGAGACACATTGCCAACTAGAACAGCCCAGAGTGTGGGAACTCATACTTAGCTCGAATAAAAGCCAGTCTCTTATTTAACACGTTTATTTCTGTAAATATTCCATACATGCTTGAAAAAACTGTCTATACACCAATTTAAGACTGTGGTTGCTTTTGGGAAGAGAGGTGGGGTTTAGGATTGGAAGGAGAAAAATGATCTTCTCAACTTTGTGTGTTTTATTTCTTAAAATATATCTGAGGCAAAATAAAAGGAAAATAACGTTTATTCATTTTGAGTGGTGGGAACATATATTATCCTTTGTACTTTTGTGTTTTTTCTAAATGAATCCAAATTTTAATTTAATTTGGTTAGTTCCCACCCAACACTCGGATCATAATTTCTAATACATTCAACAATAAAGGCATCTAGGGGACCCTGGGAAATGGTTGATTCTAAAGCTGGGTCAGGGCAAGGTGAACCTGAAGCATATTGCAGCACAAGAAAGTCAAGAAGTGCTCAAGGTAAACAAAATAGGCGTGTGTCAAATAAACACAACAATCAACTGAAAGAACTCCCAATGGTCAAATAATTGACGTAGCCACTCTGCCCTCAAGTAGGTGGAGCAGGCCAGGCACCCTGGCTCACGCCTGTAATCCCAGCACTTTGGGAAACCGAGGCAGGCAGATCACTTGAGGTCAGGCGTTCAAGACCAGCATGGCCAACATGAAGAAACCTCATCTCTACTAAAAATACAGAAATTGGCTGGGTGTGGTAGTGCGTGCCTATAGTCCCAGTTACTCAGGAGATTGAGGCAGGAGAATCACTTGAACCGGGAGGTGGAGGTTACAGTGACCCGAGAATGCGCCACTGCACTCCAGCCTGGGTGAAGGAGTGAGACTCTGTCTCAAAAACAAACCAAACAAAAACCTCCCTATCCCTTAAATATAAACTGGACATATGACTTTCTGAGTACAGTGTGGATAGGGGAAAAAAGAATAACTACAGTAGGGCTGGGCACAGTGGCTCACACCTGTAATCTCAGCACTTTGGAAGGTGGAGGCAGGCAGATCACTTGAGGCCAGCAGTTTGAGACCAGCCTGGCCAACATGGCAAAACCCCATCTCTACTAAAAATACAAAAATTAGCCAGGTGTGGTGGTGGGCACCTGTAATCCCAGCTACTTGGGAGGCTGAGGCAGGAGAATTGCTTGAACCTGGGAGGCAGAGGTTGCAGTGAGGCAAGATGGCACCACTGCACTCCAGCCTGGGCAACAAAGTGAGACTCTGTCTCAAAAAAAAAAAAAAAAAAAAAAAAAAAAGGAAAAACCTGACAAACACTGCCTCAGCCAGGTGATCAAGGCTAAGATCACCAGTGATAAGTCATGTTGATAGCATGTAACCTTGACCTGATATGATGAAAATGGCACTTTACTCCCCCAAACATATAACCCCAGTCTAATCATGAGAACATTCGACAAACCCCAATTCAAGGGCATGCCACAAAATATCTAATCAGTACCCCTCAAAACTCTGAAAAGCTTAAAAAACAAGGAAAGTCTAAGAAACTATCACAGCCAAGAGGTGCAAGCCAAAGGAGCTATGACTATTACACGTAATGTATTATCCTGATTGGATCCTGGAATAGAAAAAAGGACATTAGGTAAAAACTAAGAAAAATTGAATGAAGCAAGGACTTTAGTTAATAATAAGGTATCAGTATTGGTCCATTAGTTGTGACAAATGTATAATATTAACGTAAGATGCTGACAACAGGCTGGGTGTGGTGGCTCACGCCTGTAATCCCAGCACTTTGGGAGGCCGAGGTGGGTGGATCACGAGGTGAGGAGATCGAGACCATCCTGGCCAACATGGTGAAACCCCGTCTCTACTAAAAATACAAAATTAGCTGGGTGTGGCAGCGCGTGCCTGTAATCCCAGCTACTTGGGAGGCTGAGGCAGGAGAATCGCTTGAACCCGGGAGGCAGAGGTTGCAGTGAGCCGAGATCACGCCACTGCACTCCAGCCTGGTGACAGAGTGAGACTACGTCTCAAAAAAAAAAAAAAAAAAAAAAAAAGATGCTGACAACAGGGGAAAGTATAAGGGAACCCTCTGTACTATCTTTGTAGCTTTTCTGTAAATCTAAAACTGTTTTCAAAATAGTTTATAAAATATGTTAATGCCTGCTACGCTCTAGACATAGTGAGGCACTAGGGATACTATAGGGTAAACAAAAGGGGCATAGCTCTACCCTGTAGATGCAACAGTCTTTGGGGAGGAGAGGAGAGAAGATGATACAGAGAAACAAACAGGGACTTAAATACAGTATTACAAGTGGAAATAGGTGCTGTGGCAGTGAGTAGGAGAGATGCTTAGCCTAGATGTAGGGGTTGGGGGTTCTCCAGATAGCACATGCAAAGCTCTAAAGGCAAAAGAGTGCAGAATATGTATAAGAGATAAAGTTCCAACATGACTTAGTGTGGTGCTCAGTGAGAGGGATGGGAAAAATAGTGATGGCAAGATAAGGAAAAGCAAGTAAGGGTCAGATCAAGCAGGCTTAGTAAGTAATGTTGAAGTTTGAACCTTATCTGAAGAGCAATAAGGAGCTATTGAAAGCTTTCCAGCTGAGATGTGACATGATCAGATCTCTAGTTTAAAAAATACACTCTGGGCCGGGCATGGTGGCTTATGCCTGTAATCCCAGCACTTTGGGAGGCCGAGGCGGGTGGATCACGAGGTCAGGAGATCGAGACCATCCTGGCCAACATGGTGAAACCCTGTCTGTACTAAAAATACAAAAATTAGCCGGGTGTGGTGGTGTGTGCCTGTAGCCCCAGTTACTCAGGAGGCTGAGGCAGGAGAATTGCTTGAACCCGGGAGGTGGAAGTTGCAGTGAGCCAAGATTGCACCATTGCACTCCAGCCTGGGCAACAGAGACTCCGTCTCAAAACAAAACAAAACAAAATACTCTGATTGTAATATGAAGAATAAATTGTAATATGAGGAATAAATCCTATACCTAAAATTATAGATATAGGATACCATCTACAGACTTGTTGCAATAACCCAGGCAAAGATATTAATGGCAGGATAAGGCAATGGACAGACAGAGGTGTGAAAGATATGAGAGATAGTTAGAAGGTAGATTCAATAGGACCTTTGTTAATTGATTGACTGCGGCAGTGGTTGGCAAAGGAAAAGGGGGAGTTGAACATTATGTCCATGTTTGTGGCCAGCAACTGGATAGACAGAGGAATTATTCATTAAGATATGATATTTTGGAGAAGCATATTTGGGGATCTGGGTATAAAAAGGTCTTTGGAACATTTTTAGTTTTCAGGACCAAGTGGTAAAGATTCATGGATCTGAAGGTCAGGAAGACAACACAGGTTGGAAACAAAGATTTGGGCTTCCTCAGCATGTAGATGGTAATTAAAACCATAGTTCAGAAGGAATTACTAAAT
The DNA here is from genome assembly GCF_000001405.40 of Homo sapiens. NCBI lineage: Eukaryota > Metazoa > Chordata > Mammalia > Primates > Hominidae > Homo > Homo sapiens. The sequence continues at coordinate 107,613,842 of NC_000011.10, read as the reverse complement.
AAGTAGCATATATGACACTTGTTCATAACAAAAGCTCTTTGTCATTAGGATATGATTGAAAAAGAACTCTCATGCAACTAAGGTAGTAAAGAATGGATTGCATTTTAGAAATAGTTTATCTAAATTTTTAACAATTCTGTACTGTTAAGTGGTTTGATTTCAGTTAACTATAAAATTGGCTTACCTGAAAAAAATTTTATTTCATAATGATGTGAGATAAGTGAAATAATACTTTAACTCCCCGTTCTTTACATAATAGTTCTTGAATTTATCCCTTGTAAAAACTTCTTGAATGTTTATGTGTCCAATATTGTGCTGAGTAACGCAGCATAGTTTAATACAGTAAAAGAGCCTTCCTATTAAGAGAAAATTTGGCAGATATGGCAGGGAGTGTGCATGGTGGTTGAGAGCACAAGTTTTGGAGACAAAGTTCTTGTCTAGGATCTACCACTAGCCAAGTGGCAGCTTTAGACAAGTTGCTTGACCTCTCTAGGATTAAATGGGGTAAGTAATTAAATTAGCTTGTAGGATTGTTCTAAGGATTAAAAGAACCAAAGCATGTAAGGCACTCAGCATAGTTACAGGTATTTAATATACATTCAGTGAGTAGTATTTATTATTAGTATTATAATTTTGTCATTCTTATTATGTTCTCCTCTAAAGTAAAAGATCATTTTGTCAAGTGAAGAATCACTTAAGAGACTGTTAAAATAAATTCTCGCAAGTTGGTGTGACCTGAACTGGGATGATGACTGTGGGGAGGGAGAGAACTGAACAGAAGTAAAAAATATTTAGAAGGTAGAATCAACTGGACTTGCTGATTGAATGGGAAAAGTGAAGGGAAGGAAAATAACCATTAGTTCTAATTGTCTGTCCCCCAAACAGGAAACAAAGATAACAATTAGATCTCATTATCTGTCCCCCAAACAGGAAACACCAAAAATGGCTTTGGGTGGCAGAAGAAGCCTGTGCAAATGCTATTTAACTCATTATTCACAGAATATTCATTAAATAACTATGCTAAATGTTTTATATAGAAAATGAAAAATTACTGTTTCTTTTTAAAGTCAAGTAGCTTTGTTTTAAAGGAGACCCACTTGTTAATGTTCTATTTGCTGTTAATTAGACAATCTGTGTTTAGCAAATCATAGCTGTGTGTGTGATGTTCTGAGCCACTATTGATAAGAAATGCCCTTTGAATTATTTTTCCATGAGTGGTACTGAGCTCATCTATTTCATTCTACTAAGCCTCTGCTATAGCCAAACCAGCATTTCCCAAGTGGTTCAGCAGGACCTAAGCATGGGGAGAATTTTTTCAAGATAATTTCAACTTTTATTTTAAATTCAGGGAGTATATTTGCAGGTTTGTTATATGCGTATGTTGCGTGATGCTGAGGTTTAGGTACAATCGATCCTGTCACCCAGGTAGTGAGCATAGTATCCAATAGTTAGTTTTTCAACCTTTGCTCCCCTCCTCCCTCCCAACTCTAGTAGTCACCAGTGTCTATTGTTGCCATCTTTATGTCCATAAGTACCCAATGTTTAGCTCCCACCTATAAGTGAGAACATCTGGTATTTTGTTTTCCGTGTTAATTTTCTTAGGATAATGGCATCCAGCTGTATCCATGTTGCTTCAAAGGACATGATTTTATTCCATTTTATGGCTGTGTAGTATTCTATGGTATACATAACACATATTCTTTATCCAGTTCACTGTTAATGGGCACCTTGGTTGATCCCATGTCTTTGTTATTGTGAACATATGCTGTGACGAACATATGCATTTGTCTTTTTGTCGAATGATTTATTTTCTTTTGGATATATACCCAACAGTGGGATTGCTGGGTCAAATGGTAGATCGTTTTAAGGTCTTTGAGATATTGCCAAACTGCTTTCCATAGTGGCTGAACTAATTTACATTCCCACCAGCAGTGTATAACATTCCCTTTTCTCCCAGCCTTGCCAGCATCTGCTGTTTTTGGACTTCTTAATAATAGCCATTCTTGCTAATGTGAGATGGTATCTCATTGTGGTTTTGATTTGCATTTTCTTCATGTTTGTTGGCTGCTTGTATGTCTTCTATTGAGAAGTGTCTGTTCGTGTCTTTTGCCCACTTTTTTTTTTTTTTTTTTTTTTTTGAGATGGAGTCTGGCTCTGTTGCCCAAGATGGAGTGCAGTGGCTTGATCTATGCTCACTGCAAGCTCCACCTCCCAGGTTCACGCCATTCTCCTGCTTCAGCCTCCAGAGTAGCTGGGACTACAGGCACCTGCCACCACGACCGGCTAATTTTTTAAAAAATATTTTTAGTAGAGATGAGGTTTCACCGTGTTAGCCAGGATGGTCTCGATCTCCTGACCTTGTGATCCGCCCACCTCGGCCTCCCAAAGTGCTGGGAATCCAGACATGAGCCACCACACCCAGCCTTGGCCACTTTTTAATGAGGTGATTTGTTTTTTGGATGTTGAATTGTTCAAGTTCCTTATAGATGCTGGTTTTAGATCCTTGTCAGATGCATAGTTTGTGACTATTTTCTCCCATTCTGTCTGTTGTCTGTTTACTTTGTCAATAATTTCTTTTGCCATGCAGAAGTTCTTTAGTTTAATTAAGCCTGGTTTTAGACCCTTGTCAGATGCATAGTTTGTGAATATTTTCTCCCATTCTGTCAGTTGTCTGTTTACTCTGTTGATAGTTTCTTTTGCTGTGTAGAAGCTCTTTAATTAAGTCCCACATATCAATTTTTGTTTTTTGTTGCAATTGCTTTTGAAGACTTAGTCATAAATTCTTTCCCAAGGCTGATATCCAGAATGATGTTCCCTAGGTTTTCTTTTTTTTTTTTTTTTTTTGGATTCTTACAGTTTGAGGTTTTACATTTAAATCTTTAATCCATCTTGAGTTAATTTTTGTAGATAGTGATAGGTTGGGTTCCAATTCCATTCTTCTGCATATGGCTAGCATGCTATCCCAGCATCATTTATGGAATACAGAGCCCTTTCAGGATAGGAAGAATTTAAGTTCACTCTTCTTCTGCATAGCATTCTAACAATGAGGCGGCCATGATACACTTCTCCTGTGTTTTTACACATCAGCCTGTTGACTTCAATATGGTTACATGTAAGCCTGGTTTATACCTGTTTCATTAATTGAAAAATACAGATATTTACTTTTTTTTTTTTTTTTTTTAGATAGGATCTCACCCTGTCACCCAGGGTGGAGTGCAGTGGCACAATCTTGGCTCACTGCAACCTCTGCCTCCCGGTTTCAAGCAATTCTGTGTCTCAGCCTCCCGAGTAGCTCAGATTACAGGCATACACCACCACACACAGCTAATTTTTGTATTTTTAGTACAGACGGGGTTTTGACATGTTGGCCAGGCTGGTCTCGAACTCCCGGCCTCAAGTGATCTGCCCACCTTGGCCTCCCAAAGTACTGTGATCACTTTACCACCAGGCCTGGCCCAGATATTGACGTTTTATTTGTGTAATTCAGCTTTACTCAGTTATTAGTTACATATAGAAAAATTCACCCTTTTTGTTCATACATAAACTTTAATGCCACCTGCTTCACAAAAATCAAGATGAACATAAAAATCATTCTCTGTGCTGAACCTTCCCAAAGACTTCCTCTCTAGAGGTGTTTTTCAAGCGAGACATTAGAATTACCTGCTCTGTGTTACTAATAAATCGCTAATATTGTTCCAAAATTATCTGTTTCATGTCTCCTTCTGCTCTGGACTGTATGCTTTTCTAGGACACCCATGGACGGGTACAATGCCTGACACACTGCTTGCTTAATATATACTTGTCAAAATGAACTTTGTACTTTTTTAGAAAAGTACTTTTTTACCAGCATTACTCAATCACAGTACTAATAAAACAAACTGCAAATCTCCCAATTGGAAGAAAACAAATCTGTAGATTTATTTTTAACTAAAATAAAGAATATGATTATAATCCTGGGTTTACTAACCTGTTCCCCTGATTTGTAGTAATTTTTCTCAATGTATACAGGGACATTGGCCTGAACTCATCCAAAGGGAAGGATCAAATGATTGTGCTTGTCATATCAAACGCCCCTAGAGATCAGTTGATACTTCAGTGCTAAGCTATGAGGTTATCTGCCTCTTGTCTTTTTTTCTTTTCCAGCTGAGAGAAAAGGGGCAGTAATGAGTGTGGTCTGCTACTTCTGAAAACTCATCCTCTCGCCCGGCATCAAGAAACCAGCCTTGCTTCCTTTGAGCAAGAAGCCCCCTGAGGCTCTTTGTAAAGTGCTACGGGGTAACCCTAACTCTTAGAAGTCGATCTCTCTATTAAGCACCCCAGGGAATGAATTAGAGACTCAACTAGAAGGGACGGAACTCCTTTCTTTAAAATCTTGAAATCCCTAGATGAGACAAAGAAAGCTACTTTCTGCGTAGCTCTTCACATTCCAAGTTTATCCCCTGTAACAACCAAAAGGCTGGTGGACTCATACTGTTTATACATAAATAAAAGGTAATCTACAAAGTAAATACTATTTCATTTTTATAATCTTCCTAATTTGAGATTACCCCAGTTTAATAAAAAGTTGTAGACAGCACATTTATAAACAAAATTTTATTTTAAAAGTTAAGTCTTAGCTTAAAGTTTTATAAAATTAATGATAATAGCAAATATTCACAAAGTACTTATTATGTGCCAGGCAATATGCTGTAAGCTTTACTAGTATTAACTCACTTAATCTTAACTGTCATCTTATGAAGTGAACAATAACAATTATCTCCATTTTGCAGCTGAGGAAATTGAAACACAGAGAGGGTAAGGAACCTTCCAAGGTCACACAAATAGGATGTGGCAGAGATTCAAACCCTTTCAGCTTGGCTCCCGAGGTAGTGCTATTAATCACTTTCCTGTGCTCCCTCTGGAAATCAAAGGTAAACCTCTGGATTGACATGAGAATAAAGAGAATACACAGTATATTCATTTCAAACTAAACTGCAAAGCTAGGGATAATCAAAGCCAGGATGTACATACGCATCTGAATAACAGTGTTCCTCTGGGAGCTACCTGGAGGACTCCCATATAAAAACAGTTACCCTGCCACTGAAAAATAAACTCTCTCCTTTCCTGAAGCAAATGTATTACAGATCTAGAAGTTTCTAAACCAGAAAATTTTATGGGAAGAAATTATACAATGGAGCGAAAATACATGAGTTTTATATTATTCTTTACTGAGGCTTCATTTCCAAGGCAATAAAAACTGTTGGCAGTATAATTCTGAAATAACTAAAAGTAAAAATATCCCCCACCCAAAATGTAAATCAAGGCTTTCTAAACCTTGGGTTTAGAAAATCCAGTGAAATTCAAGCTTCCGGTCCACACTGTAACTTATGTGGTGATTTCGTTCTTCAGTCTTCAGCTTTTTTCTTCAGTTCAGTCTACCTCTGCATGCTTAAGTCTTCGTAATACATCACACCTTTCCCTTTACAGGTGAAAATATGTTTTTTTTTAAAGATACATAAAATATATCTAGTGGCTGGTAAAATATTTCAAATCACCTAGGAGATATATACTAACTTGAGTGAGTTCTTGAATTTACTGGAAAGCAGAAGAAGTTCCATGGTCCTTTAGGTTTCCCTAATTGCCTCTTCTTGTTTTCTTTTCATGCCATAACACCAGTAGGAGAAAAAAATCAATCACAAGGGTCACCCTCAAAACACAATTACTGTAATTAGTAATAACTAGAATATGAAAACATGTTCCATGTTCCACTCTCCTAGATTTAGATAAAAAACAGAAAGTTTAGGCAAAGTTTTTTTTTCTTTTTTTTTTCTTTTTTTTTTTTTTTAGCACTAATGAAAAACAAAACAAAACAAACAAAAAAATTCCATTTAACAATAAGGTTGTGGGGGAGCCGGGAGTTCACACACAATTTGACTTTGCCAATGATACATTCAAGATCAGTAATATCTAAATTATTTGCCACTGATTAATTTCCTCAGTTTGCGCTATTCTCATTTCAGGTGAAAGAAGAAAGAAAAGAATGACATGTAGAATCACAGACTCATAAATAATAATGTTTGTAGTTTTCTCTCCTAAAAATAAGATTGATCCAAAGCTGATCTGGGTATCAGAAGGAAGCCTGTAGCGAGTTTGGTTCAATACCATTTGTCCTATATCTTGTTTGTTTGTTTGTTTGTTTGTTTGTTTTAGACAGGTTCTCACTCTGGCGCCCAGGCTGGAGTGCAGTGGTGCAATCACAGCTCACTGTGGCCTGGACCCCCAGGCTCAAGCGATCCTCCCACTTCAGGTTCCCAAGTAGCTGGGACTACAAGTGCATGCCACCATGCCTGGCTATTTTTTGTATTTTTTTGTAGAAACAGGGGTCTCACAATGTTGCCCAGGCTGGTCTTGAACTCCTGAGCTAAAGTGATCCGCCTGCCTCAGCCTCCCAAAGTGCTGGAATTACAGGCATGAGCCACTGCACCTGGCCTGCCCTATTTCTTTATTATATTGTGTCACTTTAAAGCTTTTCTAAAAGTAATTGAGAAAGTTTCAATGACAATTAAAAACTACTAGTAAATTCTCTTTAATGTATGTGAAAAATTTTAGTTTCTCTCTTGAATGGTCTGACAGTATGTACATGTGGCCCTTCTAGAGTCTGATGAAATCAAAATAGTGACATCCCTCAATCAGCCCATCAAGTGGAGATTTTGGAATCAAACAGAAACAGATACAGGCTTCTCTTTTTCCACCCCTTCTTCAGTGATGGCTATTGTCTGGGTGAGGTAAAATGGAGGAGAAAGGACGCTATTCTGTATTTATATGATTTTTAATTGACAAATCATAATTGTATCACACTATGATTAGTATGTATGTATATGGAAAGTGGAGAGATTAAATCAAGCTAATTAACATATCTATCATCTCATTACATTTTTTGTGGTGAGACACTTGAAATTTACTCTCTTTGTTAAAAAGGCAACTGAAAAAGTAGAAAAAGGCCAAAACTAACAGGTAACTGAAACCGATGTAGGTTTTTTTTTTTGAGACAGAGTCTTGCTTTATCACCCAGGCTGGAGTGCAGCGGTGCAATCTCCGCCTCCTGGGTTCAAGCAATTTTCCTGCCTCAGCCTCCCGAGTAGCTGGGATTACAGGCGCACGCCACCACACCCGGCTAATTTTTGTATTTTTAGTAGAGACGCGGTTTCACCATGTTGGCCAGGCTGGTCTTGAACTCCTGACCTCAAGCGATCCACCCGCTTTGGCCTCCCAAAATGCTGGGATTATAGGCATGAGCCACCGCGCTCTGCCGCCAATGTAGTTTTAAGATGTAATTAATTCCTGTCACAGCTCCCATTAATTCTTTATTATGTTCTGCACATATGCATGTCTGTGGATGGTTTTCAAGAAATCAGAAAAAGTTCTCCAAAATAAGCCTGCCCTCCTAGCAGAAGCACGTCTCTGAGGGAACATCAGGCAAGAGCACAGATGGTTTGTAGATGAGTAGATGGTAAGCCACCTGCCATGTGAGGAGCTGGGTTCCCGCTGAGCCAACCCACAAACACAAGGGGTCAGTCTTCTGAAATCAGATGGGCCAAGTATCAGATTCACTTAGGTTTGAATTAGCAAATTGAGATAATGGCTAAGTTTGCATCCTGCTTCATATGTCGTTAGAGCCTAAGAAGCACTATGCCTATGCAAGGAAGACCTAGACAGGTGAGGGACTCATGGATTTCAAAGGATATAATTCAGTAAGACTCTACTACATGAAACAAAATGAGAGAGGAGAGAAGGAACGGGCAAGGAAAGAAAGAGAAGGAAAGAAAAGAAAAAGAAAATTTTCTAAGGTTATTTTTGAGCATTTGAAGCATGAATAAAATGCAATTTTTTGACTTTATACAGCTATGCACATGAGGAGAGAAAGAAGCGACACGAAAAATTACCATCACATACAAATGAAAAATCTTTCAAATTATCCATTTACATTTCACACAGGCTATGCTGCATCTCATATTAGAGGTACAATGCTTGTGCATAAAGATCTCCCTGAGGCCACATTCCAGAATTTTCCTTTCCTCTCCCAGTGACTAGCCTGAAAAACACTGCTGACACTCATTAAAATGACAACAAAGAAGGTTTTTTCCCCTCATGAATAAAACACTCATCCAGAGTTAATTTTTATGATTTATAGCAAGGGAGGTCCATCCCAGCCACAGAATTCAGGGCTGCCTGCAAATGTATTTATGATCTGTTTCAAAGTCAGTGTCTTTCTGAATTTCACTGCGGTTGCCTACATCTTACGCACTGTTTTCATGGAGGCAGCAAAATGGGAGGATGCAGGATTGATGAAATTCATCTCTCAAGGCTGGGCGCCCTGGCTTATGCCCATAATCCCAGCACTTTTGAAGGCTGAGGTGGGCGGATCACTTGAGGTCAGGAGTTCAAGACCAGCCTGGGCAACATGGTGAAAACCCATCTCTACTAAAAGTACAAAAACTTAGCCAGGCATGGTGGCATGCGCCTGTAGTCCCAGCTACTAGGGAGGCTGAGTTGGGAGAATCACCTGAGCCCAATATGTCAAGGCTGCAGCGGGTCAAGATTGCGCCACTGCACTCCAGCCTGGGACACTGGAGGGAGCTCCTGTCTCAAAAAGAAAAAAAAAAAAAAAAAAAGAAAGAAAATTCATCTCTCAGCTACAAAAGAATAAGGAGATTTTAAAATACATATATTTATCTGTTTTGCCCCCAAAATCATCTGAATTTTGTAAATTCTCAATGTTATATTTTAGTTTAAATTTCACAATAAAACCATGATAAAATAATAAACTTATGTTTGCATAAAAATTAAATGGACATAATTTTGCCAATATAATCTGATGCTTTTGGCAAAATGTTTGCTTTTATACAATCAGAACATAGTGAAAACATTTATCTAGAAACATCTGACAGGAAAGTTCAGGCAAATTGGGGCATTTCCAGCAGCTTGGAGGCAAGCAGGGTACTCTGCTCTTAAGGCAATGCTAACCCTGACTGTGCAGAAGAGGTAATAGCATTCATTTAAAGGAATTCGACCATTTAGACTGGGCGTCTGCAACAATTCATAAGGTAAAGCAAAAAAGTAGTTTTTAACACACTTTAGAGCTATAATTATGCATGGCTTGACAGATGTTTGCTGAGTGAATATTATTTTATTCTTTTCAATGGTATTTCATCAGTGCCATCAATGGTAGAATTCACCATTATTTTATGTGCCCTTAAGGAAAAACAAAATGCTGCCAATTAAACTACAATTCATCTAATTTTAGTGATGTGGGGGAAAAAAGTATCTTAGAATCAATGAAACATAGCAAGACTGAAGCCTACTTACTTCCAAATTCCGGGCTGTGATGCTTCTGCATAAGAATTTATCGGTTGGTGAAAATGAGTACTAATGACCTGCAGCAAATCACACTATAGGACTCTCATTTCCTGACTCTGACATTTTTATTCAAGTTAAGCCAGGTTAAGTAATTCCAGAATATGTTATATGTTGTTGATAGAGCAACTCATATCCTTCTTAGCCTCACTGAAGAGCCTCCCAACACTCTTACTCCACAGTCTCTGAGCCCTGGTTCCCTTGCCCTATCACAGTCCCTCCAGTGTATGTATCCATACATACACTGTAAGATAACTTTCTTTTAACACAAAGAAAACATGAAGACAGCTCAGATCATAAACATGTCTGGAGTGATTAGCACTTCTTACCTCGACACAAAGGGTGGGTGAGTAAGTACATGCTTGGTTGAAGGCAGCGTATGCTCTACTCCAAGCTCCATTTTCCTGTCCTGTCTCATTCAGCTTCTAACGCATGCAAAGCTGCTTCTTAAAAGGCCCTTTTTGTGGCTTCTGTGATCTCATGTTCTCCTGGTTTTCCAGCTATCTCACAATCAACATTGCTGATGTATTTAACACTGTTTTTTTTTAATCTTTAATTCCTTTTTTTTTTTTTAGACAAGGTCTAGCTTTGTCACCCAGGCTGGAGTGCAGTGGTGCAATCTTGGTTCACTGCAACCTCTGCCTCCCAGGTTCAAGCAATTCTCCTGCCTCAGCCTCCCGAGTAGCTGGGATCACGAGGCATGTGCCACCATGCTCAGCTAATTTTTGTATTTTTAGTAGAGACGGGTTTTGGCCATGTTGGCCAGGCTGGTCTCGAACTCCTGAGTGAGAATCTCAGCCATGTTCAGGAGTTAGAGGTGCCCAGTTCCTCTAAAAGTGGGAGTGTAAGAAGCCCAAAATAGAGGCTTGGTTGAAAGGTTTTGTTGTTGTTGTTGTTGGTTTTGTTTTTTAAATACAGGGTCTCGCTCTATCGCCCAGGCTGGAGTGCAGTGGCATGATCTTGGCTCACTGCAACCTCCACCGCCTGGGTTTAAGCGATCCTCCCACCTCAGCCTCCCTAGTAGCTGGGACTGCAGGTATGCACCACCACGCACAGCTATTTTTTGTATTTTTAGTAGAGATGTGGTTTTGCCATGTTGGCCAGGCTAGTCTCGAACTCCTGAGCCCAAGCGATGTGCCCACCTTGGCCTCCCAAAGTGTTGGGATCACAGGCGTGAGCCACTGTGCCCAGCCTGGTTGAAAGTTTTCATAGGAGTAGTTAGGACCTATGTCTCCTTCTCCATCTTTTGAAATTAGGCATAACCCCTCTCCATTCTATCAGCAGAGATGAAATTTACTTGTAAAGAGGTTGAGCTAGAGAGGCTCTGAACTTGGTGATGGAGGAAAATGAGATTGAGTTGATATTTTAAATACAAGGAGGTTGCATGAAAATCTACTTGGTAAATGTGAGATCCCTGCCATCCTTCTTCTCCCACTCAACTCCCAGAACAGAGGCAGCCAGGATAATACTCCTCAGGTAGGATATTAGAGGAGTTATCTCTCAGGAAACTAACCAGAGACACATATAGCTCTCCCCCAAAGAAGCATTAGCCCCCAACTGGACTACTGTGAAAGATGGTCAACAAGCCCCACCTGTGCACAGAGAACATTTTAGTGCCTCAATCTTAAATATGAGCAGATAGCCAAGGGTTATCAGACAACTAAGGGACGTTTCTGACATGAATTACAGAGACCCAAAGCAAAGAAGGAGGAAAAAAAAAAAAGGGAATCTGAAAGAACAAGAAACAATGCAAAGACAAGAAAACTATTAAAACATCATAATTTTCATAGATAAAAGAAAAATATTATACTCATTAAATAGGAACAGGAATCAATAAAAGGGAACTTTAAGAGAATTAGAAAATGTTCTTGGAAATTTTATAAAAGTGTCTGAAATGAAAGACAAAGTTGAAAATATCTATCAAATTTGAGGGAATCTGCCAGAAGAATTTAACAAAAAGATGAAAAATGGTGAGAAAAAGGTTCAACATCCAAGTAACAGATATTCTAGAGAGAAAGAAAAGCGAGAATGTTGGTGAAGAAATTATCAAAGAAATAATACAGGAAACTCTCCAAGAGCTGAAGAACATGAGTCTCCGGATCAAAAAGACCCACAGGGTACCCAGCTCCTTGAATAACAAAAGATCCTCACCAAAGCATATTATGATGAAATTTCACAAGAAAGTTTCCAGAGGGGGAACAAAAACAAAACAGCTCACATAGAAAGCATCAAGTCTTCAGGAGCATTCATTTTGTCAACAGGAACACAGAAGCAAAAAGAAAAATTCCAAGAAAAAATTCTTTCTAATCTACATTTCTACACTTAGCCAAAATATTCAGCATGAGGAGAAAATGAAGACAATTTCAGACATACAAGACCTTCCATGTATCTTTCAAGTATGCCTTTTCTGGAAGCTTCCAAAGAAAGCTTTCCACCAAAATGGAGATGGAGAGTGAGAAAGACATTGGACCCAGGAATCAGAAAATCCCATACTGGAGAAAGGTGAAAGGATTTCTTAGAATGATGGCAAATGTAAGGCCTTTAACAACAATCTAACCAGTTCAGAGTGCATTAGAGCTTAAGAAAAGATGTCTTCAAAAAAAAACTGGAACTGACAGATTATTTGACATATATGAATGTATACAGAAAATATTCACAACTCTGTTGGTTTGGGGATAAATTTGGGATATTCATTAATAGATAATAAAAAAATTAATAGAAAATAAGATTAATAGGCTGGGCTTGATGGCTCACACCTGTAATCCCAGCAGTTTGGGAGGCCGAGGCAGGTGGATCGTTTGAGCCCAGAAGTTCAAGACTAGATTGGGCAACGTGGCAAAACCCCATCTATACTAAAAATACAAAAATTAGCCAGGCATGGTGGCACGTGCCTGTAATCCCAGCTACTCGGGAGGCTGAGGCAGGAGAATTGCTTGAACTTAGGAGACAGAGGTTGCAGTAAGCCAAGATCATGCCACTGCACTCCAGCCTGGGCGACAGAGTGAGACTCTGTCTCAAAAAAAAAAAAAAAAAGAAAAAATTAATAGACATTAATAGAAAATAAGAAAAAATTAGAATTACTAATTCTTGAGAAAACAAAAAGTTGTGCAAAAAAAAAGCTATAAATAAAATTTACACTGTCAAAATAAATGTTGAATATTTAATCAAAAATAGTGATATTGGGAGAATTGAGAAAGGAGAAACATGTATAAGAGAGAGGGATTAGATATGAAAGTTAAATTTTCACTTCTGTAGTGGAAAATCAATAAATCTGATACTTTTAATATACTAAGAAACAGCAGTATAAACAGTTAAAAGAATTAAAATGGTATTCCTGAGAAAGACAAATCTGGAGTAAAGACAGATTAGGGAATGAGTTTTTCCATTATAAGTCTTGTAGCAATACAATGTTTTAAATGATGTGTAAGTGTTCCTTTGATATACACAAAAACTTACATTTTAAGAAGATTCCATGGGGCTGTGATTTTAGCCCACATGGAGGCACCAGTCACGTCTTGAGATCCAGTGCCTTTAAACCTTGACTTAAACCACACTTTAAAAAAAAAAAAAGAAGAAGAAGAAGAAGAAACTAAGGCTTGAGGAACCAGAGCATTGCCTCCAACAAGTAGAGGAATTCCCAAAACCTAAGCCATTCTAGGACAGTATCCATCAGGCCACACATTACAGATGTGTGTGTTGGCTTTGACATTAGATGAAGATGGGTGGGAAATATTTAATAGGAATGTGGAAGAGCTTGAGTAAACAAATGTTGACATGGTTCAACGTGATGTATGCTCATTAGCTAACAGAACGTCCAAATCATTTGATACGGTATTATGAATCCTTCGTTTAGGACCAAAAATAATTAAGGGTCAGATATGGCTTTTCTGAACACCGCATTGAAAATGGTAAGAATATTTTTTACACAAATCCTCAGCTAGAGCATATATTCAAAAGAAAGCTGCAGGATGAAAAATCAGAAGAGATATTGTTGCAGAACTGTGATATGACGTGTTAGCATCATACACATTTCATAAAAAAGACATCAGTGGACATTGAAGTGGACCTAATTTGTTGTTGTTACTGTTTTTTAAAAAACCTTCAAAGACTAAAGTAGCTTAAAACTTAAATTAAAAAAATTTATTTACTAAAAAAAGATGCCACAAATTATAAATTTTTTTCCAGGGGTATATTTTTGTAAAGTCATTTTCTTTTAGAGATACATACTGAAGTATTTATAAATGAAATCATATGGTATCTGGGATTTGCTTCAAAATAATATGGATGGATAGAGGGTAGGGTTAGAGATCAAACAGCATTGGTCATGATTTGATGATTTTTAATTACTGGGATTCACACTATCTTATGTACTTCTAGATGTATATGAAATTTAAAAAAAAAGGTGCCATCCACATAATTGAGAATCATCACAGGTATGCTAGGTATTTTTTTTACAGCCAAGAAAGTCTATAATAATTAGCACCTGAATTGGTTTATAACAGAAGTTAGAGGTAAATCTGTTGCTCTTTAATAGCTTTGGAAGACTATGAAACAACAATGAAAAGGAATTTGGTATCTAACCCATATTATTTCTATAACTGACTTAGTTCTCTTAGGGTCTTTTTGAATCCTCTAGTCTGGAGAGTCCCCAGTATGCTGTTAGGATACAGTTTTTTTTTTTTTTCTTTTCTTTTTTTCTTTTTTTTTTTGAGACAGGTCTCGCTCTGTCGCCCTGGCTGGAGTGCAGTGCCACAATCTTGGCTCATTGTAACCTCTGCCTCCTGGGTTCAAGTGATTCTCTCACCTCAGCCTCCCAAGTAGCTGGGATTACAGGCACATGCCACCATACCAGGCTAATTTTTGTATTTGTAGTAGAGATCAGGTTTCACCATGTTGGCCAGGCAGGTCTTGAACTCCTGGCCTCAAGTGATCCACCTGCCTCAGCCTCCCAAAGTGCAGGGATTACAGGTGTGAGCCACCGCACCTGGCAGAAGCACCTTTAAAATAATTATTTATTGAGCTTTTTCTTTAGAGGTATAAAATATAATAGTATAAGTCAATGACATTTTAGATTCAGTAAAATATGGTAGACGAGTTGAGCAGAAAAAAGTAACAATTAAAACATGGCACACTCTAACAATGCTTCCTAATTTCATAAATGTTAAAATGAAGGAAAAAAATTTTCTCTTGGAATGGATGAAATGCAGTATTTATTTTCCTGAAAAGTATCCTTTCTTATCCCAACACTTCATCTCTGTACTAAATCAATTTTTAAAATTAGCATAGCCATGGAATTACATCTACCCTCCCTTTAAGTTTGCCAGTAGTATCCCCACCTCCTCCTACTTGTCCTCATAGCACTAGTTCGAAAATACCAGCTTTGTATGTCTTTCCTTCTGGCCAATGCCAAGCAAGATCCCTTATTCCATAAATACTCAGAGAATGAAAAAGCATTTCCTTTTGTGCCTTTCTCAGTGTTGTGTGCTCAATAGGTCCCACGTAAAAATGGACTCGCACCCTGTTTATCACTGCAAGAAACAGAATCTAGCTCTGCCAACTTAAGCAGAAATGGAATTTGTTCTGAAGGCAACTCACAAAATCTCCAGGTGGGCTAGAGAACTGGGTATGGAGGCTATGTAGCCAAAAATAACACTTGAAATGCTGACACAGAACTGGCCCAGTAAAGACACCTCTACTGCCACCACCAGGCACAGACTGGAGTGGCCCCACTGACGCTCCAGCACTGGTCAAGGGGCACTGCCAACTGGAAAATCTGCCACTGGGGCAGAGTTTGGATCATGGGCCCAGGCCCAGGTGCAAGGAGGTTTGGGGAAAGGAACCATCTGGCACTTTCATCTCCTAGAGTGGGGAGTGGGCTCTGCCTCATCATGTAAGAGAGCCCCTGTGATGGTGAATTCTCTGTGTCTCCTTGACTGATCAAAGAGTGCCCAGATTAAACATTATTTCTGGGTGCACCTATGAGGGTGTTTCTGAATGAGATAAGCATTTGAATTGGTGGCCTCAGTAAGTCATTTCCCCTTCCCAGTGTGGGTGGGCATTGTCAAGCCATCGAGGGCCTGAATAGAACAAAAAGGCAGAAGAAAGAAGAATTCACCCGCTTTTGCCTCCTGCTTGCTTGCTAAGCTGGGCCATTAGTCTTTTCTTGCCCTTGGACTGGAATTACACCACCAGATTTCCTGGGTCTCTAGTTTGCAGACAGCAGATTGTAGGACTTCTCAGCCTCCATAGTCAAGTAAGCCAATTCCTCATAATAAGTCTCTTAATATAAATATATCTCCTTTTTTCTGGAGAACCTTCACTAATACAACCCTCAACATGGAAAAGAGATTCAGATGGCATTGTTGAAAAAGAATGACAGTTGTCCACTGTATGCTATAAACAAATACTTTGAAAAGTCAAAACACAATGCAGAGTAATGACAGAGTACACGTAGAGTACACTCAGAACAAACACATGTTCATCTTCCATCGTTGTCTAATTTGATTAGGTGTGCTGTGCAATTTTATTTTTAGGACTTGGACACAAGCCTATTTTATGGCTACTCAAAATACATATCATCATTTTGAACTAGAATTTCAAATATGATCTTAGATTATTAAAGAATACCTGGAAACAGGCTCTTTAATTTAACCTAGTGCTAGTTACAGAGCAGATGCACCTATTTTTAGTTAGATTGATTAATTACCTAGGGAATAACTAACACATGGAAAAGAATAAAATCATACATTCATTATAAGTCAAAGAAATGATGTACAATAGTTATCTATCACATATATGCTACTAAGCTGAATTAGACATTGGCAGATTCGTGGATAAGTGCCTGGGAGCTCAATTTAAACTGCAGGATAAGATTTAGGAGGTGTTTTTAAGGTCATCAGAATCAACATCCTACCCAATAAAAGCATTCTCTCTCTTTGATAGGTGGCCCAAAATGCATCACTTTCAGTACAGTATGTTATATTTTTTGTTTCTGACCTTCTTAGATCTGGGCTCTATTTATCTGTGAATCCAACCAAAGTATAGCATTAATTTCTTCTGTACTGCTTGCTAACGCTCAAGTGAACTAAAACTATTTTTTGAAAACCAAACTGTTGGTAAACTAGGACTTCTACACTATGTCCTTAGCAAGTGATTTTAGAACCTAAATGAACTTCACATCCATCCTTTTAAAATATAATCTTAGTTCCAGTGCTTGTTCTGGGCTAAGAGATTTCAAATTTAATCCTGATTGTCATCCAAATTCTCTATTGCTTTGAGCTTTGCATTATGATCTATGTACATCTGAGTCCTTGATAAAATTGTAGAAATGTCATGGTCAAATAAAGAGCTGTAAGGTAGACCAACAGAAACCAGCTTCTATGTTGGCTTCCATACCTATGAACATTCTTTGGATGTAGCTGATCAACCCAGCTATGACACTACATTCCAGATCTCATTTCTGCCCCTCACCCATAAAGATTACTCAATATTCTAGCTGATAAATGTGTGCTAGAGGGATTGTGTATATATAAAAATTTGATAATTCTGCCTCTATTTTAAATATTCCAGGTTATCTACAGTTTAAAGGAATAGTAGAGGAAATTTTTGGTACAGCATAAAACTCTTTAGTGAAGTAAAAACTATAACTCAACCCATCTGTTTCATAAGTCTTGATTTTAATATATTGGATTCACATATTGGGCTACATATACATTATCCATGAGACAGAATATGAAAGTCAAAATTCTATGTAAAGTATTTTAATAAAGGCTTTTAAAATTATGACTAATGATGTACATAATAGGCATTTTAATTTAAATAGCTTTGATAAATGTTTATCATTTTAAGAGAATGTACAATTGAGCTTCTCAACTAAAAGCAATTATTTAAGTTTTTGCTCATTTCAGTGGATTATAAAGCAAAGGAAATCTGAAATTAACATGTCAGTGTTTATGGAATATGGAATCTTCAGAAAATCTGGCTTCCAAATTCTGAAGAGCGGAATATTCCTATTCTTTTAAAGGAAAAAGTAAGAAATGTACAGTAAATTCATTCCAAAGATTGATTAATTCACATTTTAAATATTGATAATGCCAACTGGTAAAGTAAAAAAGATTTAGGGAACAGAGTTTCTGATGTCACTGATGATATCTGTTAAGTCAAAAAACAGCTGTGAGATAAATAAATTATTAGTTTCATTATGAATGAAACCTTCAAAACATATGGTAGCCTTTCACCAACTACTTGTACACAAAAAAAATAAAAAATAGAAAGGAGAGTTATAACAGCTGAAATGAGCTCTTAAAACCAGCATTCTAATTACCCAAGTCCTAATCCCAATAATTAAAATGGAAACATTTAAAAGTTATGTAAAGACTTTTGAATCTACAGTTATTGCCTTGCATGAGACTGATTTTTTAAAAAGGCTTAACAAGCTCTCCTTAGGCATTTGCCACAATTATTTTGCCTTGCACCAAAAAAGCAAAAAAAATCAAATTGTGAATTATTTTGATGGCATCTTAAATATCATATAGAGTACCCAGACATTGTACAAATCATCTACTTTCATTGAGAATAAAGTTATTCATCCCTTGGAACCATAGAAACACTTAAGAGTTTATTTTATAGATACTGAGATTAGGGCTGGCACAATATTATTTTTTTAATTTGCATACCTTCCATTTTACAGCATAGAAACTGATATAAAATATGACTTGCTCATGGTCAGCATAAGTGAGTTGGAAGGTTAAAAGCTCCCAGGATGAAAGAACATACTGTCTTCAGAATCTTTAAATTCAGAGTATCCACTGAGGACTTAGAATATAAAATGTAAATTGGGCACACAATTTCAGTTAAGGTTCTCTCTGGGTGATATTCCACATAAACTGTCATTGAGGATTACTGCAGTAAGCCTTTCTTTAATAAGCCGTGTTCATGCGAAGCCTTGCTGAAAACAAAACCTATGGCCTAATTGCCTTGAAATTTTAGCAACATCAATACATTCTTGATCATATTTTTTTATCATATACTATCAGAATTATAAGGCAGAATGTGTTTGGCAAACATTGCAAACAGGAACAGTAGAAAAACCTGAAGTAGAACTGTTTTCTGCTCTGTTGAAAGGATAATCATTTGAGAAAAAAGACCCTAATGAGCTACTTAGTTATAAGTTTTAGTATAGGGTAATTTTTATAATTTTAAGACCTTATTATAAAATTGAAGTGGAAATTTAACCACACATATGGACACTCAAACACATGAGGCTCTTCTGAAGGATGGTTCCAAAAAAAAAAAAACAGATTTATTGACAGAAGGGCAATCTAGAACGACATTGTATTATCAGTTGCTGGAGTCTGCAAATTGGAATCTTCAAGAAATGAGTAACTGTTCTCTACATGGACTGCAGTGGTTTGATCATCAACTTTCCTGGAAATTTACCACGTTATTCAATAATGAAAGTAGCTTCTGGGTCTTCAAAGACACACATGTATGTGGTGTGCCAGTTTTTTGGAATTAACTGCATTTGGAACATTCTGACTAGGTCCTCTGTGGTACTACAAGCATAGAGTCATTTTCACATAGTGCTATTTCTGTAAAATGTACACTCTTTCCATCATCAGAATCTAGTTTTTTAAAGATAGCTGGATCAAATCAGAAATGATCTCAATTTAATTTCTTTTCCTACTTGAAGCAACAGATTTGCTAAAACCAAGACATCTGCTTATCTTATTTCAGAAATTTGTGCCAAGAAGAAACTGACTATTGATCGGCATCTCAAATATTATATTTAATTATCTACTTTTATATAATTGTAATAAAACATTTAAATGATATATTCCAGTATTGTGTGATGACAACTTTTTACCTGAGGAGACCAAGATGGTAACAGAATAGTAAACTAGCACTTAGGGTATGAGTCAAGAGCAGATCAATTGCTATTTTAAATGCACTGAGGTCCATTCACCGAAGTACCATTTGCTAATTCCTGCACTTGTCCCTTTTCAGCTCTCTCTTCCATTCCCATTGGCAACTATTTAAAATCTTTCTTTCAGAATCCCCCTCCCTTCCCTCATTCTCAGCAGGCCACTCTGTCCTCTCACTGAGGCTATCAGATCAAATCCTTCAACTTCCAGCACCACTCTACTAACTATTAACACAGAGATTTTTTTTTTTTCTCATTTTCGCCCAGGATAAGATCTCGCTCTCTTATTCAAGGCCAGCCCTGTCAAAACTGCTAGGCGTCTCACTCCCTGACTACAGCTGCCCAGCATAATTCAGTGCCTCTTCTAGGCTCCTACAGTAGACACGCCCCTCCACCACCACCATAAACACACACTACTGGCACAGCAACTCCCAGAACTTATGATGCAGATCCCTCCCCCTGCCCCATTTCCCCATGTCATCTTTGCATCCTTGGCACCTTCCACTAAGCCTAGCAAGCAGAGATACCCAACCAATATGTGTTGAAGTGAAACTGTTCACTTTTAAGCATGAGTTATTTTCAAAAGCTTGAACCAGAACTGAGCTTGTCCCAGATTGTCTGCAGAACAGCATATGATTTCTGCTCCACTTTATTTTTTCAACCCATAAATGACCCAAAAAGGAGGAATGAAACATTTCCAGTAACTAAGGTTGCCAGAAAAATACAGGCTGCCCAGTCGAAACTGAATTTAGGATAAACAACTAATAATATTTTGTAGTATAAGTTCGTACCAAATATTACATGGGACATAGGTAAAAACAATAATTCACTGTTTATCTGAAATTCAAATTTAACTGGGCAGCCCACCTTTTTATTTGCTAAATCTGGAAAACCTAACAGTGCTTTGTTAAAAATTCTCAGAGGACTCGGAGAACGCTTCCTTTAATGCACCTGGGGATTTGTATGCAAGCTCCGCAAACTTCTCAATCATCCAGATTTCATGTCTGTTAATGCAACTAGGTTTCTTTCTGAACATCTCAGTAACGTGCTTTAAGAAATGCTGCTTAATTTATTACATGACATTTTCACTTATTTTGTCCATTTCATAGAATTTTTCTTATAATACAATTTATCGAAGATTTTACAAAGAATACTGTAATTTTGCTTAAGATCTCTTGGAAAGCTAACATTTATAGAGTTATTATCATGCCTCAGTTAAGTCCTGGCTGCAAGTATTAATTTTTGAAATTTTCATATTTTCAATTAAATCAGCAGAATGCAAAAAGAGAAATAAACAAATCTTTGATTTGGAGATTTATTTTCTTCATTAATCAAGCACAGCAATACATAGTATCCTTACTAACAGCCTTGCAGAAGCAGCCTGGCAGGCGGAGGTGGAGCCTGTGATGTAACTGCGGTAGGTCTTTGTTGGAAAAGCCTTCCCTAAATGTAAAACATCTGTAAATTGAAGCACTTCAGCTTCACTGTGCATGGGCTGGCAAGATTAAAGAGTTGCTTCTTTCAGCATCCTGTACTGGAGGCTTAAAATTTTGTTCCACAGAGGAATTCCTTATAGGTCTTTACGAAGATTACGTATCTATCTCACCAAAGCTGGGAGAAAAGCAGGCTTTTTCTGCAAAAGAGAACCATTTCGAGTACTGATTGCTGTGTGTGCTGGTTTACTGGTAAATGGTGGTGATGCAATGGAAGTTATAACCCAAAGTGTAGGAAGACGCCCTACAACCTGTTCCAGTCCTCAACGTTCCCTACGTTAATGGGTTCTTCTTTCAGTGTTCTTGACAGTGATGTCTTACAGAGAAGACATTTATTTCTTCTTCCTATGAAAAAGATTAAGATGAGAGAAATACCTCCCAATGTAGATACAAGAGTGTGCCTTTGGCAAAATACCAACTAAACTGACCCCCGAGAAAACTTCTGGGGGAGGGAATGACTAAGTCTGCTGTAACTACGTGTTGTCATAATAGGTTAATGAATTAAGACATTTATCCCAATACAAGCATACTACCTGCTTTCCACCATATTGGCAGCACCAGTTAAGGACGGTTGTCAAGCCACCGGCACAAAACGTATACATTGCAGAGATGCAGAACAATGCCTGGATGCCTGCCCAAAATTGGTCTCTCCAAATGACAGACTCAATTGATAGTACCAATCTACGGCCCACTGGGGGTTAGCAGCGTATTTTCCTAGGTGGTGGGGGAAAGGGATGAAATGTGGAAAGCTCAGGGCACTGTGCAGAGCAGAAAGGCTGACAACATATTCATTAAACTTGATCTGAAGCAAGTGAGCCCGTGAGGTCGTTCCTGAAATATTCATAAGATGTGTTACCGAACTCGCCGCTTAGAGGTTGAGCATAAACACTGAGTCAGAACAGCCCGTACCCACACTTGGAAAACAAAAAAAAGCACCCACAACAGCTCACCCCACCACCACACTCCACTGCTCTGCTTTTAACAGCCCCGTCAGCTGTCAGCTGTCACTCCCCACTCGGCTGTCCAATTCTACCTGCCCGGGAAAGAGATGCTCCAATATTGAAGTGCGGAGTTTCCCAGCAGTTGGAGGAGGCGCAGCTCAACAGCCCAGCCGACCGCTCCTCCCAGCTCGCTGCGCGGAGGACCCCACAGTCCGGCGGCCCCGCAGCCCGGCTGCCTAGCTCCTCCCTGGAGACCGAAGCCCACAAGGCAAGGGGTTCCCAGGGACCCAGACCAGCCCCTCGCCCCAGCCAGGCCGCCCTTGTCCCGCCTTCCATTTTGGCTCTGTCTGGGATCCCTTCCCCGAGCCCTCGGCGTTAGGTCGCTAGGCGACCTACGCCCGGGCCGAGATGCAAACAGCCTCTCGCGCCGACCTGCAGCCTCTCGGGTGTTAATTGGGAGGACAGGATAGAAGGGGAAATCACTGTCCTGGGTGACCCCGGAGCCCCTGCACCAAGGCAGAGTGCACTTTCATTCCCGTTCCCTCTCTGCCCCCGATGCTTAGCATTTCTGCTGCCTCCCAGGCACAGCGCAGCTTGCGTGATGCCTCGCGTCCTCGCCGCACCTCTCTCCTCCCCAAGGGCATTCGCCCCTACTCCCTAGGCTCCTCTGGGGTCGCCAATCACCTGGACTCTGGCGGCGGTAGGCTCAGCAGCTCCCGGCGCGCGGCGGCGTGGTCTTCATCTCCGCCTTCCCCAGGCGCTCCGGCTACGCGCTCCGCGGCGGCGAGCGACGCGCTCGGTCCCGGGCGCCGAGGCTGGACAGGGGCGGCCGCGGCTGCCGCACTGGCTGCGGGCGCGGAAGGGGCGGGGGCGGGGCAGGAATCTGGGTCGCGTGGAGCGGAGCAAGCCGGGATGCACCCGGGGCGGCTGGCGGCGAGGAGGCGACCGAGAGCAGCGGGGGAGGGCGTGCAGAGGCTTCCCTGGGAGCACGAAGCGGGCGGCTACTGAGCATGCCCAGTCCGGGAGCCGGGGGCGCGGGCGCGGTGCTGGGGGAGAGAGCGCGGCACCCAGTGCCGGAATCTGGGGGGAAAGGGTTAAATCTGCGGACCCCGCTGCTGTGGGAGGTGGCTGGTGTGGCCCAGTTTAATTGCTCCCGGGTGGCCTCCCTGGAGGAGCCCACGACAGGAAGATGGTGAACCTGAGATGACCTGTCAATGGGATTCCCAGACAGTCCGGGCAAGGTGTGTTCCCCGCCCTCTCCCTGGATAATTGTCCAGAAGTCAAACTTTGTTTTAGTTCAGCTCCAACCTCCCTCGTCTCACCGAGCACCCAGTGACTCTTCCAATCCTGATCCCCACCCTTCACCTGCCTTCCCGGGACTGCAGAACCCTATCCCTCACCCCAACCGGCAGCCCCCGCCTTTCCCACTCCTGGCCCAGTCGGGTCAGATTCTCAAAGAGCCAGCTCTTTAATTAGGTGTAATTGAGAGATCGTGTCAATCCTGCGAGGTCCATATCTGCATTTCAACAAGGGCTTTAGAAGCAATACCGTAACCCCGGGGTTAATTATAACAGGATGAATTATAGACACCCTCGTCCGGGGCTGTTTGGGGGAACATTGCTTCGTGGGGCCCCAGAAGCCACTTCATACAGACAGAGAGAGAGAGAGAGAGAGAGAGAGAGAGAGAGAGAGAGAGAGAGAGAGAGAGAGAGAGAGAGAGAGAGAGAGAGAGAGAGAGAGAGAGAGAGAGAGAGAGAGAGAAACCTGTGCCTTCCGGATTGCATTTCATGTTTGATGAAGAACGTTTTCTCCATAGCTAATCAAAAAAGTCTCTTTAATGAGGCCGCATGGGGTTGGGGAAAGACCAAATGAGCTTCGAGGTCGGCGCTTATTTTAGTTTCATTCATCACTCCAAGCCGGTTACCTGACCGTCTTGTGCCTCTGTTTCCTCACCTGTAAAACAAAGGGTGGTTAATACCTACCTCTGCGGGCTGTTGTGAGGATTACTTGGGCAGCTGGCGGCGCGGAGCAGCCTGGATACCAAAGCATCTGCCTGTCCCGCAGTGGATGTTCCCTGAATAAAAGTCTCTGCAGGTTCCACCTCCACTATTCTGTGTTTATGAAAAGTTGGGTTAGTGATAATCCTTAAATGCTGAACATTTATCTTATTTCCTCTTCACATTAAATGACCTTAAAGCCTTGACCTTTCTGATTTTTTTAATCATTGTTAAAAGCATTAGCCACTATTTACTTTTCTTTCTTTTCAGGGAGATATGAAGGATACCTCCCTGAATAAACGTCTTGGAAAAAGATAGACCTTTGGAGGGAAAAGCTTCTCGGGAGAGATTCATTAGGGATAGATTAATCCACCTGACAAAAGAATTTTACTCCATAGTCTTTTAAACGTAATTTGCTTGCATCTCCCTGTGGTCCTTGTTTCACAACTATTGCATGAAGTAATGTATGCCTGTATGGAAGGAAATTTACTTCCCATGCATACTGTTGACTATTTAAGTATCAGAATTCAAAAGATAAACTTTTTATTATCCCCCAAACATACTATTTTTTTAATAACACATTGCTTTATTCATGGTGTTCCACCCTTTCTGAAATACCATTCTCAAAAAAAAAAAAAAAAAAAAAGAAATACCATTCTCTCTCATTCTATTTCATGAAGTGCTACTCACTCTTCAAGCTCAAATGTCACCTTCTCTCTGAAGCCTACCCTGAACCTCAAGACAGAGTGAATGCTGTGCTCTCATAGCACCAGTGCATACTGCTATCACAGTACTCATCACAGCCTATCACTGTGGTTCAAGCAATGTAAAACTACTTACTGAGCAACTGTTATTTGCAGGCGCCATTCTACATGTTAGGAAAATAAGAACAAACAAGACAAAGTTCCTGCCCTCATGGAACTTACAGTCTAGTTGAAAAAGACAGAAAATAAACACCTAAACTGTAAATAATCACTAAGGACAGAAGTCTAGTAATTCTGTTAATTTTTGTCTTTGTGTTATCCATCAAATTACGCTATAGAGTCTTGACTCATCCTTCCAAAAAACATCAATAAAAATATTAATATTGGCTCTAGGCCAAACAAATGACATGGACATGGATCTCTGCCAGTTTGTTGCTGAACCAGTGACTTTTACTCCTTTCAGTTGATTCCCTCAGCTAAAACTTTCCTAAACTCAAACCACTCAAGGTAGGTAGCTGCAATCCCATGTGATGAATGGAAAATGGTAGGGGAGGGCTAGAGAGTTTAATCTCCACAACAAATTATATCCTTTATCTAACCTTTAGGAATGGCATTTCTAAAATGTCCAGAATCAACCTGGATCCCCAGATCTCCTGCATCCCAAAAGTCTCTTCCAGGGTCTTGCACACCACTCCCACCCTCTCACCTTTTCACCATCTTTGGCCTCTATTTATGTCAATAGTTATTCTCTGTCATACATCTTCTGTTTGAATCTACCTACTGTCTGAATGACAAGCTTTTCTCTCTGATTCTCTTATTGTCTAAGTGTGAGGCAGCCTTGGTATCACTTAGAACTGACTTCTTCAAAGCATATTTGTACACATGTATGCCATAGCAATTAGAGACAATCTCGCCACTGTTTAATGTGAGTAATTCAAGGGGAGGGTCTCATTCATCTTTGTATTACAGAACTTAGCAGATGACCAATATGTAATAGATACTCAAGGAAAAGTGTGAAAGGAATGAATGAATGTAAGCAGGTTCTCAACTCTATGTGGCTCCTTAGACTATAGTTCTTTTCTAATTGGTTTTCTTGCTAACCCTAGAATTGCTTCACCAGGATCTGGCTCAGTTTTTCTTTTCATAATTTCTCTTCCACCACAAATCCACAGATTTCTCCACCTCTGGGTCCTGCATTATTTTGGGATAAAAATACCTATTGAACAGATTAACATGCAGTCAACAGAGAGGGTATTTGAAGAAACTGAGATCATGTGATGTAGCATTTACAGGTAATGAGTGAAGAATCCAGAGAGGAGAATGTTGTGCCTCTACAGCCTCCCCAGAGTTACAGCCGGAGAGCTGAAGAGGAAGGGGAAGAGCTAGGAGATGCTTTGTCATCAGCTTAGACTCCATACTGGCCCATTACAAGTGACACAGAATTTGAGTCTTTTCCAGACAGGTGGATATATTTCCTTGCTCAGAAGATCTGTTACTGAACATTATCATTTAGAATTTATTTGACTATAAATGTCCTCACCTAGAAATGTCTTCCTTTAGCAAAGGGTAGATTGAGCAATGGACAAGCAAGTTGGAATTTCCTGCCTGGATCATTTTGTGGGTGGGGTGGAAGTCATGGCCCATTTATGTATTTGTAATCTAGCACTGGTCTTAAGCACTGTGGGAGGAAAGTATTCTTCGATGTATTGGCTTCATAATAAAACTAGAAAGGGAATCTTTGGACTTAAAAAGCATGAAGTCTTGTCTAATTTTGCCTAATTGTTGTGTAAAGCTTAGAAATTAATGTAAGGCCACTCTGCTTTCCAATGGAATGGATTTTATAGGCTTATGGTATTCTGGACGTAAAACCACAGCAGCAGCTGGATTCAACATGCTCATTAATATCTATAGTGATAAAATTGTGACTGAGATTACATGAGGGTTAATCATCATGTTAGAGAATGCGTTAAACTAAACAAACTAAGACTCTCAGACATGCTGCTGTGGCAGTCCTCTAAATGTGATCTCGAGAGGGTTTCCAGTGGCACAAGGACTCATCCAAACCGTAATTCATGTCATAACCATTTATTAAGCACTTAGTATATATAAGGCACTATACTAGATACTGGGGATACAAAGCTGGATAAGACACTATGATTTTCAGGAACTCAGATCTGGACAGAAGCATACACACCGCTCCCTGCCCCAACACACACACACACAATGTAGGCTTTTTCTCAAGGTTGGTTTCCAATGTAGAATTAAATCTGTATGAAGTACCCTTCTCGCTGGGCATGGTGGCTGTTTCCTATAGTCCCCATTACTTGGGAGGCTGAGGTGGGAGGATCAATTGAGCCCAGGAATTTGAGACCAGCTTGGGCAACATAGTGAGACCCATCTCAATAAAATGAGGAAAAAAGGTCCCTTCTTCTCTCATCTCAGTTACCTAGTCAGACTCCTCTGTGCCTGGTTTTTGTTTAAGGTGTCATTCTCCTATGACAATGCAGGTCAAAAAATTTTGTGAATGCTGGTGCTCAGGCCCCACTCCTTTCAGAGAAGTCCAAGGGAGTTGAATTAACATCTAAAAGATGGCTGCTCCTGCAGGTACCTAAGAGCAAGAAACTGATGTCAGAAAACAGGGTAAAAGTTAGAATATTTCGTAACTGGCACTGGGTGTGATGTTCCCACAATAAAGTTTTAATGGGCTAATCCTGCAATGGCCTTTACTGATGGCAGCCTCCAGGAGAGGCGTTATAAGTGGCAGCTTCTTACCGGAATTTATTTTTAAGGAGGAAATTTACATTTTGAGGGCATAGAGAACAGTCAAGTTTAGTAAAGGGGAGAAAATGTAGGCTTCTACAGGTCTACAAAAATCAGGCTTAACCAGCTGTTTTACTGCTTCCTGAAATTATATGCTACTTAGCTTGAAGTGAAACCTTTGGTGAAACTCTGGAATGATAGGTTGTCTATTTTGATGTCATGATAAACCTTGAGGACAATGCAGAATGTCCACAAAAAACATATTTGGCATGGCCAACAAATTCAAGGTGTGTCTATCGAAAATGAAGCAACCAGATATGATCTAAAATTAAAACTAGATGGGAATCCTTACTAAGTGATGCTGGGCCATACATGGCTCTCTGAGACGTTATTACCCTTAATGATCAAAGCCCAGCCAACTTCTTAGATATTAGCAGTAGTGTAGAGGAAGCTCAGGTGTACTAAACATTTAAATTGCTCATTGCTGATCCTAAGTTTGAAATCACCGTCAACATTGTTTTAGGTGTGATAGTGAATTTTGCTGTCATTGCCAATGGCATCATCAAACACTGCTGAGAACTAGAACTCATGGCCCCTCTGGTGGTCAAGTTTGAAGGATTCAATGTCCAGGGGCCTTAAAATATGCTTAATAGCATCTAACTAACTCCCCATTACTTATGGCATTGACTTGGAGGATACAGCTAAGAAGGCTGTGGCCAGCATGGCAAAGAAATAGCCATGCTTCTTCTTTCTAATCCACTGGGAGGAGAAATCTCCATCCTAAAAAAAGGGGTGAATATCATCACTGAGAAAAAAATATCTATCCACTTGGGGAAAAAGGGGAAGGTGTAGAAGAGGGTCAGTAATCAGTAATAAAAAATCTTAAAGCTGTTCTGTATTTTCATGAATAGATATACAGATAGCCTAAATAATTCTGATTTCACATACAATCTTCATTAAAATAATGGTCTGTTTTTGCATGTTATGTTCTTTATCATGGTAAACCTGTCCATAGACAGTAAGTACTTGGCAAACAACGTGGATATAGTGAAAACTTTGAATCAGGCCCTAGTTATTTAAGAGAATTCTGCTGGACGTTTAGTTTAGAAGAATTAAAAAACTAGAGACAAAATCTCAGGCAAAATTACATTTCAAACAGATGGCTTGGTCATATTAAACTATTGAAAGGACACGACTAATACATTCTAACAATAGTTATTAGGCATTACAACATTTTAACAAGTTTCTTATTCTGGTATGTATGGCAAATTTGTGAGGTTGTTTTATTCCAAAATATTTTCTAATGCAAAAAATCCACATTTATACCCCACATGAGGATTGTATGATTTGACTTAATCTTTCTACTATTTACCTCACAATAAACATAAACACTAAGGCTTATTTGTGCCTATGGAACAGAAGTTTATTTTTATCTCAAAACTGAAGAATTCTGTCACTTTTGTCACCCAGCCTGGAGTGCAATGGTACGATCTCGGCTCACTGAAACTTCTGCCTCCTGGGTTCAAGCGATTCTTGTGCCTCAGCCTCCCAAGTAGCTGGGATTACAGGCATGCACCACCACGCCCAGCTAATTTTTGTATTTTTTAGTAGAGATGGTGTTTTGCCATGTTGTCCAAGCTGGTCTTGAACTCCTGACCTCAAATGATCCACCCACCTTGCCCTCCCAAAGTGCTGGGATTACAGGCCTGAGCCACTGTGGCCAGTCCTCTTTTTCTAGAATCTGCCAGCTTGTGGTAGAAAGATTTTAAAAAGTAATAAAATGTGTTCTTTTCCTTTTGTTTACATTTTGAAAAAAAATTTTTAAATATTTTTATAAATTTGAATAAAATCCTATATTATATGAGCTGTTAGCAACAAATTCTGTACTAAAGCAAAGAAAGGTAATCTTGCCACTTTGCAGTTATTTTCATAAGTCTAAAGCAAGAAATTTCCTCCATATTTTTGAAAATGTGAGTTGGTGGTGTCCTTTAATAAAGTCATGGATGAATGGATGGATGATGAGGGACAGATAGGTGAGTGAATGGCTGGATAGATGGAGAGAGAAAGGGAAGAATAAATGAATAATGTAACTCACACATGGATAGGGCATTCATCTGTTCAGAATTTTCTGAGATCATCTAGATTTCAAATATTTTCTCTCACTGTCAGATTGTGTTTCAGACAATAGATCTCAATTTTTGGTTTGTAAATTTTAATATACAAAATATACATGGAGACATTTCTCCTGCTTATTTACTATGGAAACTGAAAAAGATGAAGATTACTGTGACATCCTGTCTTCATTTAACACTTGCTGAGTGCTATGTGCTAGGTTCTGGTGAGCACTGGAGATATGAAGATAAATAATGTGGAGACTGCCTTCAAGAAGCTCACAGCTTGGTAGTAGAAGAAAGTGATGGAAGCAGATAAACAATGCAAAGAAGTACATGGTGGACTAGAGATATGAACAGCTTTCTGATGGGAGCCCATTGGAAGGAGTGTTTATGATCCATTTTTCTTTAGTATGTCCCAGAATTTCCTACACACAATAAAAATATTCCACCAAGGAGCATGCCTACTCTTAGCTCAGTGACACATCATGACAGTGCCCTGTTACTCATGCAGTACAAGTATGTAGGTCACATAAAAGTCTGTGGCTTTACATTTCATGGCATCATGTATTGAAGTGTACTAATCACAATATAGAGCAGCCTGGAGCAATGTGCCCATGAAAGTTTTGACTTTTCAGCTCTTGAAATTCCACATAACAGCTGTGTTTAGAACACCTGTTCTTTGCTTTTTTACTCTCGAAAGGGCATTTCTTCTATGAAGCATCTCTGAAACTCGAAAACGTTATTTATGACTTCACCAGGATTAACTTCCTTTACTTCAATTCAATAAGATTTCTTGAGTGCCTACTATAAATAAGACACATATCTAGAGAGATTACACATGTTTAGGTCCTAAAAATTGGTTGTAGCCCAAATATAATAATAAAATTACCTGAAGGTAATAAAAAGGGATAAAAATAACTAACATACATGCTCTTACTATGTGCCAGGCACTATCCTAAGCACTTTACATATTAACTCAATGAAAATGACATAGGGGGCTCCCACAAGCCTCTGACTTGATTGTTTTCTATGGTCTTCGGAATAAAGGAGATAAGAGATTTTGTTGAATGTACAGAGAAATAAAGTCCCCTTTTAAAGTCCCTTTTTTACTTGTCAGATCACTTTATCTGGTATTTCTTTAGCGCCAGTATAGAAGGCACTACCGTAGATGGTAGAATTATCAGTAATTTTTAATGGCAGAGAAGCAGCCAGTGATAATAGGGAGAAATTTGGAGGCTCAGGAGGCACCAGTAGGTGAACAAATTTGCCTTTTTTTTTTTTACTTATAATGTCTATCCTTTTATGAAAATAAGAATTGTGCTTTAGTTAAATAGAATTCAATTATATTTTTCCTGTTCCCTATTTCACTCTTATCTCTAGATCAAAGTTCTGAGTTACTCGAGTCTCTCATATGTGAAAGTAGACAGGTATCCTAAAATAAGAAAGGAGGAGGACGAACACCCAAGAGAAAAACAGAAATTACAACAAATGCCATCACACTCTCAACATCCCAGTGCAGAGTCAGCTTCAAGTGAGAGAAGTAAGTTGCAAAATTACCCGCAAAGGCTTTTGTTGTTGTTGTTGTTCTCATAAAAATGGCAGAAAAATTCACTAAAGAGCGGCTAGTAGCTCAATCTTAATGAAACATAATTCATAATTCCATGGAATATTGGGGACATGAACTAAAGATATTTTCTTCCGTGAGTGGAGAATTTGGTAGAAAATTTCTAGCACATCTCGTTATGTGGATGCTGTCAAACCTGTAGATGGTCTTTACCTTCTAGTTGAAGCTGGTTTTTGCTGAAAGGGAAGAAAGGGTCCAGAAATACTTGGAAGAGTAGTTCTGTCTCAGAATCCCTTGGGTAAATGTTTTCCAAATAAACATGCCAGAACATCACCTAGGCCTTGTGAATCAGAATCCTTGGGGAATGGGGCCCATACCTGTATGGGTTTTGAAAACTTCCCCAGGTGATTCTAATGCACATAGCTGATTAAGAACCACACACTTAGCAGACAAGCCAAGTAAAAGCAAAAATTGAAGTTCATTTGTTTCCTATTTTATTATATTCTTGCAATAAAATAATAAAACATATATGTTGCCCCAGGCTGAATCTTCTAAACAGGCCTGTTGTGAATAGACTACAATGTGGTTAGTTCCTTTCTTTAACTAACTGAAATTAGTGCATTACTAGCACAATAGTCAGAGCACTTAATAGGCTCTCCACAGAGAGAAGCAAGAGCATCGAGTGCCCCAAAGCTTGCCATCCTTTACCATCAACATTTATTAGGCTGTGACAGGCATGGTAAGGCCAAACGGGACTGGGCCAGTTCATTTGCAGGGGAACATGATGTTGCGCTCAAGGATGGAGGAAGAGACTTAAAGCAAACCTTTTTTTTTTTTTTTTTTTTCAGAATAACAGCCAACACGTATAGTGCCTTACTTTGTGCCAGGTCTTACTCAGAACACTGTACCCATATTATCTAATTTCATCCTCATAATGACCTTAAAATATTATTACCCCCACTTTTCCTACAGATGAAGAACCTGAGGCATAACAAGGTCAAGGTCACAAAGCTAGCAATGACAGTGGCTGCAAGATTCCAGGCAGTCTAACCGAGAGCCCACACTTAAACTTCGTGTGATATTATCTCTCAAAATCATACCAGTTGACTGCTACTTGATGAGAAGGAATGGAGAGTGCAAGTTTTATTCTGTTTTTGTCCTTTACTAGATTGTTAGTCATAAGCAGCCTCATACATAGCGGAAATTGGGATATATTTTGGAGAAGGAGTGAGGAAGAGTGCATATCACCCATGCCAAGAAACACACACTTTCTTTTGTTCCTCTTGCTTTCCTTATCTCCTTTTATCTTTTCTTTTTTTGTCCTTTTTTCTTCTCCATTAGTTAGGCTGTTAGTCTATAGACATCACCTACAAAATTTTTTTAGTGTTCATGGGAATCCTTTTTAGTGATCATGGGCCAGGGCTGGAGTTTGGGTTGGAGGAGCCAAATACTATGCCAGGCAAAAGAGAAATACTAAGAAGCACAAGGTAAGAATGCAATGGAGAGCAAATGCGGAAAGAACCAGGAATGCATTCAAGCTGAGTGAAGGAAGGGAGGTGTCCCAGGTGGCTCTCCCAACAATTAGGACACCAATTAAGTTCACACGAAGGTTGGAGGGAAGGGAGGAGGTTACACGTTTGAGATGACTAAGATTAGGAGCACAAAAGAGGAATGCAGTTAAGACACAAACAACATCCATGCAAAAGTGGGAGATGTCCCCAGAGGAGGGTGAGGGTATTGGGAAGCACAGTTCTTAGATGGGATGGACCAATACCAGATAAGACAACTATCATTTAAATGTCAATGAAACAACAAAATCAAACGTTACAGTCAAAGGGACCTTTGAAATAATCAATTCAGGTAAGATTTTAAAATTTTAGGCCGGGCGCAGTAGCTCACGCCTGTAATCCCAGCACTTTGGGAGGCCGAGGCGGGCAGATCATGAGGTCAGGAGATCGAGACCATCCTGGCTAACACAGTGAAACCCCGTCTCTACTAAAAATACAAAAATTAGCCGGGCATGGTGGCGGGCGCCTGTGGTCCCAGCTACTCGGGAGGCTGAGGCAGGAGAATGGCATGAACCTGGGAGGCGGAGCTTGCAGTGAGATGAGATCACACCACTGTATCCAGCCTGGGCAACAGCGCAAGACTCCATCTCAAAAAAAAAAAAAAGAAAAAAAAATTTTAGCAACTGAACCCTTATAAATGACTTTCTACTGTGAACCCCAAAATGTTAAACTGACAAAAGCAGATCCACTCTCAATAAATTTGGGGTAGGCCAGTGCCCCACTCCTCTGTGCTTGGTGGCTACTGAGGCATCTCTAAGAAGCCCTAATAAGGCTCAAAGGAGCACAGTTTGAAAATCAATGGTTTCGTCCAACTACCCCATTTTACAGAGAAGCAATTGAGATGTGGGAAGGTGACAGGACTTCCACCCCCATGCAGTGTGCTCTGTCCTATGACTCTGCTTTTAAACCAGCACACAGAATAAATCAACAAATACATATTGAGCACCACCTGTGTGCAGCACTGGGTCCTGGATGCTACAGCATAGGATACAAAGGTCAACAGTGGCCTTCAAAGAATTTCTAGCTGGGTGCAGTGGCTCACGTCTGTAATCCCAGCACTTTGGGAGGCTGAGGCAGGCGGATCATGAGGTCAGGAGTTTGAGACCAGCCTGACCAATATGGTGAAGCCCTGTCTCTACTAAAAAATACAAAAATTAGCTGGATGTGGTGGCACGTAACTGTAATGCCAGCTACTCGGGAAGCTGAGGCAGAGGAATTGCTTGAACCTGGGAGGCGGAGGTTGCAATGAGCTGAGATCACACCACTGCACTCGAGCCTGGGCAACAGAGCGAGACTCCATTTCAAAAAAAAAAAAAAAAACAGAATTTATAGCCTGATTACAGAATACTGAATAATAATGTAAAAGTTAAATAGTTGAAAGAGCCAGCTGGGTGCCGGAACTGGTTCCTATAATCTCAGCACTGTGGAAGGCTGAGGGGGGAGGATCTCTTGAGCAGAGTTTGAGGCCAGCCTGGGCAACATAGGGAAATCCTGTGTCTACAAAAAAAAAAAAAAGATTAGCTGGGCATGGTGATGCACACCTATAGTCCCAGTTACTCGGGAGGCTAAGGTGGGAGGATTTTTTTTTTATTTTTAATTTTTGTGGGTACATGGTAGGTGTATGTGTTTATGGGTTACATGACATATTTTGACACAAGCATGCAATGAGACAAAATCATATCACGGTAAATAGGGTACCTATCACCTCAAACATTTATTCTTTATGTTTCAAACAATCCAATTATATACTATTATATTTTAAAATAAACACTTAAAAAATTTTTTTTTACTATAGTCACCCTGTTGTGCTAGCAAATGCTAGGTTTTATTTATTCTTTCTAACTATTTTTTGTACCCATTAACCACCTGCTCCCTACTACCCTTCCCTCTACTCTGTAACTCCATGAATTCAATTGTTGTAATTTTTAGCTCCCACAAATAAGTGAGAACAGGTGATGTTTGTCTGTCTGTGCCTGACTTATTTCACTTAATATAATGACCTCCAGTTCCATCTATATTGTTGCAAATGACAGGATCTCATTCTTTTTTATGGCTGCGTAGTACTCCATTGTGTATATGTACCACATTTTCTTTGTTCATTCATGTCTTGATGGACACTTAGGTTGCTTCCAAATCTTGGCTATTGTAAATGATGCTGCAACAAACATGGGAGTGCAGATACCTCTTCGATATACTGATTGGAGTTTTGGAATTTCAGTCTCCAGGTCTGCATGGGAAATTTGCCTATAGGCACTTGCTGCTTGAATGTGCACACCTCTCTTAGTATTTCTTATTGGGTTTGGCATAGCCCAACTCTAACCTGGTACACCTGAGAGTTGGGCCTTCCTTTGAAGCCTGTCACTTCCATGGACTGTGGCTTTTCTAGGTCCTTTGAAGGCTATTACTTCTATGGCTTTCAGTTTGGAGACCAGTCCCTACTTCGGCGTTTTGAGAGCAAAAGGTGTTCTCGTCATGTATTCCATGGCTTTAGGGCCTTCTAGGTGATCAAAGTCTGGAACCCAAATCCTTCAGGAATTTCCATATATCAGACTTCCTTGGAGGCTTTCTTGTCTCATTTGTATCAAAAATAGAACTGGAGTACTCTGGTGTTGCTTGCCTGTCATCCTCTACCTCAGGACCATCTCTGCTAAGCATTTGTTCCAAACCTGACCCAAACAGGAGAGTATGAGCTTGGATCCTGATATAAAAGAGGACTGTCTGGACCAAGCAGGGCTGCCCTGAGGCACTGCTGTGTATTGCATGCTGACCACCATCTCCCATAACTTAAAAGAAGGATGACTGAGTCTCACTTGATCCTGGACTCTGGCCTAGATGGACAACCCAATACATTTTGGTCTTAACCCTGCTTATGAAACCCCAAAAATATGGCTAATAGAAGTAATGCTTCTGGAGCACATTTTCCCTCAGGAAATGCAAATGGATCTCTCAAATCTAAGTGTTTTTGTTTAGAAAAGCAAACAAAAGATCTCAGCTTTTTTCTTCCATGAATACAGTTTGACCTCATTTCTCCACTTTCATTGTTCCTAGGTACTTAGGGCTCCAACCACCATCCCTGGTGTAGAGTTGTCTAGAGGAACTACAGGCAGTTCTAGATAGTTTTGAGATCAAGCCATGCTTTAAAAAAAAAAAAAAAAAAAAAAAAGCACAACCCAGATTGTAAGGCATTGTATTAGAAGTGAACTTCTTACTGCAGTATCTCTCCCTCTTGCAGTGATGAAGTCTTTCCCACATCTTCAAGATACTGGGAAGATCATTCATGGGCCTCATTGACACCCCTGTTTCAGTCCTCATTACTATTTACTTAAACAGCTAATTGGCAAGGAAGGGGACATTTGTGAACAATACCATTAGATTTTAACCACTCCACAGACACCTTCGTATAGCCCTGGAAAGTGGACTACCCTCCAAATACCTGATGGTTTTCCATTGTCCAAACACCTCCTAGCCCAGACCCTCATCCTCCCTGGAGGCCTGGTGGTCTGCTTCCCACCACTGCCTTAGTAACGGGTGAACCAGAAGCCCAGCCTAGACCACTGGCACTAGCCATTGTATCAACAACTTTGGTTCCCAGTCAGATTTGCTTTTTTTTCTGTTCTGTGACTTGTGGCTTAAATCCTAGTTCATCTTTCAATTGTTATTAAGGTGGTTCGGTGTCTCTGTTAATTCTTGTTGATTTTTTTTTTTTATATCAACTGCGCTGACTTTTGAGAGATTCTTTGTTACTAAGGCTTAGTAACATCTACTTAAAACTCCTAACCTTTGACTTTGGTACTTGGACTCCTCTTTTGGATGCTGAATGGGAGGAGCCTGGCATCACTTCAGGGAAGTGGCACCTTCTAAAGGCCTCCTTATCAGCCAGAAGCCTTTGGTGATTCAGGAGCTTTTGAGACCGTATAACTGCCCAGTGGGTTCACCTTTCCCTCTGCCTAGGCGGAGCCGATTTATCAAGACAGGGGAATTGCAATGGAGAAAGAGTAATTCACCAGAGCCGGCTGTGCCGGAGACCAGAGTTTTATTACTACTCAAATCAGTCTCCCTGAGCATTCAGGGATCAGAGTTTTTAAAGATAATTTGGTGGGTAAGGGCTTGGGAAGAGGGGAGTGCTGATTGGTCAGGGTGGAGATGGAATCATAGGGGGTTGAAGTGAGTTTTTCTTGCTGTCTTCTGCTCCTGTGTGTGATGGCAGAACTGGTTGAGCCAGATTACCAGTCTGTGTGGTGTCAGCTGATCCGTCAAGTGCAGGGTCTGCAAAATATCTCAAGCACTGATCTTAGGTTTTATAATAGTGATGTTATCCCCAGGAGCAATTTGGGAAGGTTCAGACTCTTGGAACCAGAGATTGTATGACCCCTAAACTGTAATTTTCAATCTTGTAGCTAAGTTAGTCCAGCAAAGGCAGACTGGTCCCCAGGCAAGAAGGGGGTCTTTTTGGGAAAGGGCTGTTATCAATTTTGTTTCAGAGTCAAACCATGAACTGAATTCCTTCTCAAAGTTAGTTTGACCTGTGCCCAGGAATGAACAAGGACAGCTTAAAGGTTAGAAGCAAGACAGAGACAGTTAGATCTGATTTCTTTCACTGTCATCATTTCCTCAGTTATAATTTTGCAAAAGTGGTTTCAATAGTGTTGGTATTTGCCCCAGGATACTTTGTTTCTAGACGTTCTTGCTTCCACTGCTGCCACCTCCTGGTCAAAGGTGCCTGATACACTGAAAAGAATTTGTATTTTCTTTGGGTCCTAGATTTTTGTCTTTAACAATTTGTCCCTAATTTTTTGTTTCCTGAATTCTTTGCCAAGGCTTGTCTAACCACCTCACCTCACCTCACCCCAATTTCCTTGGGTTTGATTAAAACCAATTAATGTGAAGTCACTGCTAACCACCTCACCTCATCTCATAATATTTATTTATATTCATTGGCCTGAAAGACCATTTAAAACTACGGAGGTATGTGTAATATGAGGGATAACATAAGAAATAAGTCAGAAACTCACAAGCCCCAAATAATAATGATAGGTATGAAAAACATTTGCTAATATGAGATCATGGTCCACCTGTATTACCAGGTCAAACATTCAACTTCACTAAACTTTTTGTTTCAAGTAATTTTTTCAAAGCTTTTCTGAATAAGATATGTTTCTTAGTCTATTCCTGCTATTATAACAAAATGCCTTATAAATTACCTAGTCTAGGCAACAGAAATGTATTTGAAACAGTTCTGGAGACTGGGAAGTTAAAGCTCAGGGCAGAAGCAGATTCAGCATCTGGTAAAGATCTGTTCCTCATAGATGGCACCTTCTTGCTACATCTTTGCATGGCAGAATGACAGAAGGAGCAAACGCACTTCTTTCTCTTCTTTTTAAGGGTACTAGTCCCATTCATGAGGGTGGACCTCTCATGACTTAATGGCTTCCAAAAGACCCACGTCCTTTTTTTTTTTTTTTTTTTTTTTGAGACAAAGTCTCTCTCTTATCCCCCAGGCTGGAGTGTGATGGCGCAATCTCAGCTCACTGCAACCTCTGCCTCCCGGGTTCAAGCGATTCTCCTGCCTCAGCCTCCCGAGTAGCTGGGACTACAGGCGCCTGCCACCACGCCCGGCTAATTTTTGTATTTTTAGTAGAGACAGGGTTTCACCATGTTGGCAAGGCTGGTCTCAAACTCCTGATCTCAGGTGATTGGCCCGCCTCAGCCTCCCAAAGTGCTGGGATTACAGGAGTGAGCCACCACACCCAGCCAGACCCACCTCTTAATACTATTGCACTGGGGACTAAATTTAAGCTTATGAATTTTGTGGGGGAGCGGAGGACTCCAACATTCAGCCCATAGCAACGTGTTGTTTCGTGAAGAGGGTCATAATCAACGCTAATTAATTGTTAATTCCTCATCCTGATTATGTCAACAGGCCTCCTAGAGATATTGAAAAGTAAATTCTAGGTCTGGTTAACTTTCCATTGACCACGTGGTCCCCTAAGCCATATTTTAAATAGGTGAGAAAATAATGATACTCAATCTTATTTCTGACTTTGAAAGCAGGGGCAAGAGAAGAAAACAAGACAATGCTGTTTGTCCTTTAGAAATATTATCTCATCTAAACTTTCAATTAAGACTCTGTATACACTATCATTCTTAAAGATTTTAAAAGTTATACTATGTAAACTACCCTGTATGTGTTTGCATAACAGATGCACCCACTTTAACAAAACATTTTTCACCTTTTTATGTCTATATTTTTGTCTCATTATACTTGGAATACTTCAAAATATAAAAAAGGACACGTCTTTTCTGCAATGGTGTCCCTCAGCAATAATGCATGCAGTTGGTAAAGGGGAAACCTTTGGGTTAGACTCCTGGCTTTATCACTAACTGTGTCAATCTTGGGAAAGTTGCTTAAACTCTCTGAGCCTCAGAGCTCATTTGTAAAATTGGGAGAATAAAACTTGTACGGTTATTGAAGGATTCAGGAATAGTGTATGTTAAGCACTTTGTGCTTGTAATAAAAGGTAGATGTAAAGAGGTACATGTTTTAACGTATAAAAGTTGGCCCTAGGCCGTGCACGGTGGCTCACACCTGTAATCCCAGCACTTTGGGAGGCCAAAGCGGGAGGATCACTTGAGGCCAGGAGTTCGGGACCAGCCTGGCCAACACGGTGAAACCCCGTCTCTACTAAAAATACAAAAATTAGCCAGGCGTGGTGGCAGGCACCTGTAATCACAACTACTCAGGAGGCCGAGGCAGGAGAATTGCTTGAACCTGGGAAGCTGAGGTTGCAGTGAACCAAGATTGCGCCACTGCACTCCAGCCTGGGTGACAGAGCAAGACTCTTGTCTCAAAAAATAAAATAAAAAATAAAATAAAATAAAAGCTAGCTCTTTTACTCATGCGATAACAGACATGGATGTAAATCACTCTTTAAAATATTTTATATTTAAATCCCAGCACTTTGGGGGGCCAAAGCAGGCGGATCATGAAGTCAGAAGATCAAGACCATCCTGGCCAATATGGTGAAACCCATCTCTACTAAAAATTACAAAAAAATTAGTTGGGCATGGTGGCGCATGCCTGTAGTCCCAGCTACTTGGGAGGCTGAGGCAGGAGAATCACTTGAACCCAGGAGGCAGAGGTTGCAGTGAGCCGAGACTGCATCACTGCACTCCAGCCTGGCAACAAAGCAAGACTCCATCTCAAAAAAATACAAAAATAAAAATAAAAAAATTTATATTTAAACAGCTCATACATTTTGTCTTTAAGTCTCAGTTGTTACATTTGTAAAATGGGATATAAGAGATGCCAAAAAGAGTTGTTTTTATTTTTTATTAAAAATTTTTTAAAAACTTTTGTCAAATTATAAAACATAATCTATTATTCTTTAATAATTTAATAATCTGAAATTTGAATCATCTGCTTCTTGGTCCTTGCACCTTATAAAATTAAAATACTTCCCTTGAAATGAGAATTCCAAATATACTAGAAATCTGGCAGCTTCTCACTCTGGGGATGATTTTTAAAGAGGTCTATGTTGACAAATAACATACAATCTTTTTCCTCAGTGGTTGAACACTTGCAAAAGTAGCAAAATTGCTTGTTAAACATGCAGGTTACTGGGCCCTGGCCCCAGAGATTTTGGAGCACACACTGTAACCAACTGGTGTTCAGAGAATTAAAATTTATATGTGCTTTAAGTTGACTCGTTATGTCTAGTGGGGTTGGAGACCACTTAACCAAGCACTTCAGTGATTCTGATGCAAGTAGTCTAAGAACCAGCCTTTGAGGAACATGCCCTAGTGCAGTGGCCTCTAAAGTGAAGTGTGTATGGCTTGTGGGATTTAGAAGAATATTCTAGAAATTCCATTTATATGTTTATCTAAAACAAATTAATCTCTATTCACATTTAATATCCTGGAAGCTTCATTAGGTGTGAATGTCTGATGTTACATGTCACAGACTTTATGAGAGGTGCTCTAGAAGAGGAGAGGAGTGAGAGCTCACAGGCAGGACAGCTGCCTCTGGCATCCTCCCTCTTTTGATTTAAGCGAGACATTATTTTTTTGTGGTGCCTGATAAATGGATTTTTGGATTATGTAATCCAAAAACTATTTTTTGCAAAATGGACAAGTGGGTTAGAAAACTCTGAATTCCCTACAGTGAAGATGAATATAGACAATAATTCAAGCACAAATAACCAACAGAAAATAGCAAAATTAATGCTCCTAGTATGAGCTCTCAGTCCCAACCTAACAGCTGAGACTATCTAATCAGATCTGACAAGAAGTCTACTCCCCAAACTAGAAGCGATCACAAATATAGTTAATAATGAAGCTTGCCCTCTCTGGGCAAATATCTTTGTGTCTTTGAGAAATTAATGATAGAATGAAGCCATCAATGTGGCAAGACATTTTTAAATGAAATGTTTATACATTTTTAAAATATACTTTTTTCTTCTACATTTAAGGGAAACATTTTTAAAAGATTTTGTTTTATTTTATCATAACCTTTTAAAATCCACAAATCCCACACCTCTAGCCACCCCAAAGATTTTCCTGCACCCTGAGTTGCCTGCTAGTTCTTTATTCTCATCTATTTAAAAAATCTGTGTAGAAAAGAAAATTATTCTGCAAAGTAAGCAGGCCTTTAGCCTCAAGAATAAATAGACCATTTGGGGGAGGTTAATGCTTCGTAGCTAAAATTGTATGCTTTGCAAATGACCAAAAAAAAAAAATAATAATAATAAATGAATTCTCCAAGCTGAGTTTTATGTTTTGTATTATAAATTAAAGGCTGACCCTTTTCCTTCTCCTCTGTTTTTTTTCTTGGTTACCTTTTGCCTCTAATTACTGTACAGGGAATACTTTCACCATATGACTTATAAAACTGCAAACTTTTCATTGAA
The DNA here is from genome assembly GCF_000001405.40 of Homo sapiens. Classification (NCBI taxonomy): domain Eukaryota; kingdom Metazoa; phylum Chordata; class Mammalia; order Primates; family Hominidae; genus Homo; species Homo sapiens. The sequence goes on along the minus strand of NC_000011.10, from coordinate 107,572,480 downwards.
TTTTTATCACCATAGCGTGAATAATGTATTCAGTCCTGAAATGTCACAGTGAACATCAAATGGTTTTACATAATGCATTCTTGCTGAAGTTTCAAGAAGCCAGCAACCAGGGAAGCAGCAGAGAAGACACAACTTTGGAAAGAAAACTTGATACAAATTTGTCATTTTTCCAGGAGGAATAAAATAAGTAGCAGAAGAGTAAATGAGAGGAAAGACTGAGAAATAAAACTTTTTTTTTTTAAACCATAAATAGAAAAACAAGCAAAACTAGTACAGTTGCCACAGGGGACAACTGGAAGAAAAACTAGAAAGTAGCCAGAAACAGATGGTGGGGAAAGGGGCTGTAGGGAGAAGGGCGAGGTTAGAAACCTCATAACCATAGGAATTGAGTTTGAAACTGCAGTCAAACAGTTTCATAGTTTGGAACTACAGTAAAAATGTAACAATTTTCAAGGACTATTGGGGCCATTTTCAATTTTTTTCTGATTGAAGACTCTTGAACTAGAATACAATAGCTGTAAGAATTCTAGTTTTGGATGCTTTATTAGCTGATGAGAGTGCTCATTACTCTGTCGTCCAGGCTGGAGTTCAGTGGTGCAATCATAGCTCACTGTCACCTTGAATTCTTGGGCTCAAGTGATCCTCCCATGTTAGCCTCTTGAGTAGCTAGGACTATAGGTGCATGCCACCATGTCTGGCTAATTGAAGAGTGGCCATTCTTTTAGCATCCTTTTCTCATAGGTTTGGGGAGAGCTCGTAATGTGACAATCTGGCCAAAAATAAGTGCTCCATCCCTTATGGGACACACTGTTAGTGGTCTACCCAATGATTGTCTCCCCTTTTTCTTGCTAATAGAAACCTATTCCCCTCATTCCCTGCCCATAGTCTGTCAAGGTCTCTTGATCTCAGGGAGGACACACTTCATCCAAGCCCCACAGAGTGAATCATGATTGGCCTTATAGCAGTCATGGTAATTCTACTTCCCTTAGCTACTGTTTGATATGGGGGTGAGAGTGTGTAATAGTTTTCTATTGCTGCTGTAACAAATTACCACAAGTTTAGCAGTTCACAGCAACGCAAATTTATTATATCACAGTTCTGTAGGTTGTAAGTTTGGGTTGGTTCAGTTGACTTCTCTGCTCCGAACTTCATAAAGACAAAATCCCAAGAAGCCAACTGGCTGGGCTCTTATCAAGATACCCTTGGAAGGATCTGCTTCCAAACGTATTCAGGTTGTTGGCAGAAGACAGTTCCTGTGTGTGCAGGATGAAGTCCCCATTTCCTTGTTGGTTATCAGATGGGATGGCCCCTAGCTCATTAGAGGCCTTGCTCCATGTCCTTGCACATAGACCCTTACATCTCAGAGCTGGCTAGTGTTGGAATCCACACTTGGAACCACTCTGACTTCTCTAGCTGGAATAGCTAGAGTAAATGCTTTGCCTTTAAGGAATTGTGTGATTAGACTGGGCCCTTGGCAAAACTAGGATAATCTATTTTAAAGTCTGCAAACCTAACTACACCCATATATTCATAAATTCCAGAGATTAGAGTGTGAAAGTTTTTGGGGGCCCATTATCCTGCCTACTATAGTATGAAACTCATGTGTGCTTTAAAAAAAAAAAAAAAAAAGAGAGAAGTCCATTGGGAGCTGTATTTCCTGGATGAAAAGACTGAGAAACTGCTTTTTTTTTTTTTTTTTTCAATTAGAGATGCCAGTATGGGGACAAGATGTCTGGAACTGTAGCAGCTACTTTGTAACCAGGAGACATCAGGAATGAAGATAACAAGTCAATACATCAAGGATGGCAGAGCAGAAGAACAGAGGGCATTTTTCAGCAGCAGAAACAGTACCAGTGATTGCCTTGTCTGGCTGGCTTGTCATTTGAGGAAAGACAACTATTTGTTTAAGCAATCAGCCCAGTTTTCTGTTACTGGCAACTAAAAGCAATTCTAAATGACATTGATATGGAAGGGAGGCAGGGAAATGCTGGGAGGAGAAGGGCGGGTCCCTGGCGAGGGTTCCACCCCCAGGCCTGTGCCCAGGGAATGCACTCCTGCCTTCGCATCCAAATGTTGCATTTCCCAAGACCACCCTGGCATGCCATCCTGTGTCTATAAAAACCCCGAGACCCTAGCAGGCAGACACACAAGCGGCTGGACGTCCAGAGGACGTCCAGGGGAGCACACCGGCGGAAGGGCACACCAACAGACACAGGCAGCAGACACAGGCAGGTCGGCAGGCCTTCAACGGGCAGAACTATGCAGAGTTTGGCCACGGCGGCTGGAGGAGAGCCTGAGCCACTGAGCGCCCAACTCCAGGGGAAAACCATCTCCCTCTGGCTCCCCCATCTGCTGAGAGCTACTCCCACTCAATAAAACCTTGCACTCATTCTCCAAGCCCAGTGTGATCTGATTCTTCTGGTACACCAAGGCAAGAAACCCTGGGATACAGAAAGCCCTCCGTCCACGTGATAAGGAAGGGGGTCTAATTGAGCTGACTAACACAAGCCACCTAATGGCCAGCTAAGCTATAAGAACACCCTGTAACACACGCCCACTGGGGCTTCAGTAGGTGTAAACATTCACCCCTAGACACTGCCATGGGGTCAGAGCCCCACAGCCTGCCCGTCTGCATGCTCCCCTAGAGGTTGGAGCAGCAGGGCACTGAAGAAGCGAATCACTCCCCCGCTGCACGCCTTGCGAGGGGGACAAGGGAAGTTATCCCCTTTCAATATGTTACTCCTAGCCTTAATTTCTGGAACTTTATTTTTCAATACTTTAAAATGCAGTGTTGGTTAATCTGATTAAATTCACTTATATTTCACTTATATTCTATTATAATTCATAATAAATGTGTTAATTGGTGGGCTGATCTTACCTGTACTTTGAGATGGTGCTCTCAATTCAGGGAAGGTCCAGAGGGTGGAAAACTATAGCCCACTGGCCAAATCCTGCCAGCATAAGCCAGGGGAGCTGAGAAAGGTTCTTTTTTTAAAGGATTTTTAAAGGGTTGTTAAAAAATAAAAACAGGCTGGCTACGGTGGCTCACGCCTGTAATCCCAGCACTTTGGAAGGCCAAGGTGGGTGGATCACTTGAGGTGAGGAGTTCAACACCAGTCTGGCCAACATGGTGAAACCCTGTCTCTATTAAAAATACGAAAAATTAGCTGGGCGTGGTGGCGGGCGCCTGTACTCCCAGCTACTCTGGAGGTCGAGGAAGGAGAATGGCGTGAACCTGGGAGACAGAGCTTGCAGTGAGCCGAGATCGCACCACTGCACTCCAGCCTGGGCAACAGAGCGACTCCGTCTCAAAAAAAAATAAAAATAAAAATAAAAAAATAAAAAACAAAAAACAAAAAATTAGCTGGGCATGGTGGCGCGTGCCTGTAATCCCATCTACTCAGGAGGCTGAGGCAGAAGAATCGCTTGAATCCAGGGGGCAGAGGTTGAAGTGAGCTGAGATTGTGCCACTGCACTCCAGCCTGGGCGACAGAGTGCGACTCCATCCCAAAAAATAAAAGTAAAAAAATAAAAACAAAGAATATTTGGCCACAAAGCTGAAAATATTTATTATCTGGTCCTTTACAGTAAAATCTTGCTGACCCCACTACTAGTCACATAGAGGACTCACCTCTCATGAAGTTGAGACTAAGGTTTTACTAAGGAAACAGGTCAGCATTTCATACTTTTGAAAAATTATTATAGATCACCATGTAAAGTGTTTGGCACAGGTGAAGATGAATTATATCTTCAAATAAAAATTCCTTTTCAGCTCAACATTTATTAAATTTCTAGTATTACAAGACTATGGAAGACATTGTGGTTACATAATAAATAAAACAAGGTCTCAGTGTACCTGAAAATCTTTTGGGGAATCATCTTCCTTAGAAGAAATGGTCTATGCAATATTCCAAGAAAAGATAAGGGTCTGTATACAAAGGATGTCACACAAAATTGTATATGTATTCACCTTTTTCTGGAGATATTGAGACATGGATGGGCAGCAGATAATGGGAAATGAAGGCTTGTAACTCAGGAGAAGAAGATAAATGAATAATCACTTAACAGCTAATCTCTGTTTGGTGTTTTATTAATTATCACGTAAATCTCAACAAAATAAATGCTGTTTTGTAGTTTTGATTTCAGGTCATACTCCAATGCCCCCATATTCTTTAGAAACCACTCTGGTTTCTAAAGGGAAGTGTTAATCAAGTTTAGCCTAAAGCTGCCTCCTTACATATTTAAGTTCAGCCTAAAGGTTTTTCTGTACATCGTGAACAAGTGGAGGAGTAAACCAACCATAGCCCACACCTGTGCCAATCGCTGAGTTTTGGCCAATCAAATGTAGCCAATTGTTTGAACAGTGTTCAAATAAGGCAAACACCAACCTGTAACCAATAACAGCTGTTTCTGCACCTCACTTCTGATTTCTGTACATCATTTCCTTTTTTTTTTTTTGTCTACAAATCCTCCACCACATGGCTGTGCTGGAGTCTCTCCAAATCTGCTGTGATTCTGGGGGCTGCCCGATTTACGAATCAAAAGTTCATTGCTCAATTAAACTCCTTTAAATTTAATTTGGCTAAAGTTTTTCTTTTAATAGAAGCCAGGGCTGAAGATAAAGATTAGGGAATGATTCACAAATCTCTTTATAACTCTGGGGAGGGCAGACAGGAAGAGACTAGAATAACAGAAAAGAGTCAAACTCAAAATCTGAGGGATTGCCTATATTTAATTACGGACAGAGTGAGAGAAACTAGTGGAAAATTCTGAAAGTAAGTGATCAGATCGTATAAAGAGAATTAAAAGAGAGGTGCAGAAAAAAAGTTTTAAAAGCTTCAGCACCTTAAAGCAGGACAAATACTGAGATGAAGTAATTGAATTTGATCAGTAAGAGATAAGAGGATATTTTACACTGTTATCCAGTTTGGTAGACACCGGCCACTTGTGGCTACTTAAGTTTAATTGAAACTAAAATTTAAACATTCAAAATTCATTTCCTTAGTCATACTAGCCACATTTGAAATGCTCATAAGCCACACGTTAACTAGTGTCTATTATGTTGGACAGCTCAAACTATAAAATATTTCCATCATTGCAGAAAGCTCTATGGGGATGTGTTTTTGAAAGCATCCAGTAGTGCAGAAGCAGAATTGCAATGGGGAGATTTCCTGTGTGTCCTCTTATACTCATGTAGCTTGCAATGTCTGGTGGATTTGACCTCTCCAGCTTGCACTTGCCTCCTCATTTTTACTATTAAGTTTTGGTCTCACCCTTTCTTTCCTAGACTATTGCAATGCTTGCCTATCTGCCTCTTCTGTTCTTTCATGTTTGTAACCTATTCTCCACACAAATCATTCCGCCACTCAACAGCACTCTTTTTTCACTGCCACTTTTCCTGGTCAGCCAGCTATTTTATTGTTAGTCCACTGTGGTGCACTGCAGATAGGGGCCATTGTATCAACAACATGGGAAGGTGATTCCTCTTCCCCTACACCTTTCCCTCCCTGCACTCACATAGCTCATAAACCAATGCAGGTAGAAGGATTATGGTACATTTATATAACAAATAACAGAGCAGGAACAACTGCTAATCATCACCCTCTCCTTTGTCTTTTACTTATGATCTGTTACCAGCTCTTTTTTCTTTCCCTCTGCCACTACTGGGCTTGTTAATATTTCGTTACTTTTCACTTCATCAGTCATCTTCTAGTCTCTCCTCCCACTTGCCACAAGAAGCTCTGGTCATATCATTTCATTTCTCTAACCTTCCTCCCTGCAACTCCCACTCTGCAGGCCTACAGAATTCTGTCTTGCTTCCTTCACCATTCTTCCACACATCTTTCTATTACTCTGTGGTACTCACCATTCCCCTGGCACATTCATGCATATTCACTTCCTTCCCTCCCGCCCATGCAATGCCATCTTTCAGACCCCAGGATCCTCTCCCATATCTCTGTGAACCCTGAATATCTGAGACAGGTCTCAGACAATTTAGGAAATTTATTTTGCCAAAGTTAAGGACGCCCGCCCGTGACACAGCCTCAGGAGGTCCTGATGATATGTGTCCAGGGTGGTCGGGGCACAGCTTGGTTTTATACATTTTAGGGAGACATGAGGCATCAATCAATATATGTAAGATGAACATTGGTTCCGTCCAGAAAGGAGGGACAAATTGAAGCAGAGGCGGGCCAACTCAAAGTGAGGAGGGGGCTTCCAGGTCGCACGTATTACAGCTGAGAGACAAATGGTTGCATTCTTTTGAGTTTCTGATGAGCCTTTCCAAAGGAGGCAATCAGATATGCATTTATCTCAGTGAGCAGAGGGATGACTCAGAGGGATGACTTTGAATAGAATGGGAGGCAGGTTTGCCCAAGCAGTTCCTAGCTTGACTTTTCCCTTTAGCTTAGTGATTTTGTGGCACCAAGATTTATTTTCCTTTCTCACCTCTAATAAGATTCAGGAGGAAATATGCACGAAGAATAGAAGGTGCCAGGGGACATTGCTGAAAGACCAAAGGGCCCAAACCTGTTTGACCTTGTCCATTTGGAGAGCAACAGATAAAAATATAGCTGCACTACCAATTATTACTACTCCCCCCAAAAAGACAACTGAATTTTCAGTGTAACAGACAGCACTTTACAAAGACACTTGGTCGAAAAAGGGTCACTCCCGGGCTCTGGGAGGCGAAGAGGACTGTGGGAGCGCTGTTCGTTGTCCCGCGGGCTCATGGGAAATGTAGTGCAGTTTTCTCCAACATGGCCGCGCCCAGGGGAGATGGCGTGCAAGTATCCGCTGCGGTGTTCTGGTGCTAGAGTGGAGAGGCTGGCAAAGAAGAAGGCACACGCATGGTGAGAATCCGGCCTGAGCCGAAGCGGAGGTGTGTGGCACTTCTTACTGGCGGGCATACGGGCAGCAAATCACCGCTTCCTCTTTTCAGCCTCTTCCGGTCTTCTCTATCCGCCTTGCCAGCTAGGGCTGAGAACCTAGGGAAAGGGGATGGATCCCAGAGGCGCCCTTGGTGCAGTGTGGGCAGTAGGGTGTCTGCGTTGGGTGGTTCTCTCAGTGTTTAGGGTGCATGTGTTTGTGTTTGGTTCGGGCGCTCACGTGGTGCCTGTGTCAATCTTCTGTTTTCTTTGGGGTTGGAGAGGACGGTTGCAACATGGGGCGTGTTAGTGTGGCGCTTCTGGGGCTTTTCTGACCGGTGACAATCGGTCTGATTGCATCGATGCAAAGGCAGTGCTGATGATCTGATCCCTTGCGCAGCTGAGTCTTCCTGTGCTCTTATTTGAGCAATCCCTGCGACTCCTGGACCTCTGGTAGCGTCAGCCTGTTATTTTGATAGATTTCATTGAATATTTATTGTCAGTTGTATGTCAGGCACCAAGTCTGTGCCCTTAAATAGATGACAGTTTTCTGGCCGAAGCCCAACACAAACAGGCAATTATAATACCATGTGAGAACTCTAGAGATAGAGGTCCATGCTAGGTGTTAATGAAAACGTTGAAGAAGGCCACCAAACTCAGAATTCTGGAGGAGGGGAGGTTTAGGAGGTAAGACAGCAAAGTCGATTTAGGTTTATTCGACAAATGGTTATTGAGTGGCTGCTAGGTGCTAAATCCTGTTTAAGTGCTGGGTGCTACAGGGTGAACAATAGAGACAAAATCTCTACTTCATGGAGTGAGTGTTCTTTATTCAGTTATGGGGAAAGACAGAATAAACAAATTAATGAGAGTGTAAGAAAATATGTAGTAAGTGTTATTCAAAGAGTTAAAACGGGGTGCCGTGACAAGTGATGGGGTGAATTTTTTTCTAAAAATTTTAAATCTTTATTTTCTTTTTAAATAGATGATGCAGTTTAAATAGCTACTAACTTCAAAAGTCATGAAAGAAGAAAGCTCCCTTTCATTCCTTTACTCATCGATCCATTTTCCTTCCCTGGAGGCAACCCATATCACCAATTTCTTGTGTGTCCTAAAGATTTATATGTAAACTCTGTATACCAGTGCCGTACGTTAAAATTGGGCCTCGTTTGATAGGAAGTTAGATTCTTTCTAATCTTTGCTATTAATTATTAGGTTGTGCAAAAGTAATCATGGTTTTTGCATTTTTTTAAACATATAAGTATAGGAACATTTGTCTATACTGCTTGTTTCATAATAGGCTCTCTATTATTCAAGGAGGGCATGATGTACATACTACTATTACCACGTAGGGCAATATCTAGTAGGATATATTGGCTTTAAACTCACTAACAAGCAAGTAGCAGAGCATGCATAATCTCCAAACTTTCATTATCCCACAGAGAGTACGCTTAGGCTGGAGCTGGCTGAACCGGACTCAGCATGGCTAGTATCATAGTTAATAGTGACTTCACTCCAGTAATGTCACAGGGAGCATCCAAGTATCTGTGCATTAGTGGAAACTCTGGCCAGGGAAGTGGCTTTGTCAGAAGGGGGCACCTCCAGACCTCAGCAGCTGGTATCAGCCTATCCTTGTTGAGATGACTCAGATATGTTGGGCCAGCACATTGCCTAGCCACTGGAATGGTGGAAAACTGAGCCTCAAAGGCCATTTAGTGTCTTTCTTCACGTGCAATAATATTGCATGACTGAGGGAGAGAAAAAGGAAAGGGATGACAAAAATGTGGTTATGAGGCTCCACCTGCTGGTGCTGGACTCTTAGTGGCAGACATTTTAAAAAGATATATTTAGCATCGTTTCTTTCTCATTCCTTCTTTGCAGTGTTTGCTCATGTGAAATATTAAAAATTCTGTAGTGCAGTCATCCCTTGTTCTCCATGACATACTGCAAAGTTGCTGTTCCACAGATGAAGATCTTGAAATGGAATGGCTCTAAAATAGCTCCTTTGAAGGGCCTCAGATATTCTTTGTTTTGTTAAGCCATTTTGATCTGCTGCTTCTGAAAATCAACAGTAATAAATAAATAATAATAAATAAATTTAATTCTAAGAAAGCTATGGGATAGGCACTATTATTTTTATCCCTATTCCTAGATAAAGAAACTGGAACACAGAGCTATATAACCAACTCATCTAGGATTATACAGCTAATAATCAGTGGTTGAGCTGAGATTTGAACCTGGAACATGGACTCCTAAACACTGTATTATATTACCTCATAGCACTGAATGAGGCTCTGTGGTAACTAAGAAAAGTGTGATTTAATCCCGCCTTCAGAAAGCTCACAGTTCAGTGGAAGGGGACAGATACTAAAACAAATAATTATAATTAATGCAATGTTAGACATGTCCATTCACTTATCCCCTTCCTGTCTTAATGACGACTGACTCCTAAACCTTTTTAACCTCAGTTCCTTTCCTAGGAGCCACTTTATTTTGTCACTTGCCAGCCAGACATTGCAACTCTGTATCTCACAATACCTTAAACATTATTCTATCCTAAATATGACTCATTACCTCCTATACTGAGCAGCTCTTCCTGAACCTCCTCCTGACTTTCCAGTTTTGAAGTGGTAGCACTCATCTCTTAGTCACTCAGCCTCTAACTGGTTAACAAGTAATCTTTGATTCCTGTCTCCCTCATATCTGGGTAGTCATCGAGGCCTCTTGATTCCGCCTGAACTTTTCACTCACCCTTCCTCTTTCTCCTCTCCCCCTATTTCGCTTCTTTCTGTTGCCCCCAGCCTAGATCAGGCCAGCATTTCTAATTAACAAGCTGGATTATTATTATTATTTTTTTTACCTCTCATCTCTCTGCTATGCTGCCAGCCAGCCTGCCTGCCTCACTGGCCTTACATCCTAGTATGTACCCCCTGTGCTAGGAAGCTGGACTGCTGGCATTTTAAGAGACTTGGCATTTGTCTTCTATACTAAAGATTAGTAATTAGAATTTTGACTGTTTATGATTTCATGTGAAATAAGATAAATAAGATTTTATTTAACCCCCAAATTTGTATATTTGGTTGACTTTGAAGACTTTAAAGTCCGCAGAGAGTGGGACCGGTCTAAAAAAATTATGCCTGTGTCTTGGTGTCTTGGCCAAACATGTCCATTTTGGTTTTAGCTTCTGCTCTTTACTGCCTCACTGAATACTTTCCTTTTTATTTGATTCTATAGTGTTCTTATCCTTCAGTACATGGCACAAATCTCCTGTTTTGAGGCCTTCCCAACTTTTCCAGTTTACATACTTTTTTTTTTTTTTTGAGATGGAATTTCACTCTGTTGCCAGGCTGGAGTGTAGTAGCATGATCTTGGCTCACTGCAACCTCTGCCTCCCGGGTTCAAGCGATTCTCGTGCCTCAGCCTCCCAAGTAGTTGGGACTACAGGTGCCCACCACCACACGTGGCTAATTTTTTGTACTTTTAGTAGAGACAGAGTTTCACCATGTTGACCAGGCTGGTCTTGAACTCCTGACCTCAAGTGATCTGCCTGCCTTGGCCTCCTAAAGATTACAGGTGTGAGTCACTGCTCCCAGCCCACATCCATCTTATTTTTGTCTCTAATTTGTGTCATACCTAAAGACTGTACCATCAGCATTAAATTATATAAAGATGTGTCATAGTCTTATTGTTTAGTGTTTGTTTTCCACAACTAAGTTACAAACTTGTTGAAAGCATAAACTATGTACTTTATTATGGTTGCATGCTGCAGGGTGCTGAGACTGTGTGTATTCACTCATTTATTATTCATTTAGCCCTACCATCAAATATTTATTGAGCAACTACTATGTGCTGGCATTCCTGCTCTCTTGGGATTTATATCATGATGGAGGAGTTAAGCTAACAGATGAATCATCACAAATTATGTTACATTTTGTGAACAAAATAAAAGACTACTGTGATAAAGTGTGATAAAGCATGATATTGGGTGCTGATTTGGATGGTGTGATTATAGAGACCTCTTTGGGATTCTGTTATTTAAAAAATTGTAGATATAAAATATATGACACATACAGTTTTTAAAATAGTAAAACAAACACCTACACCTACCATGTAACTGAAGAAACACCCTTTGATGCTCCTATGTGTCACTTTCATGTTAATTTCCTTTCCTTTCACCCACAGAAATAGCCTCTCTCCTGAATTTTGTGTTTATAATTTCCTTGCTTTTTTTTTTGGCACTGCTATGTATGTATTTCTAAATAATATATGGCTTACTTTTTGATTATGACCTTTATGTAAATGGAATCATACTGTAGAGTCTGCTAATTTTTTGTGTGTTATTTCTCCCCCCACCGCTCCCCTGCCTGCTCCTTGCCTTGGTTTACGTTATAGTTGTGAAATTTGTGTATGGCACATTTTACTTAGGACCTCATAAGTAAAGAATTCATCACCTATGAGTAAAATAGCACACTTAATGGAGCTACCACATTGGAACATTTTTTAGAACCATCAGAGCTATGCTATTAGATATTCTTAGATATTTGTTCATTTTTTATTTATCTGTTCTCACTTCTCTTAGTTGGTACAAGGTAAATGAAGCATTTTTAAAAAATTGTCACAGAAATATTGATAAACTATAGAATGTATGAATAACATCATTATAATTGTTCCTTCAGGACTCTTAAGGTTGACTTTTTTACTGTCTTGTTTTTTTACAGTTTGCTATGGACAGCAACCATCAAAGTAATTACAAACTCAGTAAAACTGAGAAGAAGTTCTTAAGGAAACAGATTAAAGCCAAGCATACTTTGCTGAGACATGAAGGCATTGAGACAGTATCCTATGCCACTCAGGTGACCTAAAACTACTATTATTATTAGAATGTAAATGTACTGACATGTTAATGTATTATATTAATATTTGCTAATAATTGCCTAAGGCTGTAATTGTTCAGTCATGTGTTACATCCATATTAGAGGTACATATGATATGAACTGCTAACTTTCTATTTTGGTCCATAGCCTATAGTTTGCATTTCTATTTATTTTGTTGTTTGAACTAGAAGAGGTTGTAGTTATATATTAATAATAATACTGTGCAAGTTTCTCAGTTTCCTAAGCATACTTATATTCATTATTATATTTAATTCCCTAGAAGTCCTTATGAGATAGGTGAGAAAACTAAAGTTCTGAGAGGTTATGATATGTCTCCATTGATATAAGCTAGTAAGTAGCTAATAGAAACTTAAAGCTAGATCTTCCATATCCTACTACAGCCCTTGTTCTTCTCTTCCCAACCTTAACCTGTTTTATAAAGTATTTTGATTATGTGCTGTTAAACATTTTTATTTTATTAGACCTTATTAACAAAGTCTTTTCATTATCTGCGGACAATAATTAAATGAGATGATAAATGTGAGGATCGTGAGATTTCCTGGGTTATGAATTAGGAGAACTCAGTTTAACTCTTAGCTTTTCTGGACACGAGTAGTAGTATCCTCTGACCTCAGCTTTCTTCATTTTTAAGCAGGGCATAGTATTGCATACCTTTTTAACCCCATTAGATTGTTAGATTCCAGAGAATCTAATTGTACTTACTGGACATTAAATTACTCCATGAATATAAGGAGTTCTTATCTTTTTGGCTCATAAAGTTATAGAATAAAAGTAGAAAGTAAGCTTTAGATATCATTTAATTGAGGGGTGGACATACAATTGAGAAGGTGGAGCAGGGATTAAAACTTAGGCCTCTCAACTCTCAGACCAATACTCTTGCCTTAATGCTTACTATGCTGTCTTCTGTACAACATCATAGCTTGAGAATGAGCAGTCTGTTGAGGCACATTTGAATTTAGGAGGTAAAAGGCCCATACTTGGAGTTAAATATTAATGTCTTCAGAGAATTTAAGCCACATTCCTATAGCAAGGATGAAATAGATAATAGATTAGAATTAATATGTTTGCATACACTTTACTGTTTCAGTCAAGAGCCACTGAGGCTGTGAGACATTCAGAAGATTAAACTGACATACACTGCTCTCATCACTTTCCAAGAGTGACTTGTGTTCCTTTCCTTACAGGGTTTATGAAGAGAAGTAGCAAGAAAAAAAAAATAGGCTCCATTTCTTTGACCCCTCTGAAGCTTGTTTCTGGTTGGGTCTGCCTTTTCTTTAGGATCTCTAGAAGCTTTGATGTCCTTCATGGCTTCCAAAGTAGCATTTTATTTAGGCTTTCTTTTTTCTCCATATTCTTAAAGGAAAAGAATAAAATTGTAGATGGACCTCTAATTATATTTTATCTTTCCAGGGGAGAGCAAATATTGTTTTAATGATATTGTATTAGTCTGTTGTCATGCTGCTGATAAAGACATACCCGAGACTGGGTAATTTTTTAAAGAGAAAGAGGTTTAATGAACCCACAGTTCCACGTGGCCGGGGAGGCCTCACAATCGTGGCAGAAGGCGAAAGTCCTGGCTTACATGGCGGCAGGCAAGAAAGAATGAGAGCCAAGCGAAAGGGGAAACCCCTTATAAAACCATCAGATCTCATGAGACTTATTCACTACCACGAGAACATTATAGGGGAAATGGCCCCCATGATTCAATTATTTCCCAGTGGGTCCCTCCCACAAAATGTGGGAATTATGGGAGCTAAAATTCAAGATGAGATTTGGGTGGGGACACGCCAAACCATATCGGATGTATTATAATTTTAGGCTCCTTTGTACAAATTTATGGCATTACAGATTTTTCTAGAGCAATGATCCTCAAATTGTCAGGACCAAAGATAACTTAAAAAAAATTCACATTCTCTACTTCATACATACTCCTCCTTATTTAGAAAATTGCTTGAACAATTATAAATAAAATAATAGTTCCATTTAATTATTGCATTAATTATATTACATTTAGTTATGACATTTAATTATATGTATCTCACATTTAATGGAAAATAAGTTCCTCTCCTCTTCTACCGCACTTGTTTTTGTGTGGTTTACCTTTAGAGTTGCCCACAAAACACTCAGACGGCATCTTAGAGGACTTCTAGTATTCCTGAAGTCATACTTCATCATCTTCCATTCCTAGATGGGGTAGTGGACCCTCAACACCAATGAAACCTTTGCTCTTCCATAGATTTAGGAATATGGGAATGTTTTTGCAACTATGGCCACATATAACCAAGTTATTTTGGTATTTTAATTAATAAACCTCATTAAGTGAGGTCCAGGGCAAGCCATCTGAGACTCCATTTTACTCCATATCATATAGTATTGTATTAGTGGGCTTGTTTATTATGTATGTATATGCTTGCATGCATACAAAGTACTGGCTGTCCCATGACAAAACAGTTTTACTTTCCTTATTGTCCAATTTCATAATAATTCTTTTATATCCTTTTCAAACAAAGTTCTAGGTATTCTTATTTTGTGTAATAAACCAATACACAATGTACTATCACTGAGCTTAGTATAAATTAAGGGTTGGCAAACTACTGTCCTTAGACTAAATCAGGGTTGTGACCAAAATAATGAGTTTTACATTCTTAAAGTGTTAAAAAATAATACTAAGACTATCTGACAGAAACTTTTATGGCCTGCCAAGCCTAAAATATTTACTATCTACCTCTTCTCAGAAAAACGTCATCAACACCTGGTATAAATGAAGAAATTGATGAGAGTAGGCCATCCATGGCTTTCTTTTGTTATATTGAAATGTTTTTAGAAGTCATAGAACATAAATTAAAAATCTTTACATTGTATAGAATGGTTAAGTATAGAGACTATATGGGTGCTAGACCATGAACATCAGAATAAAAATAAGAGACTCCTCTTTCATCCCTGCAAAATTTCCTTGAATAAAGTTTAGTGCAGGACTATGCAAACAGCAGGAAGTAATCGTGAAACTTACAAAGGAAAAAGTTTTCATTGTGAACTGACTGAATTACTTAGTCTGAATTTCCTTAGAGGAAAATTTTTTCCTAATTATGTTCAATAGAAGCTATAATTGGTTTTTCTTTGAGGTAATAGTACCTTTACTTTTAATTTTTAGTAAACATTGTATAATGGTTATATTAAAAGTGCGGATCCTGGAAACGGACAGAAATAGGTTTAAACCCACCCCTAATCACCACCTTAACCTAATTTGTCAGATCTTCTTCTATGAAATTGGGCTGATATTACCCAAATAAATTCAATATGTTGTGAAGATTATGTTAATGAGGATTGAGTAGATAAAAGCTTATAGAACAGTCTTGCCAAAAAGCAAGTGTTATGTAACTGTCCTTTCTCCTCTCCACCTCTTTCATTATGTTAAATTTATATTTCTGAATAATAGTCATGTTTTAATTTGCATTTATGGTCATTTAGAAATGAATATTTTGTGAAATTGGCTATTTAAACAACACAATTTACAATATAGGAGTCCTTTTTATTCCCCAAATTTTTAGTAAATTGGTTTACATACTTTGTATGAAATTAGCAAACCAAACAACCACTACAAGGAAATGCTTTTTTTTTCTTAATTACATCTTTTTTAAAAAAAATCTTATTTTAAAACAAATGGGTTGGTATCAGTTGCTCATGTTACTTTCTTTTTGTTTGTTTGTTTGTTTTTTAAGAGCCTGGTTGTTGCCAATGGTGGTTTGGGTAATGGTGTGAGTCGGAACCAGCTGCTCCCGGTTTTAGAGAAATGTGGACTGGTGGATGCTCTCTTAATGCCACCTAACAAGCCGTACTCATTTGCAAGATACAGAACTACAGAAGAATCTAAGAGAGCCTATGTTACCCTCAATGGAAAAGAAGTAGTGGATGATTTAGGACAAAAGATCACTCTGTATTTGAATTTTGTGGAAAAAGGTATTATCATACAATTATCTTTTAAAAAATGATTCTTCTGGGTGTTTTCTTTTCATAGACTTAAGTTGGGAGGTTCAGTTATTGTGAAACAAAATGAGGAAGCAGGTTAGCAGCTCCTTTTACTTTAACAAACATTCTTTAAGCACCTATTTGTGCCAGGCATGGGACAAGTAGTTGACAGTACAGAGGTGAATAAGATACAACCTGCCTTTACAAAGCTAGTCCCACCAGTCAACAATATATTTATTAGGCACATGGCTTATTTTGGAACCCTCCTGCCTAATTGTGTTTTTCAAAATTTAATAATGAGGGTTTGCATTACTAGTTTATTTCACATATCTACCCAGGAGCTTTGAATTAATCACTTAAGAATGAATCGTGATCCAAATGATCATGTACCAATCTTCATATTTATAGCAGAACACCTGTAGCTACCAAAGATTCCTAAAACTTTATTTTTATTTATTTATTTATTTTTTTGCTTTTTGAGACAGAGTTTTGCTCTTGTTGCCCAGGCTGGAGTGCAATGGCACAATCTCGGCTCACTGCAACCTCCACCTCCCGGGTTCAAGCAATTCTCCTGCCTCAGCCTCCTAAGTAGCTGGGATTACAGGCATGTGCCACCATGCCTGGCTAATTTTTGTATTTTTAGTAGAGATGGGGTTTCACCGTGTTGGCCAGTCTGGCCTCGAACTCCTGACCTCGTAATCCGCCTGCCTTGGCCTCCCAAAGTGCTGGGATTACAGGCGTGAGCCACCGTGCCCGGCTGATTCCTAAAACTTTATGGTGGTGCTGTCCAGTAGAACTTCCTGTGATGGTAGAAATGTTCCTGTCTGTGCTGCCCAGTTCAATAGCCACTGGATAGTCTGATTGAGGAACTGAATAATTTAATTAAATAAGTATAGCTTTATATATTGATTTACAGAATTGTACAGGAATTATTACTTCTGCCCCATGAAAATGAGATGTATTGAGATGAACTTAGATTTAAACATCTAATCATATATTCATTTGCCACCTATTTAGGCAGTAAAAGAGCCCTGTTTTAGATATCCTAGGAGTGGGTAGGTGACTATAATCTGCTCAAATTTATGTTTTTGTAAAATAAGACTCGAAGGAAAACTTTTACAGACTCTTTTAAAGGTATATTTTAGAAACTATATTTCTCAGTGCTCATATGCATTTAATTTTAAATCTGACTTAAGCTTTACATATTTTGGAAACTAGATTATCCTCATGTTTTACATGTTTCTGGTCAGTTTTTGAAAACTGAGTGGCTGAGGAGTAAGTTTTAATCAGAAAATAGTCATTGGGTTTACCCCCGTCCTCCATGGTGAATATTCAGTAAGAAATTGCACAAAGTAAGTTTTGGAGTGCTCTTTATTTGAAATTCTTCATTAGATCCATATGTACTTTTAAGGCTCTGGCAATCACATTTATAACCTTGAAAGTCATTTTTAATTGAGAACAGAAGTGTGTCACAAATAGTTTTTTTTATTTTTTTTTGAGACAGAGTCCTGCTCTTTCACCTAGGCTGGAGTGCAGTGGCACGATCTCAGCTCACTGCAAGCTCCACCTCCCGGGTTCACACCATTCTCCTTCCTCAGCCTCCCGAGAAGCTGAGACTACAGGTGCCCGCCACTGCGGCCGGCTAATTTTTTTGTATTTTTAGTAGAGACGGGGTTTTACAGTGTTAGCCAGGATGGTCTTGATCTCCTGACCTCGTGATCCGCCCACCTCGGACTCCCAAAGTGCTGGGATTATAAGTGTGAGCCACCGCACCCAGCCATCACAAATAGTTTAATGCTTGTTTAGATATCTGCTACCAGGCAGCACTGAATAACAAATAGAAGAGATATTTTTAATTCTTTTTAAAACAACATATTTCGGAAACTAAATCCAAATTACTTACACTGTAAATTACTTTTCTTTAAGGAATTCTTTGCAAAGTTTTCCTTACATAATTTGAATACATAATATAATGTCTGGCACATAGTAGGCAGTGGTATGTATTTAGCAAATGATTTACTATTCATGTTTCTGAAATGTTATTAATAGAATCTAGTAAATAGTTGCTATTTTTGTGAATTAAATAATTCAAAGATTTAATCTGCCTGGCAGAAAACTGTCCAGCAGAAAAGCTTCAGAGATCATGTGTATAACATGAATGATCAGATCTCTAACAATAAATGTGAATACACTATTCCCTTTGTTTAATAGCAGATTCTTTTTTCTTTTCCTTCTAGAGCTATACCTATCTGAAACTTTGAAGGACACAGGAACTTAAATTATTTTAACATCTGCTAAATAATTCTTCATAAATGATATTTTGTATTTCTTTAGAAAGTTGTATTTTATTTTACATTTCTCTATTATATTTTCTATTTCTATTTACTATAGATAGTATCAAGAGCCTAAGAGCAAAAATGAGTATTTAAATTCTTGTATTCATTATTTAGACTATCTGACTTTTTAATGGAGATGCATACTGTGGATATTATGAGAAACCTTGTGAGATTTTAAAAGTGACTTCATCATGTTCACACCGGCTACTTAAATAAATACTGTTCTGTTTGCTGTTGGTAATTGCAGTGGATAAAGTGTACCATCATTTTGATCTTGGTCTTTGTTTCTGCACTTTTAATATGTTGGGTGCCTTTCAGCAATCTTGTTTCCGAAAATGAGGATTTGAAGTTTTGTGAACTGATAAAGAGTTATTGGGCAGAATTATTTGTATATAGGAACTTTAAGTTTTGCATGTGACTATTTTAATTTGGTTTCCCATAGTGCAGTGGAAGGAGTTGAGGCCTCAAGCCTTACCACCAGGACTCATGGTAGTAGAAGAAATAATTTCTTCTGAGGAGGAGAAAATGCTTTTGGAAAGTGTTGATTGGACAGAAGATACAGACAATCAAAACTGTAAGTAAAACTTTCAAAATCTGATATTTGAAAGTTTCTGCAAAACTCTTCTTCCTTTCCTCTGTCTTTCATGGTTTATTAATATTTCCTCAAAATTACTGAAACTAGCCCGGATCCAATGTTAGGCAAGTCATACCAACAATTCTTAGGAACATTAATAATAAATAACATTTATATAGCTATCAAATTTTAACTCCAAACTGATTAGTATTATCCAACATTTATATAGCTTTTATAAGCCTTTTCACTTATTTTATTCATTCCTCCCCACCCTAAGGCAAGTTTTCCTTGAGGAATTAGCAGTTCAGTACCACAATATTATAATATAGTGAGAGCTTCCTGGAGATATTTGCAAATTGGAGTTTTTCTGACTCTTTCTAGCTCATTGGCAATGTTGTAAATGGTAGTGTACATGTTAGTTTTCAGATTGATTGGGTAAAACTCTTGAAGAGTTTGTTACAATTTTAGACTTGAAATAACAACAAATATAAGGCAAAATGGTTAATTTTGTTAAAGACCATAATTTACCAATTAACAGAAGTTGCCATTACTAAACTAATCCTTACTCAAAAAGTTGACTGAAATATGCAAAGGAATGTAATTCTTTTCCTTCTTAATTGTTTACTTTGTTCTCTTCACACAGCTCAAAAATCCTTAAAACACAGAAGAGTAAAGCATTTTGGTTATGAGTTCCACTATGAGAACAACAATGTAGATAAAGATAAGCCATTATCTGGGGGTAAGTAATTGCTAATACATAATAAATTCTGGCTCAAAAATATTAATATATTAGTAGAATATGATAGTTGGGGGATTATGTTTCTTTTGTCATTTGTAGATAAACTTTCTGAACAGTTTATTTAAAACACTTTAATTAGATAAATTGTATAGTTTTGTTGTAAAAAAATTTCAAACTGGATAGAGCTGAAGTTCATCATTATTATCCTTATTCCCATGCTGCTTCTCATTTTACTGAATGATCCATAATAGCTTATTCAAATAGTTCTCTATCGATAGACATTTAGGTTGTTTCTGGTTTTTAGCTTTCATAAGTAATGCTGCTGTGAATATCTTTGAACATGCCTCTGTGCCCTGTGCAAGAGTTTCTCAAGGGAGACTACTAAGAAGTAGAATTGTCATGTTGAAGTTTATGTTCACTAAAAAACGTTAATTGATACTGACAAATTGCTTCCTAAAACAGTTGTACCAGCATATTCTCACCAAATGTGTACCTACTTCCCCATTCCCCAACCTGTGGTGTTGTAAAGCTTTTAAATTTATAATTTCTTGATTACTGGTAAGGTTGGTCATTTGTATTTCCTTTCCTGTGAATTCCTTTTTATATTCTTTGCCAGTTTTTTCCCAATGAAGTGTCTAATTGATTAAGAATTTACTGTATATTCTGGCTTTTAATCCATTGATATAATTGGTATAATTCTTTGTTGGAGTTAAATTTATCTATTTTTTTAATGACTTTGGTCTCACTTAAGGCTTTTCTTCCATCATGAAACAACATTTATGACTCCAATAAAAGTAAGTTAGTTCCACTTTGGAAGATGTGTTTTTTTTAAGGGAAATAATTTAAAATAATTAAATTTAAAATAAATGGTATAATTTAAAATAACAAAAAAAGAAAGTGGACAATTTCAATATATAGTATATTTTTATAATTTTATTGCTATTTTATAAAATACCAAAACTGTTGTTAGAATTGTTCTTTTAAACTTTTTATCTGAAAAAAAATCAATGAAATGACTTTAAAAGATTCCTAAATTTTTTTATTTTTTAATTTTGTTTTGCTTGTGGGTTTATTAATGGACCTGACTGCTAAATTAAAAGCTCAGAGATTTATATCACAGTGACTTTTAAAATTGTTGAGTAAAACAAGCAAAGTAAATATTTTAATGTTTTGTCTTTATGATTACTCATTGTAGGTCTTCCTGACATTTGTGAAAGCTTTTTGGAGAAATGGTTGAGGAAAGGTTACATTAAACATAAACCTGATCAAATGACCATAAATCAGTATGAACCTGGGCAAGGTGAGTATTTCTTGTTCAAAAATTTTAGTCACATATTTTGGAACTGAGTAGATGATATAATTCTCTAAGGGCAGATATATTATTATTATTATTATTATTATTTTTTTTTTTTTGAGATGGAGTTTCGCTCTTGTTGCCCATGCTGGAGTGCAACGGCGTGGTCTCGGTTCACTGCAACCTCTGCCTCCTGGGTTCAAGTGATTCTCCTGCCTCAGCTTCCCAAGTAGCTGGGATTACAGGCGCACACCATCATGGCCCAACTAATTTTTGTATTTTTGTAGAGATGGGGTTTCACCATGTTGGCCAGGCTAGTCTCAAACTCCTGACCTCAGGTGATCTGCCCGCCTCAGCCTCCCAAAGTGCTGGGATTACAGGCATGAGCCACCGCGCCCAGCCAAGCAAATACATTATTTTTAAGCTCAAATTAACTGTCAGATTGCCTTGCTTATGTTTGTTACTTGTGTTGACTTCAGTCTTTGCAAATCTACACTTTAATCCCTTGAGGAACTTGCATTTCAAAGTGTAAACACACTGATACAAATCACTGTTTGTGATTTTTTTTGTTTGTTTCCCTTTCAACGTTTCCTTTAGAGAGGGAAGACATTGGTCTGAAAAACATAGGAGACGTGTAATGGAAGAAACCAAATAATTTATAGATAGAAGAAGGCTGATTGGTTGGATGATCTTTCTCTTCTTTCTATTTGATAATATGGGAGACAATTGCAGGATGACATTCTGGTGAAAAATCTTTATGATACTGATTTCTTATACTTGTTAGCAGCATCTTCATCTGACGTTTATAGCAATCAAATGATTTTAAGGGTTTTATTTTTTACTTTTTTTGGCTTAAACAACAGAAATGTATTTTTTCACAGTGTAGAGGCTGGGAAGTTCAAGATCAAGGTGCTGGTTGATTGGGTTCCTGGTGAGGCCTCCCTTCCTGGCTTGTCATCAGCCACCTTCTCTCAATGTCCTCACATGTCCTTTTCTCTGTGTGTGCATGTGCATGGAGAGAGAGCGAGCTTCCACGTGTAAGATTAGGGCCCCACACTTATGACGTCTTTAATTTAAGGGTTTTATTAACGGCAGGAGTTATGGAGTTTTGTTTTCTTTTCTACATTTATTATAATGAAAACTGATGGCTTTAGATTTGTAGCTGTGGATTTGTGAATACTACACCTCTGAATTAGAGAGACATGCTGACCTTGTCTCTAGCACAGCGAGACAACTGAAGCTGAAGCAGAGGCCGTTCCTGTAGAGCACAGAGGCCGGGGCCACTCTTAAAGACGCAGAGGCCTGTAGGATGAAATGTGAAGGAGCATGTGTTAGCTCCTGCAAACCAGCTGGCTCTGAAAATGAGAGGGAAGGGCTGAGCCAAGTAAGCTTGACCCCAGATTAACTAGTCAGCCAGGGCATTTCTTCTTTGCCTTTCTTACCTAGCTGTCTTTCCATTGGCTTGTAAGCTCTTTGAGGACAGGGACCCTCCTACTGGCTTTGTATACCCTCACCGTGTAGCAACATTTCTTTTACTTAAGAGGTGCTGAGTTAATGTAAATTGATAGATCAGTGGAGAAGTCCATATCGTAATTATTGATACGCCTAGTCTTTATACCTGGTTATTGCTTTTGTTCTGCAAGTACTTGGGAATCCAGTGTTTGAAGGTAAAAATGACTTTTGTATTTGTCTTTCACATTTTCCTCTTGGGCTGGAATTGAGTTAAGTGTCCTAGTTAATCAGTGACTCCTGAGCCTTGATTTTAGATCAAACCCCAATGGCACTTTAACTTGAAGTTAAGATATTTTTAGTTTATTTTAGTATGTTTTAGTCACATTCACCCTAAATGTTTCCTTTTAACCAAAATTATAGTACCTTCCTGATTACCAAGCAATGTTTTCACCTTAATAGCATAAGGCTACATTTATAGCCATCTTAAATCTACTAAAGGAAAAAATGAAGTGACGTGTTGTCCTGTTTTCCATCTCAGGAATTCCCGCTCATATTGATACACATTCCGCTTTTGAGGATGAGATCGTTTCTCTCAGTTTGGGGTCAGAGGTAAATGGTCATTTTTATTAGCTATCATCATATATCTTACCTTGTACAATGCCCTTTTCAAAGATTATCCACATTCTTAATGAAAATGAATTAAGATTTAAAAATGAAAAATAAGGGCACCATTAGCACTTTGGTTTCTTTTAAATGTCCTCTTCTTTTAAATATCCAAAATTTTATCTGTCACCTCATCAGATGCCAGGAAAACAACTTGAAATTTAATTTTTTACACGAAACTTTTAGCAGTTAAATAAGATCTAGACTTTCCTTGGTACAATGTGGCCCATTTCTGACCTACTGGTGCAGCATTGCCATCTAGTGGCAAAAGATAGTAGCTTCATGCCATAGAAAAAGGAAACAAATTAAAATGTGTGTTCTGAATTTTGATGAACTTTTTCCGTATGTTACCTGATTCAATCCCTTCAAAAACTCTGAGAAGTAGAGGGTAATATCTTCATTTTTACAGATGAAGAATAAGAGGTTCATGTTTATTCATTGATTTGTTTCTGTAGCTGCACTTTGCTTGAGCCACTAAAAGAAAATATTACATGTGAAGTGATCCACGCAACCTACAAGCAGATTTTTGGATAGAAATCAGAATTTTAGGCTGGGTGCGGTGGCTTATGCCTGTAATCCCAGCACTTTGGGAGGCTGAGGCGGGCAGATCACGAGGTCAGGAGATTAAGACCATCCTGGCTAACACGGTGAAACCCCGTCTCTACTAAAAATACAAAAAAATTAGCCGGGCATGGTGGCATGTGCCTGTAGTCCCAGCTACTCGGGAGGCTGAGGCAGGAGAATCACTTGAACCTGGGAGGCAGAGGTTGCAGTGAGCCGAGATT
Source organism: Homo sapiens (assembly GCF_000001405.40). NCBI lineage: Eukaryota > Metazoa > Chordata > Mammalia > Primates > Hominidae > Homo > Homo sapiens. The sequence goes on along the minus strand of NC_000011.10, from coordinate 107,548,913 downwards.
GCGCCACTGCACTCCAGCCCGGGTGACAGAGTGAGACTCTGACTCAAAAAAAAAAAAAGAAAGAAAATCAGAATTTTAAATCTGGAAGAGTCCTTAAAACATCAGGTCATCTAATCTAATTAGAGTCTGTATCAAATTCTGATCTTGTTCCTGGAGGCAAAAACTATTCATTTTTGTTTTCCCGTATTTGTATAGTTTCCATCATTAGATCTTCAGTGTTTTGGCCTCTTAACCCTTCCCGAGCTTGTGTAGTCATGTTGATACTGTCACTTGACAATTAGTGGTGTTTGATATGACACAACCATCTTATTAACTATGTATGTAGATTCTTAATACAGGTGCTTTAAAAAATAATGAGATCGGGGAGGAAAAAACACTCTTCTCTCTCTGGTTTCTTTTTTATTTTTACCCCCCATCCTTGCTTCTAGCTTTAGGGACCAGTAAAGGACATCTTCTCATTTTCCTCCCAACTGTGTAACCAACTGAGAAATGAGACAAAAGATAATTCGAGATCAGAGTGTTAACTTTACTACTGAGAAAACTGATGGCAGAACATGACTTTAGATCTGTAGCCAAGTGAACTTGTTAATACTTCACCTCTGAATTAAAGAGACATACTGACCTTGTCACTGGCGTAGCTGGACAACTGGAGACCTTCCCCATGGAGGCAGAGGCTGTTCGTATAACAGGACACGAAGGAGCTCCTCTAACAGGACATGTGTTAGCTCCTACAAACCAGCTGGCTCTGAAAATGAGAGGAAAGGGCTGAGCCAAGTGAGCCTGGCTTCAGAGTAACCAATAAGCAAAGGCATTCCTTGTTTTCAGGAGAGTTGTAAGTGAAGGGGTGGAAAAAAACTAGGAGTGTGCTTTCTACTTTTTATTCCTAGGGAAGTTCCCTTCCTTCCCAGGGAGATATGAGAAATGAGGACTCAATATCCCCCCCAGCGCCCTAGAAGATCATTGCACAGGTTTTAATTAGAAATTATGAAGAAGGGAAAATTTGCCCTTTAGTTGAACTGAAAATCTGCTGCATTCATTATCTCTATTTGGTGTCTCTGGAAGCATATAATTTTCAGCTGCCAATTTGAATGACGTTTGGTTAAAGCCATCTTTGTAATGGCTGGAAAGTGTGCATAAGTTATGACAGGAACAGTAGATTTTCTTTTAAAATACCTTTGAGAGTAAGTGAATCATTGTAATTTTGAAAAATGAAGTTTATTTTTATGATTACTTGAACATATTCTTAAAACCCTTATAATTTTAAGTTTATAATGTTTGTTTCAGCTTATAATACTATTTAAAACAGTCCACTAAATTTGGGCCTTTATTTCATCTATAAAATGAGATTAATAATATTTCTTTCCTGGCTGAAGGATTGTGATAGAAATAAAATGAGGTAATGTATGTGAAAGTATTTTTCAAATTCAGAGTAATCCATGCGTGTAAAGGCTCCTTCAGGTGTATCTGTTCTAGGGCTCCTTACTTAAAGCCTTCACTTCTGTAACAGGAGGAAGCTCATGTTCCCACAGCCTAGAAGTAGGATTTCAAGTGGTCATGAGAGAGATGACTTTCCACTCTTGCAACTTGTGCTGTTCTGTTTTATTGATTGATTGATGCTGTGTAATTACTTGAATTTCTCCTAGCACCTTACTCCACACCTAGAATCTGAGTACTATACCTTTGGCCCTATTTCTTTACTTTCTTATCTTTGACATCCTCAGTCGTTTTAAGAACTTTCCTGTAATGCCTATGGCAGCTTCCATTTCATTGTAATAATTTTGTCAGTGGCATTATTGTTTTGGTTTTTTGTAATGCTTTTTCGTTTTGTTTGGCTTAAATATAATGTCAAAGACTCAGCTAAAGTCATTGACGTTATATTTAATACTTTACTTTTCTCTCTTTCCCAGGAAATTTCTAAGATCTCTTTCAATTCTTAAATGTTCCAACTCATGGTGTTCCCATGAGGTATTCTTAACTTTAATATAATTCTTCAATGCTTTATTACTTAAAATGCTTTATTTGTATGACTACTGGAGCATATTCTTTTTAAAGCTCTTATAGTATGTCTAAAAATAGTGTACATTTTATATTAAGCAAAAATAGTCTTGTTTTTTTCAAATACATTAGTTTTCCCTCTACAACTAAGTTGTGATTTTCTTTAAGGCTTTTGTACCTTCGAAATATGTATGATATGTGTATAAGTGAGGATGATTTAGCTGCAATTAACAGCAGAAAACCCAAATAAAAATGATTACAAGGCAAAACAAGTTAATATCTCATATAACAAGATATCTCAAGGAAGGCTGGTTCCAAAAGTTTTAACTTGTTGGCTCAGGTCGGTAATTTCATCAAGGAACCAACCAATTTCTTTCCATCTCAAATACTCAGTGCTCCCCTAACTGAGGATGAGCTTAGGGAAATATCCAAGGAGTAGGCTGCATCGGGTTATATGACAATAACATATACCTGTGAAGTCTACTAGGCTTTTGTTTTTAGGTAATCCTTCACTGATGAATTTGTCCTGCCGTAAATTGCAGCCTGCCTTTGCTGGCCAGGCATGTTTTGAGAGATGCCCTTGCTATAACCTTTTATGATAATAAACTAGTAATGTTGTTGGGCAGATAACTCAGTTCATCAAGTACCGTAAGAGTTGGTCAGCTGATAATGAAAATAACTATTTAATGTGCATCTCCCTAAAACCAATACCTAACTTCTATTATAAATAAGGAAGAAAACTTTTGATTAGGACTTATCTGGGAAAACGAAACTAAAATTTATGAAGATGATTTTTAAAGAAAAATTTTATTTAACAATTTTTAGGTTATATTACAACTATGTACTAATTTTTTAGAACAAAGAATGAGTCACGTGAACTTTGTTTTTGGTCTTGTTTTTCTGATAAAATATGGTAGCATGATAAAAATTCCTTTATTTGACTTTTATAGCTTGATTATAAAGAGTGCGTTGTTGTGTTATTTGCTTTATTTTTCTCTTCGTTGTGAAAGTCCTGACTCTGCCAGATTTTCAGATGTTTAATGGATTTGCATGTGATTTAAATGGTCCTCTGACATCCCTTTTATCAATTTCGGGAAGTCCATCTTTTGTGAGAATTGCAATTTCAATTAGTTTTGGGTTTGCATTGCACTGGCTAGTATTTATATAATCAACATTCACTGAAAGACTGACCAAAGGGATTACCATAATGGGCAGAGATAGCTGCTGATATTGAAGAGAGAGAGAGCTATTTGGGCAAGTACTAATTTTATGGAAGTCCGTTCATCAGTAAATATTTCTTATTATGATGACTTTTGCAACTCAGTGGGTGGGGATAATTGGATAGTTGGGTAGTAAAGACCCCATCTGCTGAATGTTTGCTATAGAAGGCCACGTCTTTCAGTATATTTCCTGCTCTCTTTCCAGGCTCATGCTTTCAGCAAATACCTGTTGAGTCCTGCCTGACTCCTATGTTGAGTCATAGGGTACTGAGTAAAAATTATTTATGCAGTATCTTGAAATACCTAGCTGAATGGGTTTTTTTAGTCATTGTTTTTTGTTTTGTATTCCCAGTCTGGTCAATCAGAATGACTCACAGGGTACTTCTGTTCTAAGAGTTTATTGTTTTAATGGACAAATGTTTCATTATTTTCAGATCTTTAGCACAAACTGGAAAAAACACCCAGACATTTTCTTTATACCACTTAAAACAACAATACAGTCTGGACCGCAGACATACTGGCTTCATCTCCAACCTCAAATTCAGCCCTCAATATTTGCCTATATAAGCAATGTTTACAGCCTCAGAAGCCAAACAATCTCTTCTTTTAGTTTTTATCTTGATTCCAGGCCCCATACTTTATTCTTATCTGAGAGTCCTTGGAATATTTTCATTTCCTGAAGTTCTGAAAAATGGATTGTCTCTGCTGTGTAGCTCCTCTCTCCTTTCTCTCATTCTTTATAGCTTATTTATGATTTTTTTACTCTGTCTCTGTAGTGCCTTTAGCATTAAAAAGATAGTGATCTACCATCCTGGTGGGTGTGTATTTCTCCTTCTTTGTGTGTGTGTGTGTGTGTGTGTGTGTGTGTGTGTGTGTGTGTGTGGTTTGTATCTAAAGCCATGGTGACTTCTGTATGGCTCTATATGTATATTGATGTAGATGTGGGAAAAGAGTGTAATTCTCATGTGGGTTCTTTAGTTGCATCATAGTATAATTAAAGTGGCATTGGGCCAATCTTCATTTTTCCTTTTATCCTGTGGGTCTCTAACATTCAAAACTTCTGGAGTAGACAAGTAGATCTGCTGGTTTGTGGGCCAGAAATAAATAAATGGTCTACCTTGTTTGATCATGTCATTTTTTATACATTGAATTCTATTTTTCACTTTTAAGCACTTTCCTTAGTAACTTAAGTTCTGAAGATTCTTCTATTTTTATGTAATTTTCTCATCTTTCAGGATCTCTTGGAAGCCAGCATTCTCTTTTGCATAAATTGGTCAAATAAGACTCAATGCTGACAGTTCTTAACAGGCACTCTTTATCTTTTTTCTGTGGAGTGGGAGCTTCTTTAGTCAAGCCCCTTCAATAAGGATAATGTCAAAGAAGTATACCTGTTTCAGCCAGCAGTCTGCTAACAAAGTCTGTTTCATGGCATGACATCATAAAATAGAACATGCTGCTGTATTTGGAGCCTTTGGAGTACTGATTCTTCCATCTTTTCAGTTAGAACTATGTGCATTTACTTTGTAGCAAGAAAGCAGCATTATATCACTCCATCTGGATTGTAGAACTAGAATAAAATTCAGAAAAATCAATAGAGTTCAGAAAACTACAGTAGAAGCCCGCTTAAGTGGTATAGATGAAACTACCAGTTGGCTGCACTTAAATTAGGGAATAGTCATAATAAAAGATATGTACATACTGCAGACATTTTAACACATATAAATTCACTCATCAATATTTTGTTGCGGGGCCAAAGTCTTTGCATCTGTGAGGGGCCACAGTCTGCTTTGTCTCTCCAATTTCATTTCTTTAAAGTGAAGCAAACGTTTAAAGACATGAAACCATCTGAATGTGGGGTTTTACATTTTGATGTTTTTGTTTCCAATATTTTATAATCAAATTTTCACATTTATTGGAACATTAAATTTATTTTTTGCCTTTATTGAGTCATTCTACAATATTCAACTTGGCTTCTATAGAAAAATGCTATCTTTTCTCGCTTAATTTTCATTCATTTATGTAATATTAAATTAAATAAAATAATTACAATGATAAGGGTAACTGGCACAGTGATTTGGGAACATACACAATTTGACTTGTTAAGCATATAGCTCTACTGGTGAGAATAGAAGTGCATGGACATATTGGAGAGTTGTCTATCATCAACAAATATTCAGGGCATGGGTACACATTATAGAAGGAATGGAGCATGTTGGTTGGTTAAATGGATGTTGGTTAAAAGAACTTTTACTTATGTGACCAGCATTGTCCTGTGCATTCTAGGGGATACAGAAATACCTTCAACCTTGATTTTTTTCCCCTCAGATATTAGACCTGAATATCTAACATTCTTCTTTTTTTTTTGAGACGAAGTCTCTCTCTGTTGTCCAGGCTGGAGTGCAGTGGTGTGATCTTGGCTCACTGCAACCTCCGCCTCCGGGTTCAAGCAATTCTGTGCCTCAGCCTTCCAAGCAGCTGGGATTACAGGTGCCCACCACCACGCGTGGCTGATTTTTGTATTTTTAGTAGAGACAGGGTTTCACCATCTTGGCCAGGCTGGTCTTGAACTCCTGACCTTGTGATCCACCCGCCTTGGCCTATATCCAACATTCTAAAAGGGATTTTAACTTGTCTAAATCAAAGCTCATTGTCTTTGTTTTCAGCGATTCACCGTCCACTGTCATTCTCCCATACGGAACAAAATCTTTGCTCTTTCTGGGTTTCCTGCTCTGGTTAATGACCCCACTGTCATTAGAACATTCAGAACATGGCAAATATTCCTGTTTTTTGAGACAGGATCTTGCTCTGTTGCCCAGGCTGGAGTGCAGTGGCACACTCATGGCTCACTGCGGCCTCGACCTCCCAGTCTCAAGCAACCCTCCCACCTTAGCCATCCTAGTAGCAGGTACTGCAGGCACGAGCTACCATGCCCAGCTAATTTTTGTATTTTTTGTAGAAACGGGGTTTTGCCCTGTTGCCCAAGCTGGTCTTGAATTCCTGGGCTCAAGCAGTCTGCCCTACCTTGGCATCCCAAGGTGCTGGGATTACAGGCATGAACCATTGCACCTGGTTGGTGTCAAATATTCTTGAAATGTATTTCAATGATTATAAATTTTGCTTTTAAGTACCGCTTTATTGCATCCCATGTTTTCTGTTAAAAACTGCTTTGTGGAGATATAACTGACGTCCCAAGCACTGCACATACTTAATAAAAAGCTCATGAAACCTTCACCACACTCAAGATAATGAACATATCCATCATTCCCACAAGCTTCCTCATGCACTAATTTTTCCTCATGCACTAAAGATTTCATCTACTTTTTTGTGGCTTATGTTATTGCTCTTGTTACATTTGAGGGTGACTTTTGTTTATTTCTCTAGGTTCTTTTAAGATTTTTTGCTTTTATCTTTTGTTTTATTTTTATGATCCTGCTTATTCTGCTTATTTTGATTGGCTTGTTTATTCTGCTTGGGAATTACCAGGTTTCTTGAATCTGTAGATTGAGTTTTTCCATCAATTTTGGAAAATGCTTAGTAATTGCCTCTGTAGATTTTGCCCCTGCCCCCATTCTTTCTTCATTTACCTTTTTTCTACATTTTTTATTTTACTTATCCTGTCTTCTGTGTTTTCTATCTTTTGTCTCTCCATGCTTTACTCTAAATAGTTTCTTCTGTCACTAATTCTTTATTTTGCTGTGTTAATATGCTGTTAAGCTCATTCATTGATATCCTAATTTCAGTTACGGCATTTTTCTGTTTTAGAATGTCTGGTTTTTCTTTATATCTACAGGGTCTCTTTTTTATCGTTTCTGTTCCCTGCTGAAATGTTCAAGCTTAGCATTTATATCTTTAAACATGGTAAGCATCTTTGTTTTATAGCCTGTTTCTGATATTTGAATATTTGAGGTCCCTGTGATTTTTTTCTGTTTCCCCTGCTAGGCTATCTTTTTCCAGAGCAGGTACTGTGTCTTATTCTGATTCAGAATGTCTGATATGGAGGCTGGCTTTCTACATTTATAGAAAGCTCACAGGTGATTTTGTTATTTAGCTAGATTTTATACCATTGAGTTAGAAAATGCTGAAATGCTAAAGCTGTGTAGTATCAACTCCAAGGACAGTGGGATTTTAGCTTTGTTCTTTAAGACAAAGAATAAATAGAAATTAATATAGGCCCCCAATGGTAGTTCTAATCATCATTCAATTAAATATTCCAGTGCAATACTAGAAACTGAAGAAGTTAAAGACTATGTGTATTGGTTTCAGATCCTGGGATGTTTGTACCAGGGCTGAATTAAATACTGGACTAGTTGGGGGACTTGGGTTTTAGCTTATCCCTATTAGTAACTTTTAATTGACTATGGAGACAATTTCGGTGCTTTCTGTCTTAAATTGAAGTTGACATGTAATACTTGCATTTTAATTGTCATCAGGAGTTGATACACAGTTAGTAATATGAATAGTAGCTACTATGGCTTTTACTCCTTTGACCATCAGCACTACCATTGCCATGATCATTATCGCCAACAGCTAACTATTCTGTGCTAGAGACTGTGGTAGATGCTATATTAAGTGAACTTTTCCTCATGGGGAGCAATCTAGGGCCTCAGGAATAGATATACCCATGACTGTTGTTCTTATTACTCTAGCTGTCTCATTTTGGTTCTTTGTGAATCTGATGGTTTACTTTGCTTAAGGAGGAAAGCCCAGAAAATAAACAAATAGAATTTAGGAAGTCTTCTGTACAAATATAAAATATACACCACCCTATTTGTAAAAATACATTATTTATGATGAATTCATTCATTCATTCAAAAATATTTGTTGAATATAATTTACTAGACAGACTGTAACAAGTAAACAAAGATACAATTTAAAATATTTTTTAAGCTAAAATATTTTATTTCTTCTATAACCTTTTCATATGTAAAGTAAAACTTAATTTTATCGAAGTGGTTTGTGAGCCCATTTTTGAATGTTGGTGGATTTCACTTCATAGTTCCTGCAAACAAATGAAGCAAATAAATGAAGCCATGGTATATAAGTGAGAGCTCAAAGCAAGTGGTCTCAGTGTAAACACATCAACATAATATATTATCTGTTAGGCATTTAAGCTAAGCATTTATAATATTGGATGTGCAATGGTGGCTAAAGTGTCTCCAATTTAGCATTTTCTTTTTTAGCTGATTTTCCAGTTATGCAACATATATTTTGTTCTGTATTGTAACATTTGACAGTGTGTCTAGACCGTTAGCCAGAAAGATGCCTTTTATTTTTATTTTACATTACACTTGAGCTTAGCTAGACAAAACAGTTCAAAGCCATCTGTATTTGGGGGTGAAGAGTAAGAGAGGGCAGAATCTATTTGTTCAGCAGCTGAGGCCTAGTTTTGGAAGTCAGGGTTGTATTTGAAAGGTGGAATTTGCCAACTTTTGCTATACAATAGATTTTTTTGTGGTGTTTTCTTTTTAACTTTTTGCTGGATCTAATTTTGCCTATTTCACATATGCAGTACTGCAGGCACATTCCCAGATGTATATACCCTAAATGTGTGCATGGTACCTGATAACTAGGAAAGCTTCTACACCAGAGAGGCAAACGATGTTCTGCCTCTCATTTTCTCTCAGTAGCAATGAGAAATAAGTGCCTTTGGACCACAGTGGTATTTAGCTGCTGCCCGTAACACTTCATCGCCCACTCTTTGATGCCATAGGGCACCATCCTGTGCTCATGTGTGCAGTTTTTCTCCTCTCATGACCAGATTATTGAGGCTTGTACTTTATGAAATTGCCGCTGGCTTCAGAACAAGGGAATAGAACTTGTTTTCTTTTAGTCACTTTCAAATGGGAGGTCCTGTATGTTGATTACAGGATGTGTTGGTGACATTGCCACTTTTCCTTCGAGCTTCATAAGACTTTGTAATTTGGGGATTCTAACTTTCAAGACATTTAGCCAATGGATTTAAGTTTCCTGTGTGTGGGGGTTGTTTTCTGTTTTTGCTTTTTGTTGTTGTTTTGTTTTTTAAACATCCCTTACCAGTAGGAATCAGGGAAGGGAAACAGGTTTGTGGTGGGCCTAGATTTGTTTTTGTTTTTGTTTTTTTTTGGTGGATTCTCGCTCTGTTGCCCAGGCTGGAGTGCAACGGTGAGATCTTGGCTCACTGCAACTTCCACTTCCTGGGTTCAAGTGATTCTCTTGCCTCAGCCTCCCAAGTAGCTGGGACTATAGACGCCCACCACCATGCCGGCCATTTTTTGTATTTCTAGTAGAAACGGGGTTTCACCATGTTGGCCAGGCTGGTCTCAAACTCCTGACCTCAAGTAATCTGCCCACCTTGGCCTCCCAAAGTGCTGGGATTACAGGCGTGAGCCACCACACCTAGCCAGTGGGCCTTGATTTTAACCTATTCTAAAGGAGGAGGCCATATGGCATAGGTAGAAGGTTTAAAGGTCACTAGCATCAGCCATTAGTCTCCAAGGTGTCTCCAGGGCAAAATTACTGTCAATTCCTCTGCCCTGGAAAATACCAGCAAGCTTTTCTTCCAGTTACTTTTCAGCTTAGCAAAGTGTACTTCTGCGGGTATCACCTTTTGTGGAATTTCCTCTTTGCTGTTTAAAATAAAAAGGAAACTCTTACTTCATTTGGGTCAAATGAAATTGTTAGCACAACTATAGAATATTTCTGTTTGGTAGACTGTGGGAAACAGGTGAACTTTCAGCTATGAAATATTTTCTCTAGTTAAATATAGTAAGTTCTGCCCTCTTAGCTTTTATCATTCTCTATGAATCACACATCGTTTTTCACATCATATTGTCCCCTGTCCAGCTATTCTTTAGGGATTTCTCTAAAAAGGTTAATCATCTCGGCCTCTTTCTAACCATTAAGGATCAGGATTAAATTTGTCTTCTTTCTCAGAAGTGTTCCCAGTAGCGTATATTCTTCTTTATCCTATTTAGCCAACATGGAGATCTGTTTATTCCTTCATGTGCTTTTCTGTTATGAATGTTAACTTTTCTTCGTTGATAGATTGATAACTGTGTCTGGCATTTTTGTTCTCTTGTATTTTGGATGTGTGAAAGTTGTATAAGATGAGAATGTCTAAGGGTTTGTTTGCTTAGGACTGAACATTATCCTCAGTCATGCCCTATAAGCTTGCTGGGCACTTGATCTTTATTGACTCTGCCATCTCAGAAAATAGGTAAAAACAAAAAGAATAATTGGAAAAAGCTCCTGTGGAGCAAAATTTTCACATAACAGAATGATTCAGCAGTTTCAGGGGAACTTTATTGATTGAATATTTTTTTAAAGTCTTTTTATTTTGTGGTCTTTTAACAAGCATTTAGTTAAAGTACAGATAGTTTAAATATGATGATACTGAAAATACTTTATTTTGATGATGGAATGTTGTAGGAAAAATGTAATTTTCATAGGAAGTCTACATTTAATTTTATAAGTAAAATTATATCTAAATTTAAAAAAATATACTGTCAAATTATATGCCAAAATAAGTTTCAGAGATATAAAGGATAAAATGTGTAAAAAAAAACAGAAAATCTGTAATAAAATAGGAGCGAATATTTATCTGATCAAGATGGGGGCTTTGTAAGCATATGAAGAAATTGTGTTTTTGTGTCTTGTAGTCATAAAATAGATTGACAACATTAAAAAAAAATTCAGAACTTCCAAGGCCGGCTATCTAAATTGTGGGGCCCAATTCCAAATGAAAGTATAGACTCCTTATTCAAAACATAGGAAAATGGACCAGAAAGGCACTAAAGTATAAAGCTTTTCCTTCTGTGGTCTTTCTCATCTTGTCAAAGTGGTTTTTATTTTCTATTTAGTGCCATCAGTGTAAAGAAATCTAAATTTTGATTTATTGGCATGAATTTTACCATTTGTCTTCATATTGTGTGACACTAGTTTTAAATGCAAATGTAAGAACATGTAACTCATATGGAATCACCAAATTTTTTTTTTTTTTTGTCTTCAACTTTTATTTTAAGTTCAGGGGTACATGTGCAGGTTTGTTACATAGATAAACATGTTCCATGGTGGTTTGCTGCACAGATCATCCCATCACCTAGGTATTAAGCCCAGCATCTATTAGCTATTCTTCCTGATGCTCTCCCTTCCCCCACCACCCCCTCCAACAGGCCCCAGTGTGTGATGTTCCCCCTCAATGTGTCCATGTGTTCTCATCATTCAGGTACCACTTATAAGTGAGAACATGTGGTATTTGGTTTTCTGTTCCTGTGCTAGTTTGCTGAAGATAGTGGCTTCCAACTCCATCTGTGTCCCTGCAAAGGACATGATCTCATTCCTTTTTATGGCTGCATAGTATTCCATGGTGTATATGTACCACATGTTCTTGTTCTAGTCTATCATTGATGGGCATTTACATTGATTCCATGTCTTTGCTATTGGGAATCACCAAACTTAAACAATTTGTATTTTGTACTTGTACATTCATTTGTGATCATTTTTACCAGAATAGTGGAAACACTGCACAAAACTAACCCAACAATAACCATTTTTGTTTCACTTCTTGATTTGTGCACCTTCTGCTAACATTGTCTGTCTTCTAGAAGGACTGGAAGGAAATGGAATTATGAATTTTCAGGAGTCTGGCTCCAGGCTGAAACCCTATGTGATTTTTCAGGCCTCACCATAGGTGATGACAAAGGCTTTACCTGGTGGCCTCATGGGGGAAAAAGCTGCCCTCCTCATAGTAGACTTGATGCACAGCCAGTGCATTACAGTCTAAGTGGAGTTGTAATGAAGGGGTCAAACGTCCCTGGCTGGTTATGCTCTTATGCCTATTTGCATTCCTAGCCTAGACACCTTCATTCCTCGAACTCTTTATCTGAGGTCTTTGGCTGACGTCCTCTTCAGGCACCTCTGCCGAGGCCTTTTTGTGGAGGAGGGAGTTGGAAACCTCAAAGACATTTTCCTTACTCTGACTTGGTACTAGCTACTTTTCAATTCCTAGTCTTTCCCACTCACCCTTCCCCTTACCGCTGAGTTTATAACACTGCTGGAACCTTTCATTCAGGGTTCCCTCAGCAGTGAGACAATCCCCACATTCAAGATGATCCACCTCAACCTCAAGTCATGCAGTGTTCAGTGGAGAAAAATGGGACTGGGGGGAGTTGGTGCTTCCTCTGGTTTTAGACCTTTGTTTATGCTATTATATCACAATAAGTGATCAACTTTCATTTTTGGCTTATTGCATTAATCCACTACTCTGAGCTCTTTCTTTCAGCCTTCAGGTTGTCCTGTCATTCCGTATTCTTCTACATCATCATTTTCACTGTTAAGCAGTTGGCTAACACAGGGAAGTAACATGAATAAGAAAGGATATGATGGTGGGGTTCCTTGTGTTACTTTAGACAAGTTAAATTTAATTGAGTTTAATTATGCAATGAATGATTGATAAATCAGGCAATGCCCTGAACCAGAATAGGTTCAGAGAGACTCCAGTGCTGCCGAGTGGTTGGAGAGAATTTATGGACAGAAAAAGTAAAGTGACATATAGAAAACAGAAGTGAGGTACAGAAACACCTGGATTAGTTACAGCTTGGCGTTTGCCTTATGTGGACATGGTTTGAACAGATGGCCACCTTTATTGTGTGAAACTCAGTGATTGGTAAAATAGTAGGTAGCAGTCTGTTTAGACATCCAGTTAGATTACAGTTCACTATGTATGAAGAACCTTTAGGCTGAACTTATAAGGAGGCAACTAACTTTAGGCTAAATTTAATTTAACACTTGATTGCTTGTGTTTCTTAGAACACCATTGTCTTCTTTCTACATTTGAAGCAAGTTCTGGAGGACCCTCTAGGCTGTCAGTGTACCCTCACTCACTCAGTGGTAGACATAAAGTGCTTACTGTGTACTCTGAGTCTCGGTGAACTCTCACACTTTCTGTGTTCATGGGACATTGTGGACACATTACCCAAATGGGCCTCAAGGAACTGTGGACAAGCATATTGCGTGCATCTCCTTGCTTAAGCCCATACTCCATTGTTACATCAGACTTCATTTAACACAAGTTCAAAGATAAAGTTAAGAATTTCAATCAGTGAGAAAAAAACAAACAATCATATCAAAAAATGGGCTAAGGACATGAATAGACAATTCTTAAAAGACAATATACAAGTGGACAACAAGCATGTGAAAAAATGTTCAACATCACTAATTATCAGGGAAATGCAAATCAAAACCACAATGCAATGCCACCTTACTCCTGGGAGAATGACCATAATAAAAAAATTTAAAAAATAAAAGATGTTAGCAGGGATGTGGTAAAAAAGGGAACACTTTTACACTATTGGTCAGAATGTAAAGTAGTACAACCACTTTGGAAAACAATGTGGAGATTCCTTGAAGAACTAAAAGTAGATCTGCCATTTGATCCAGCAGACCCACTCCCAGGTATCTACCCAGAGGAAAAGAAGTTATTGTACAAAAAAGATAATTGCACACACGCTTATAGCAGCACCATTTGCAATTTGCAAAAATATGGAACCAGCCCAAATGCCCATCAATCAACGAGTGGATAAAGAAAATGTGGTATATATAGACAATGGAATACTACTCAGCCATAAAAAGGAACAAAATAATGACATTCGCAGCAACCTGGATGGAACTGGAGACTATTATTCTAAGTGAAATAACTCAGGAATGGAAAACCAAACATTGTATGTTCTCACTCATAAGTGGGAGCTAAGCTATGAGGATGCAAAGGCATAAGAATGATACATTGGACTTTGGGGACTTTGGGGAAAAGTTGCGGGGGTGAGGGGTAAAGGACTACACATTGGGTACAGTGTACACTGCTCGGGTGATGGGTGCACCAAAAATCTCAGAAATCACCACTAAAGAACTTATCCATATAACCAAACACCACCTGTTCCCCAAAAACCTATTGAGAAAAAAAAAAAAGATGAGGAATGGTCAATTTGATACAGAAAAAGAAAAACATTTAGCTTATTTGGTTGTATATTTTTCCTCCTTGAAACTTGGCTTGTATATGCCAGGACAGGTGTTTCAAAATTAACTAATATCATGTTCATATATCTCTTGTGAGTTCTAATCACTTGTTTAAGCTGAAATTTTCCTATTTGAAAATCACTACTGTCCGTTGATGGGAGGGAATAAGTTTGAATTTCACAAATACGTATGTATTGTGCCTTTGTAAAACATGTTCAATATTAGCCAAAAAGTGTAACTTCTAGGTGGATATAGAGCTTGTCTCTCTTCACTCTTGTAGCCTTTGATATCTCACCAAACGATTAATAAAATTTGTCTAACAAATTAGAGTCTAGTCTTCTAGAATATTTTCCCATCATGACAGTTTTCATCTGGATATCTGGGCATGGATTTCCTTTAAGCCACAGATAATTGTCTCTAATAATAAATATGCTCATTATTCTTTCGAGGTGTGGGCCTTGGCTTCTATTAACAAAACTGAAACCTATATAAATTGGTTTAAAAAGAGGCCACTGTGGTTTTCCCATTTCCCCCCAACAATTTATTATGAATTTATTTATTTATTTATTTATTTTTTGGTGAGACGGTGTCTCGCTCTGTTTCCCAGGCTGGAGTGTAGTGGCGTGAACTCAGCTCCCTGCAACCTCCGCCTCCTGGGTTCAAGTAATTCCCCTGCCTCAGCCTCCTGAGTAGCTGAGATTACAGGTGCCCACCACTATGCCCGGCTAATGTTTTGTATTTGTAGTAGAGACAGGGTTTCTCCATGTTGGCCAGGCTGGTCTCAAACTCCTGACCTCAAGTGGTCTGCCCACCTCGGCCTCCCAAAGTGCTGGGATTACAGGCATGAGCCACCACGCTCAGCCAATTATGAATATTTTCATACAGAAAAGTTGAAGAATTGTACAGTAAATACTTATATGTCTACTAGCTAGATTCTACAATTAATATTTTAATATACTTGCTTTACCAAATAATCTAACCATCTTCTCATCCCTTTATCTGTTTATTGGTCCATCTTTTATGTATACATTTTAAGAAGGTTGCAGGTATCAATACACTTCATCTCTAAAAACTTCAGAATTAATCTCCGGTGTTTCGAATGCTTTCAGGGTATGACTATATGAAATTATATGTAGACATCTGGAACAGATAACTGTTAGGAAATTAAACTCTATCACATGACTTTATTTTCCATACTTAGATTGGAAGGATAGGTTAGAAAGGAAGAAAACTACTTTAGCTCTGTATACTTTTTTATAGTTTACAGAGAATTTTCATGTGTATTATCTCATTTGATCCAATATTACTATTAATAGTAATAGTAGCTACCATTTATTGAATGCTTACTTTGTACTAGGTACTATGCAGGTTTACCTTTAAGGAAGGTACTATGCTGAATTATTTTCGTCCCACTTACAGTTGGTTGTCATATCTATTTTTCAAATGGATTGATTTGTTCCCTTAAAAGAATAGTTTTCAGCCCTATAGTAAGCCTTTTAAGTTCATATTTGTCAGCTGCTGCTATTTTTAGACTGAAGTCTTTGGTTTTTGATGGGTTCCTAGGGCACAAGCATTTTCTTGGATATTTTGTCATTATAGGTTGCTATTCAGAATAATATTTGAGCATAACTTAGGAAAAGTTGCCGAAAATGTTCCTTTTTTTTTGATTGTCTCTTTATTAATCAGCCTCTAATCCCAGTATGTTACATTACTTTAAAGGTGCATTTAATATTTATTTCTTCTTAGATTATTAATTATTAATATTCTATGAATAATAAAAACAATAGCTAGTTTTTGTGTATTTATTATACTGTATGCCAGTTATTGTGATTATCTTTATAATTGTCTATATAATTTATGTAAAATACTGTAAGAGTTGAGAAGCAGAGTGGGGTTAAATGGCTTGTCCTGTGTCACGTGGCTAATAAATGGAAGAGCCAGGATATGAGTGTTTCAGCTCCAAAGTCCCTGTGTTTGACCTCTACTCTGCTGTTTTCTACGGTGTGATCCTGAGACCACCTGCTTCATAATTTCTTGGGGTGATTATTAGATGTGGAGATTTCTGAGCCTTACTCCAGACCTACTGATTCTGAATCTCTGTGGATGAAATACCTTTTTTTTGTCATTCAGTTGATTCTCATGTACAGTAAAGTTTGAGAACCACTGTGCTATGCTTTTCTGCAAGCATTATTATGTTTTAATCTCTGTTAGCCTAGAAAAATAGCCAAACTCTATTAATCATTCTTATCCTTGGAGTATATGAAATTTTGGATTGATCTTTATGCTTTTATCTTTGCTTCAAGATTGTCATGGATTTTAAGCACCCAGATGGCATTGCAGTGCCAGTTATGTTGCCTCGTCGGAGTTTGCTGGTGATGACAGGAGAATCTAGATACCTTTGGACCCATGGGTATGTATTGAAATATGACAGGATTCTTTTTCTTTATGAGACTTCTCATTCTTCTGTGTTTGAGCCACGGGGACCATGCCCTGTGCCTGCAGATTGAGGCTTCTGGGTTCAGAACTCCTAGGGGCATCTATCTAGTTTCGTTTTTGTTAAACATTACCTTTTTACTTGGAAAAAATTCTTAATTTATAGCAAACTTGCAAGCATAGTACAGTGAACTCCCTTCACCTTTCACCTTCATTTACTAATTTTGAATATTTGGGACATTTTTTATTTCTCTCTCACATATGTTATCATTATTATTTTTACTGAATCATTTTAGAGTAAGTTATAGACATCATGGCTTACTCTTCCATGCTTCATTGTGTATTTCCTAAGAACAAGGACATTGTGTATGTCAGGGATTGGCAAGCTATGGCTAGTGGGCCACATTCAGCTCTCAGGCTGTTTTTGTACAGCTCTTGAGCTAAGAATGGTTTTTACATTTTTAAAGGTTGTAAGACAAAAAAACAATGAAGAATATTTGACAGAGACTATGTGTGGCCCTCAGTGCCTGAAATATTCACTCTCTGGCCCCTTACAGAAAAAGTTGGCCAAGCTCTGTTCTATAAAACCACAGTGCAGTGCTCAAATTCAGGAAATTCAACATTGATAAAATACTCTTATTATACTCTTATACAATCCATATTCAAATATTGCTAGTTGTATGTTATAGTGCTTTAAGCATTCTTTCTGATCGAGGATTCAGTCTATGATCCCACATTATGTTTAAGTCTTGTCAATTCTGTTTAGTCTTTTATTTGAAAGAGTTTCTCAACTTTCCTTTGCTCTTAATAACATTGACTCTTTTGAGGAGGCCGGTTGTGTTATAGAATGTTTTGCAATTTGAGTTTGTTTGGTTTAATCAAAATCTAAAGAAATTAGTATGTGCTTCTGCTAGGGATACATCTCTAGCCTTTTGAGGAGAGACCATTACACTGCTGCAATTTACATATACTGTCCCTCATAATACTGCTGAGTTCTGTACTTATTAATTCTGTTCTGCTTAGAGATTTTAGCTGACATATTTTTATAAAAACTCAAGGAAATGAACATGTAAAAGAATTTATAACCTGTCCTAAATGTGAGCCATTAAAAAATGATGACCTGATTTTGTGCACTGGGGCTTAAATTTATGTGATTTTTTTTTCATGGCCATTAAAATATTTGCACTTAAAATAAAAAAAAATGATGATGTGATCCATTAATTTCAGGTCTTCTTATACTTCTGAGAATAATGACATTTTCTTTTCTGGGTTCAAGCATTTTTGCTATCACTAATGTTTAAACTTCTTAAAAGTAATAGTATTACTACAGCAAATACAAAATAAGAAATTACTTTTCATGGATATATTGTGAAAATATTTTAATCTATTCTGATAATGGTACAGGTTAATTTTCCTAAAACAACATTTGATCACATTATTGTCTTACTGAAAGCATGTTATGCTATTAAATGTTAATAGAGTTGTCTCTGGAAAGTTAGATTATAGGTAATATTTATTTTTAATGTTCGCTCTGGAATCAGAATTCTCTACAGTATTTTTAGGGGAAAAAACCCTCAGTATTATTTTTGAAGGCTGCCATTGATACACATTGCCTGTAACATCACTCTGTGTGTGTGTGTGTGTGTGTGTGTGTGTGTGTGTGTGTGTGTGTGTGTTAGGAAGAGAGAGAGATGGGGAAATGGGGGAGAGAGGGAGGGAGGGAGGCAAAGAGACCAGAGGCAAGAAAGAGAGAGAGAGAGAGATAACCAATGATACACCAATCATTGAGATGTTTATCAGAATCTTTGGGTGGAAAAGAGAATAGATTGGAAAAGCATATTTGATACACTTAAAACATGTATAAATAACAGGAAATAAGCCTTGATAAAACTTTTTGATTTCTATGCTGAAGAAACAAAAGCACTAGAAAGCATTGTAGAGGGACATGGATTGAAAAAAGTTAACACTGCCTTGTAATTTTAATTCCAGATACCTCAATCTAACTTTTATTTGTTCAAGTTCAAATTTACTATTCTAGCCATCATACCTTAAATCAAAGGTGGAAGACGGGCAGCATAGGGGTAAACTTAACAGTCAGGTATTTTCTATTTGGCTGATGCAATAGTTGTCCACATGGTGGCAGTTTATTTTTTTCAGTTTTCTACATATAAAAATTAGGAGTTTTCACATAAAAATTTGAATTTTCAGCTTCTCTTGAAAATTGAGAAGATCTGATAACATTGAACCTTAGTATTGCTTGGCAGCAGTACCTGAAACTGTGTGTCACTAGCATTCTTTAGGTGGGGGCCTACTTCTCTAGTTCCCTACAGTTCCTACCCCTTTCTGTTACTCCCTGATCTAAGGCTGAGCATCAGTTGTCATTTAACACTGTGCTTGTACTATTGTTTTTATCTTAGAGTTACATGAAAATTGAGTATTTCTTGAACTCGTGTCTGTATTAAAAGTAGGAGACAGGGCCGGGTGCGGTGGCTCATGCCTGTAATCCTAGCACTTTGGGAGGCCAAGGCGGGTGGATCACAGGTCAGGAGTCCGAGACCAGACTGGCCAATATGGTGAAACCCCGTCTCTACTAAAAATACAAAAATTAGCCAGGCATAGTGGCGTGTGCCTGTAGTCCCAGCTACTCGGGAGGCTGAGGCAGGAGAATCACTTGAACCCGGGAGGCGGAGGTTGCAGTGAGCCAAGATCGCGTCACTGCACTCCAGCCTGGGTGACAGAGTGAGACTCCATATCAAAAAAAAAAGAAGTAGGAGATGGAAAGCTAGCCTGAATGAGAATGTATGTTTCAAGAAAAATGGCACAGAGCACTCTGCTTTTTTGAAATGAAAATTAATCCTATGATAAACAATATATTTCTAAACAAGTTCACCTGTTTCATTTATTTATGCCATCTGACTGGCCCCAGGAAGCATTATTTCATGAGATTATGTGAATGCTCCTTTTAAATTATTTCTGGAGCATTTTCCTTGTGCCAGGCATTGTTCTAAAAACTTTACATATATTAACTCATTTAATTTACACAATCATAGTGGGAAGTTTGTTCCATGGTTTTGTCCTTATTTTTGAAGGAAATTGGAGCATAAACAAGTTAAGTAACTTGTACAAAGTCACGAAGCAGTAAGTCGCAGAGCCAGGATCAGAAGCCAGGCACTCTGGTTTCAGAATCTGTGCTCTTACCAATGATATTATGGCTAAATTTGTTTGCTCCCTTTTCTCTTATCCTGTACCTTCTAACCTTCACACATTTGCCAGCCCTGTATCTGTTAACATATAGCTCTTTTACTTCCTTCATAATTTATCAAGTTTTCCTGACTACATAAACTTGAAATAATTTATTCCTTATCTTAACTTTTAAAGTCTGTATTGTTTCCTACTACCTTGAGATGTCTCTTCTATTATATTGAACTATTATTTAAATCTATAAAACTGTTTTTATATTCTTATTGAATATTGTCCCAATTTGATTATAATTTGAGTGCAGGGGGAAAAAGATGTTTAGCAGTATTTAAATAAATCATTACTTTAACATATGGATTACCTGTTCTTAAACATTTGAGATTGTTGGAAAAGCAGTTAGGAACTCCTTGGCCTTTGCTTAAAGTGTAACTTTAGGCAAGTGAAGTAATTGATTTAAAAGAACCATAATAGAGAATGATTTACTCTTCAAAAGAGGAATTAGCTTGCTAACAAGAGCTTCAAGATACTTATTCCTCTAAAATACCTTGACTTTGTTCACTACCATAGTTTTAATCATGTATAGCTCTTAGAACAAAAGTAATGTAAATTTGGGCAATGATTGCTTTTTTTTGCCTCTACAAAATTGCCTTTAAGACAAGCTTTTTAAAAAGAGCCACCTGCACGTTGTGCACATGTACCCTAAAACTTAAAGTATAATAATCATAATAATAAAAAAGCCATTCTCCTACTTTGTTTTATGAGGCTGGCATTAATTACCCTTGACACCAAAACATGTGAAAGACATTAAATAAAAGAAAATTACAAACCAACATCTCTCATAACAGAGATGAGAAAACCCATAACAGAACATTCGAAAGTCAAATCCTGCAATATACATAAAAAGAAAATATAACCTAGCGGAGTTTATACCAGTATTTCAGAGTTGGTTTAGCATTTCAAAAATCAATGTAATTCATCACGTTAAAGGAATAAAGGAGGAAAAGCATAATCATCTTGATTGATGCAAAAAGTATATTTGACAAAATTTAGTACCCATTCATGATAAAGCCCGGCAAACTAGGACAAGAAGGGAACTTCTTCATTGCGTTAAAGGGTATTTATGAAAAACCCACAGCTGACATCATATACTTAATGGTATTCTATTGAACGTTTTTTCCAAAGATATTGAACAAATCAGGGATGTCCGCTCATACTCCTTCTATTTAATGCTATATTGGATATCTTAGCCAGTATGAGAAGTCAAGAAAAAGAATTAAAAATCATAAATATTTGAAAGGAAGGAGTAAAATTCTTTATTTGTAGATTACATTATTGTGGATATAGAAAATCCTAGAGAATCTACAATACAAGTTCCAGAACTAATAAGTGAATTTAGCGACATACAAGGTCAATATTTAGAAATTAATTTTTAGAAGATGAAATAAAAATGCTATTTAAAATAGCATCAAGACTCATAAATATTTCCTTTCCAGTACTCAGAATTAATTTATTGAGATGTTGTTTAAAAAGCAATTAGCCTGAGAATTCTGTTTCTTACAACAGATGGAGTGAAATATGGCAATGACAAAATGAAAGTTGAGAATTGAAATACATTATGTTTTTCATTTTAGGATCAAATCCATCTTAGGTCGACGTTTCTCTTTCTAGATCACCTGGCTGTTATTATAGTAAAGAGGTATCAACAACTTAAGTAAAAAATTATATTTTTATATAATTTGCTGAGATCCTTCAGGATTAGCACATTCCCTGCGAATATGAAGCCCACTTCCATAGAGAGATAACCTTGCCTGGAGTAAATCAAGAAGATCTGAGTCTTAGGAATAAGTTTTTAAAAGATATGCAACACACATAGACTGAAAATTCTAGAAAAATTATTGCTATCCCTAGGAAACTTAATGTGGTTAATATATCAGTTGTCCCCAAAATCTATGGAGACAGTGTAATTCCAGTCAAAACTCTAGAAGGCTTTTCTTTTTTTGACAAAATTGACAAACCGATTCTAAAATTTATAAGGAAATGTGATTGTCAAAACAATCTTGAAACAATGTTAGGGGATTTATTCTGCCTGATTTTTAAGACTTACTATATGGCTATATAATCAAAATAGTATTGTTGTACAGATAGACAGATAGATCAGGAGGACAGCATACAGTCCAGAGATAACTCCATACATACAAGGTCAGTTGATTTTTGCCAAAGATACCAATGTAATTAAATGTGGAAAGGAAATTTTTCATCAGATGGTGCTGGAACAACTGAATATCCATATGGAAATAAAATGAACCTGAATCTATCTCATACCATTCACAAAGTTAATGTGAGGTAGATCATAGATGTAAATGTGAAAGCAAAAAGTGTAAAATGGTCTAAAAGAAACTTTATAAAAAACTGTTTTTGTGACCTTGAGGTAGCCAAAGTTTTTTTAAAGAGAGATTTCATAACACACTATTAAGAAATAATAAATTAGACCTCATCAAAATTAAAAACTTCTGCTCATCTAAAGATACCATTGAGAAAACGAGAAGGCAGCCACACATGGAGAGAAAATACCTGCTATTTATTTATGTTTACGTCTATATCTGTATCTATCTGTATCTAACAAGGAATTGGGCAAAAGGGTTGGACAGATCCTTTATCAAAAAAGGATCTATGTGTGTCTAATAAGCACATGAAAAGATGTATAGCATCATTAGTCATTAGATAAATAATAACTTAAAACCACAATTTCATACCACATGCCACTCACTAAAATGGCTAAAATTTAAAACTCAGAAAATACCAAGTGTTGGTGAGAATGTTAACTAGCCTGGAACTCTCTCATATATTGCCGGTTGGAGTGTAACATTTTACAACTACCTTGGAAAACTAGAAGTTTCTTACCTTATGACCCACCAATTTCACTCGTTATTACCTGTTAAAACCCACCAATTTGACTCCTAGGTAGTTACCCAAGAGGAATAAAACTATATATCCAAAAATGATGTGTATAAGAATGTTCACAGAAGCTTTATTTGTAATAGTCCCAAACTGTGGACTTGTAATTACCATGTAGTTATTTTTAATTTTTAAAAATCCAGTCCAGTAATCTTTGTTCTTTAATTGGAGTTTTTAATACTTTTACGTTTAATATATTACTGATAATGAATTTAAATTTACCATCTATTTGTTTCCTCTTGGCATCATCTGTTCTTTTTTGTTTTTTTTAGAATTGGTGTTAATTAAATATTTATTTTATTTTCCCATGGAATAATTTGTTGTACATTCTTTTAATATTATTGTCATGAAGATAATTTCCTTAAATACCTTTATTTCTTTGTTTTTCCACAATGTCTAACAATTCAGGGAATCCAATAGATATTTGTAATAAATTCTTCTAGATTTTCTCTATTCACTTAACATTTTTAAAGGCCTGAAATATTTTTATTAATACAATGTTAAGTAAATTTTTTTGACTATTGTTTTTAGAATCACGTGCAGAAAATTTGATACTGTTCAAGCATCTGAGAGTCTTAAAAGTGGAATTATCACCAGTGATGTTGGAGACTTAACTTTAAGCAAGAGGGGACTACGAACATCATTTACATTTAGGAAAGTGAGGCAAACACCTTGTAACTGTAGTAAGTATATACTCTTATCTCGTCTGTAAAATGGAGTCAGTTTAATATAAAAGTCCTTTAAGGTCCTGTCAACACCTAGGAGAGCTTTTTCTGAATCTCTCTAATGGCATTTCCTGTATTTTGCCTTGTATTGCACTTTCATGCACTTTTCTTAACGACCCTCATTAGAGTTTACATTCTTTGAAGGCAAGGGTCTGCATCTTCTCATCTTTATTTTTTCCAAACTTAGTACTTGAGTTGGGTGCCCAATAAATGTTTTACTTATTGAAGTAACAGTTAAGAGTGCTACAATTGAAGGGCAATAAAATATTACTTGTTTAAAAACGGGTATTGTTGGGAATGGTTTGTCAAGTTTCTAAATTATATCTTATTAATCCAACAGGGAAGTTGGAGATGACAAATTGTTCTATAGTACATAACTCTAGGGAGATAAGCGACAGTTTATGTTTTAGTCAATTTGAAAACTCAGAAGGGAATAAAAACTGCTCAAAAACTTGTCAAGAGGATGCTATTTTGAATCGTCTGTACAAGTACATCATGTTCTGGATTTCTTTGACTCAATTAACAGACACCTCTTTCATTTTGTAAATAATATTTTGTAATGATAGTAATAATAAAATCCTTTTTATATCTTGGGGGTTTTAATTATGGGTGGTATCTACCAACAGCTTTTGGATTTAGTCATAATCTTGAAAACATTTAATTAAAAACTCTTACTATATCTACAAAATGTTATGCTTTTAGAAAACTTGAAATTTCTATATTTTATATCCTGATGTTACTGAAGCTTAAAAGAGCTTTTTATTTTACTAAAAGTGTCCTTGAAGCCTTAAAATATCAAATTTTAAAAGTTAAATTTAAAATGTTTATTATTTGATGAATATTGAACATTGCAGATAGTGAGTTACATGGTATAGAAAAATAAAGCATGGCTCCTGTTCTTAAGGAACTTAAAGTGTAGTTGGAGAGACAAGCTAGTTTTCTTATGCAAATGTTTATCATGGGCATTTATTAAATGTAAGAAGCTGTTATTGGGGATTCAGTTTACAGATTTTTTTTTAAGATGAATAATAATTGTGGCTGGCACAGTGGCTCATGCCTGTAATCCCAGCACTTTGGGAGGCTGAGGCAAGAGAATTGCTTGAGGCCAGGAGTTCAAAATCAGCTTGGACAACATAGGAAGACCCCCTGTCTGCAAAAAAATAAAATCAAAATTTAGACAGGCATGGTGGTGTGTGCCTGTAGTCCTAGTTACTAGGAAAGCTGAGGCGGGAGGATTGTGTGAGCCTAGGAGTTTGAGGCTGCAGTGAGCTATGATCGCGCCACTTGCACTGTGGCCTGGGTGACAGAGCAAGACCCTGTCTCAAAACGAAAAAACAGCAACAGAAAACCCCCCAAATTATAAATGTTTATCATGTACAACATGATGTTTTAAAATACATATATATTGTGGAATGGCTCAATTGAGCTAATTAACATGTATTATTACCTCACATACTTATACTTTTTTGTGATGAGAACACTTAAAAATTTATTCTCGGCTGGGTGCGGTGGCTCACACCTGTAATCCCAGCACTTTGGGAGGCCAAGGTGGGCAGATTATCTGAGGTCAGGAGTTCGAGACCAGCCTGGCCAACATGGTGAAACCTGTCTCTACCAAAAATACAAAAATTGGCCAGGCATGGTGGCACACGCCTGTAATCCCAGCTACTCGGGAGGCTGAGGCAGGAGAATCACTTGAACCCAGGAGGCGGAGGTTGCAGTGAGCCGATATCATGCCACTGCACTCTAGCCTGGCCAACAGAGTGAGACTCTGTCTCAAAAAAAAAAAAAAAAAAGAATTTATTCTCATAGTGATTTTCAAGAATACAATATATTATTATTAACTATAGTCACATGTTTTACACTAGATCCCTGGGACTTATTCTATCTCACTGAAATTTTGTATCCTTTCATTAGCATCTCCCCGGCTCCCACCCCAACTGCTCCAGCCCCTGGTAACCACCATTCTACTACTCTCTATTCTGTGAGATCAGCTTTTTTTTAGATTCCATATATGAGTGAGATTGTATAGTATTTGCCTTCTCTGTCTGGCTTATTTCACTTAACATAATATCCTCTAAGTTTATCCATGTTGTAAATGGCAAGATTTCCTTCTGTTTGTGGCTGAATAGTATTCTGTTGTGTATATGTACCATATTTTCTTTTTCCATTCATTCACTGATAGGCACTTTGATTCCATGTCTTGGCTGTTGTGAATAGTGTTGCAGTAAACATGTGAGTGCAGATGTCTTTCTGACGTACTAATTTCATTTTCTTTGGATATATACCCCATACTGGGATTACTGGTTTATAAGATAGTACTTATTTTTAATTTTTTTTTTTTTTTTGAGCAAGGCAGAGAAGGGTTTTATTGAGTGACAGAACAGCTCTTGATACGAGAGGGGATTGAACCTGAAGTGGGTTCTGTGTGAGAGGGGGCCCGAAGGCAGGTAGTCCCCTGTTTCTAAGTTTTTGAAGAACCTCTGTACTGTTTTTCATAATGACCATTCTAATTTACATTCCCACCAACAGTGTGCAAGAGCTCCCTTCTCTTCTTATCCACACCAACACTAGGTATTTTTTTGTCTTTTTTTAAAGACCGTCTTGCTCTGTCACCTGTGCTGGAGTGCAATAGCACGATCATAGCTCACTGCAGCCTTGGCCCCCCAGACTCAAGCAGTCCTCAGTAGACTTATTAGGGAAGAACTTTTTCTTTTAACGGATAAATCAGAGTCTGTCTACCCACCAAATTTGCATTGATTTTTTTTTTTCATTTAAGAAAACTTGATACCTTATGAGTTATTCTGATAAAAAGGAAAGGTGTGTATTGCTTTTTCATTAAGGTTACCCGTTGGTCTGTGATAGCCAGAGGAAAGAGACTCCCCCCTCATTTCCAGAGAGTGATAAAGAAGCCTCACGGCTGGAGCAAGAGTACGTCCATCAGGTTTATGAAGAGATTGCTGGGCACTTCAGCAGCACAAGACATACCCCTTGGCCGCACATTGTGGAGTTTTTGAAGGCTTTGCCAAGTGGTTCAATAGTGGCTGATATTGGATGTGGTAATGGAAAGTATCTTGGCATCAATAAGGAGTTATATATGGCAAGTAATGTTGCTTTTGACTTTCTTTTTGCTTAATTTGCAGTGGTTATCATCATCTTTCTTCCTCATGATATAATCCTGTTTTTTTAGATCATTGCCAGAAAGTTATAACCAACAGATTGAAAATTAATGATTTTTTTTATTCTTTCTTATTCCTCTAGGAATTTATGGGCACACCATCATTATATAATTTTTTTTCTCCCTTTAGATTTTGCTTTCTACCATATTATTTTATCAGTAAAACTATCTTATAGTTATAAAACTCTTTACAGATTAGAAAGGATTTTTATAGAAATCATTTTTTGGCTTGGATCCCCCTAAGTATGAAGAAGATAAAGCTGATATTTTCATCCATCTTTTGTAAATGAAGAAATTGGGGCTCACAGTGATCATATTAATTTCCTGATGTCATATAATTAGGGGACATAACTGGAACTTGAACCTATATCTTCTACTCCAAACTTTATTCATAGTAGAAAAAAATTTTCTATTTATTGGTATCTTACTGTTGAGGAAAGGAAGTCTCAAACAGATTAAAAACTTGACCAAGGTTACAGTGCTAGACCCAGAATTTGAACCCATTTCTGTCTGATTCCAGAATGTCTGTTTTCAGTTACTATTTTTTTCTATGAGCCATTTTTTTTCTGCTGTGCTAAGAAGTAGGATATTCTTGTTTTAGTGTATTGTTGTAAGTAATCATTTTTTAACATTGCTCTGTGAGGACTGGAGCTTCCGTTTCTCTAGATTAGGGGATTTAGGATGAGAGTAAGGGAGTAGGTAAAAAGAACGAGAGCAGCTGACATTCCTGGGTTGTTGGAGTATGTCAGATTACTTCTCATCTTTATTTTTACTCCATCCTAGATATTGTGCACCTACATGAAGAAAGTTACTACAATTGTCCCTTGGTATATAAAATTGAAGCTAAATCAAATAATAAATAAAATGCATATTTAATGATCATAAAAGATTTAGCATATAAGAGAAAAGTGATATACCATTCTTCTAAGAGATTACATTTTTATCACCCCTACATGAGCAACAGTGGCTGTTCTTTGTGGGGCCATACATCTCAAATGCCTCT
This sequence comes from Homo sapiens, assembly GCF_000001405.40. Lineage (NCBI taxonomy): Eukaryota > Metazoa > Chordata > Mammalia > Primates > Hominidae > Homo > Homo sapiens. The sequence continues at coordinate 107,521,217 of NC_000011.10, read as the reverse complement.
AGTTACAATCACCTAGGATTCTACTGAGGAAGTACAAAGAATACCTCAAAATAAGTATATTAGTCCCTTGGTATCTGTGGGGAGTTAGTTCCAGGACCCTGTGGATACCAAAATCTGTAGAAGTTCAAGTCTCTGATACAAAATTATGTAGTATTTGCATATAACCTATACATATCCTCCTGTATATTTAAAATTATCTATAGATTACTTATGATATGTAATACAGTGTAAATGCTGTGTAAATAGTTGTTAGACTGTATTGCTTAGGGACTAATGACAAGAAAAAAGTCTATACATATTCAGTAAAGATGGAATTTTTATTTTTTTAGTATTTTGACCTGGGGTTGCTTGAATCCCTGGATGTGCAACTCATAGATTCGGAGGGCTGGTTGTATTACAGCTTAGGAAATGTAGAGTTTGTACATTAAGAGGCGGATAAAAGAATAGCCTTTCATCAAGATAAGACATTGATATTCATATATTGTTACCATGTTTACAATTAAATTTTAATTTATAAAGAATAAGGCCTAGTGAGTTAAGTTTGTTCATGTTGAAGAGGAAATAGATCTTTGATTGTGTCACTTAAAATCACAACAAACCACAGTTCAAAACAAGGTGATATTTTCTAGTGTTTTAATCTAAAGATACGTCCAAAAATGTTTCTCAGTAGGCTCTGCTTTTGCACTTTCTTGTTGATAATCCATGGTTTTATCTAGTCAGGTATCATTTGTGACAGTGAAACTAGGTCGAAATCAAATACACTGATTTAGTCATAGTGATAACATTATTATGTTGCAATTGAGAAGAATGATTTCTTGATAAACAGAAAACGAACACAATCTGCAGCTGATTCCAGAGGGAATATATTTGGAAGGATTAGAAAATCATAAGTACACTCACTCAGTTTATCAGCAGCAGTCCGTACATAATTCTTTCCTGTCTGTTGTTCCCTGGAGCTTACTGCATTGCCTGATTTCCAGGCATACGGTACTTGGCACATGGTAGAAGCTTACTAATTAATGGTTTGTTGAATGGTGAGGAGCAAACCTGTGAATTTACCTTCAGCTTCTTACATGAAAACCAAAATATATACAGTGCTATGTCTGGCAGCCTTGGAGGAATGTGACAACCTCAAAATGGGTGGGACTTACCGCAGGATAAAATTACCTTTAGGATCTAGCTTTCTCTTTTTATGTAGGATCCAGGGTACTCCTTATTCCTTATGTTATAATAACTAACATTTGCATAGCACTTCAATGGTTAATTAAATATTTAGTATAGATCATTTCATTTGATTCTCATATTAACCCTGGTAAATAGGTATTTTTCTCTTTATTTTTTAGATGAGGAAACAGAGGCTTTGAGATAGTAAGTAGCTCTCCTAGGTTATTCAGCTAGTTATTGCTGAAACCAGAATTCAAATTCAGAGTTTACAGGTTTAGCATCCCTAATACGAAAATTTGAAATCTCGAATGCTACAAAATCTGAAACTTTTTGAGTAGCAACATGATGCTCAAAGGAGATGTTCATTGGAGGATTTCAGATTTTGGATTTTCAGATTAGGGACTCTCAACCAGTATGTATTCTGCAGATATTCCAAAATCCAAAAAATTCTGAAATCTAAAATACTTCGGGTCCCAAGCATTTGAAATAAGGGATATTCAACCTGTAGTATGCTCTTTTCAATGTACTTTACTGCCTCTGTTTATTTCTCTGCACTTTAAACTGTATATTACCAGTCTGATTTTCCTACAGTTGCATATTTTCTTAATAGTTTTAAAAATGTTGTATATTTTTAAAAATAAAAATAATAGGCTGGGCACAGTGGCTTATGCCTGTAATCCCAGCACTTTGGGAGGCCGAGGTGGACAGATCACCTGAGGTTGAGAGTTCGAGACCAGCCTGACCAACGTGGAGAAACCTCATCTCTACTGAAAATACAAAATTAGCCAGTCATGGTGACGCATGCCTGTAATCCTAGCTACATGGGAGGCTGAGGCAGGAGAATCACTTGAGCCTGGGAGGCGGAGGTTGCAGTGAGCCAAGATCCCACCATTGCACTCTAGCCTGGGCAATAAGAGTGAGACTCTGTCTCAAAAAAAGAAAACAAAACAAAAAATATAACCAGCAGGGTACAGTGGCTTATGCCTGTAATCCCAGTGATGAGGGAGGATCGCTTGAGGCCAGGAGTTCAAGACCAGCCTGGGCAACATATCAAGATCACATCTCCTAAAAAACAAAAACAGTAGCTAGGCATGGTGGTGCATGCCTGTTGCTGAGACCAGCTTGGTCAGAGAGACCCTAACCTAGTGGTGCTAGAGGAATTAAAGACACACACACAAATATAGAGGTGTGAAGTGGGAAATCAGGGGTCTCACAGCCTTCAGAGCTGAGAGCCCCAGAGATTTACCCACGTATTTATTAACAGCAAGCCAGTCATTAGCATTGTTTCTATAGATATTCAATTAACTAAAAGTGTCCCTTATAGGAAATGGGATTAACTAAAAGTATCCCTTACGGGAAACGAAGGGATGGGCCGAAATAAAGGGGTGGGTCTGGTAGTTACCTGCAGCAGGAGCATGCCCTTAATGCACAGATTGCTCATGCTATTGTTTGTGGTTTAAGAACGCCTTTAAGCAGTTTTCCGCCCTGGGCGGGCCAGGTGTTTGTTGCCCTCATTCCAGTAAACCCACAACCTTCCAGCATGGGCATAATGGCCATCATGAACATGTCACAGTGCTGCAGAGATTTTGTTTATGGCCAGTTTTGGGGCCAGTTTATGGCCAGATTTTGGGGGGCCTGTTCCCAACACCTGTAGTCCCAGCTCTCCAGGAGTTCAGGGCTGCAGTGAACCATAATCGCACACTGCACTTCAGCCTGGGTGACAGAGTGAGACTCTGAGTCTAAAAATACCTACATACATACATAAATAACTATCATTTAGAAAATTGATGAAAAGAGAGGTATTTGCATAATCCTATCACCTTATTGTAATGAATATCCTTCTAATGTTTTTCCTATTAATGTTTTATATAATAATGAATGTGCAATAATTTGATAACTCATTTATCTCATTTATATTCTGATATATAATCTTAAAATGTTTCTGAATTTTATAATACAGTATTTTTTCTGTATTTTATTTTTAAATTAAAGTTATTAAAAATGTCTTTACAGGACAGATGAAATTATGTGTATTTATTGTATATGATATGATGTTTTAAAGTATATATACATTGTGGATTGACAAAATCTAGCAAATTAACATATGCATTACCTCACAAAGTTACCGTTTTGTGGGGAGAACATTTACCATCCATTCTCCTAGCATTTTTCAAGAATACAATACATGTTGTTAACTACAGTCACCATGTTGTACAGTAGATCTGTGGAATTTATTCCTCCTATCTAAAATTTTGTATCTTTTGATCAACATCTCCCCAGCTTCCCATACTTCAACTGTCTCAGTCCCTGGTAGCTACTGTTCTACTCTAGTTCTATGAAGTCGCATTTTTGGATTCCAAGTATGAGTGAGATCATGCAATACTTGCCTTCTGTGTCTGGCTTATTTCACTTAACCTAATGTCCTCCAGGTTTACCTATATTGTTATGAATGGCAGGATTTTCTTCTTTGTTATAGCCAAGTAGCATTCATTGGGTATATATACCATGTTTACTGTATTCATCCATTGATGGATATTTAGATTGATTCTGTATCTTGGCTATTGTATATAATGTTGCAGTAAACATGGGAGTGCAGATATCTCTTTGACCTACCGATTTCATTTTCTTTGGATATATACCTAGCAGTGGGATTGCTGGATCATATGGTAGTTCTATTTTTAATATGTCTGTGAAGCTTCCATACTGTTTTCCCTAGTGGCTGTCCTAATTTACATTCCCACCAACAGTATGCCAGGATTCCCTTTTCCCCACATCCTCAACGCCGTTTGTTATCTTTTGTCTCTTTGATAATGGCCAGATCTAACAAGTGTGAGGTAAAATCTCATTGTTTTAATTTGCATTTTCCTGATGGTTAGTGATATTCAGCATTGTTTCATGTACTTGGCCATTTGTATGTCTTTTTTAAAGAAATATAAATTTTTAAATCAGATTATCTGTTTTGTTGCCATACAGTTCTTTGAGTTCTTTATATATTTTTGTTTTTGTTTTGCTTTGTTTTGTTTTGTTTTTGACACAAGGTCTTGCTCTGTTGCCCAGGCTGGAGTGCAGTGGTATGATTACAGCTTACAGCCTCCTTGACCTTGCAGGCTCAATTGATCCTCCCACCTCAGCCTCTAGTAGCTGGCACTATAGGCATGCACCACCACACCCAGCTAATTTTTGTATTTTTTGTAGAGATGAGGTTTTGCCATGTTGCCCAGGCTGGTCTCAAGTGATCCAGGCCTGGGCTTCAGTGATCCACCCACCTTTGTCTCCCAAAGTGTTGGGATTACAGGTGTGAACCACTGTGCCCAGCCTGTTGATATATTTTGGATATTAATTCCTTATCACATGTATAGTTTGCAAATATTTTCTCCTATTCTGTAGGTTGTCTCTTCCCTCTGATGATTGTTTCCTCAAGTTAAAGCTTTTTAGTTTGATCTAATCCCATTTGTATATTTTTGCTTTAGTTAACTTTGTTTTTGGGGTCATATCCAAAAAATTATTGCCCAGGCCAAGATCATGGAGCTTTTCTTGTATGTTTTCTTCTAGTAGTTTCATAATTTCAGGTCTTACATTTAAGCCTTTCATCCATTTTGAGTTGATTTTTGTAGATGGTGTGAGATAAGCATTTAATTTCATTCTTCTGCATGTGAATATTCAGTTTCCCTAACACCATTTATTGAAAAGACTTGGACTTTATTAATATTCCATTAGGCAGAAGTTACTGGAAATTTGGTTGTGTTCTGTTTGGAAGTATTCTAAATAACACCGTAATGAACATGTATATTGAGAGTCAATGGGATAAGAAGGAAGAATGTGGATTTTGGAATGAGAAATACCAGGCTTTAAATTTTTGTTTCACCATTTAACGACTTTCAACTTTGAGCAAATTACTTATTTTCTTTGAAAGGAAGTTTTCTCATCTGCAATGTGGTGAAAATAGTACCTAACTCCAAGTGTGTTATGTGGCTTAAGTGCAGTGCTACAAAGAATCTGCTTTAATCTATATGCGTACTCAGGAAAAGGTGGTTATTATTAGCCTGGTTAGTGTTTTCCCTATTTTGAATTATTTTCTTAGGATAAATTTTTAGAAAGGTAACTATTGGTCAAAAATTATAAACCTTATTTTCTTCCTTAAAAAATGGTTTGCCTAATTGCTCTTTTAAATGGTTGAGCCAATTTGTATTTTGTATGAGAGGAAGTTCTATCATACTGACATTGCCATGGTATATTTTAGTTTTAAAATATTTTTGATAGTTTAATGGAAGAAAAATGGAACCTTGTTTCAGTTTGCACCTTTGCTTATCAGGTTGAATTTTTTTTATGTTTACTTGTACTTCCACAATTACATATTTAATATTTGTTGAGGTTTTTAAAAATTATATAAAAGTATAGGCTGGGCACCGTGGGTCATACCTGTAATCCTAGCACTTTGAGAGGCCGAGGTGGGAAGACTGCCTGAGACCAAGAGTTGGAGACCAGCCTGGGCAGCATGGTGAGACCTTGACTCTGCAAAGAAATTTAAAAATTAGCCAGGCATGATGGCGTGCACCTGTAGTCCCAGCTACTCAGGAGGCTGAGGTGGGAGGATCACTTGAGTCCAGGAGACCAAGGCTGCAGTGAGCTGTGTTTGTGCCATTGCACTCCAGCCTGGGTGACAGAGTGAGACCCTGTCTCCAAAAAAAGAGTATACATTTTAAGCCCAGTATATGTTTTAATGTCATTGATCTTCACCCAGCACACAGAAATATGTAGCTTTACGCAAGTCCTTGAATATATGTGGGTTTTTATCAAGCCATTTTCTGTCCTGTTGACATGATGCAACATTATTAGGGAGATTTTTCAAACACTGTACTATTCTTGGTTTAAAAAATTTAAAAATGGAAAGAGGGAAGAGGAGAAAAAATAGTGACTGCATGACTATAGTATATGGAAGACAGGCAAAAAAAGTAAAAGATGAAAGTACTGAGCCAGGCATGAGTCAGGTCGTTGGTCAGTGGGGAATCTACATCAGATCTGATGCTTTATTGCTAAAATTGGCCTTGCTCTTTCTTGTTGGTGAAAAGGAGTGCTGTGTACAAATAGCTATAAGAGCCTGGCAAGGAGAGGGAAATCTCTTGTTTTGTTTGGCTGTTGTTCTCCATGTTCTGTCTTATCTGTGGCTCTCAGGTAATAACTTTCCTCTTTTGAGTAACTATCGAGCCCTATCCCTGAGGTTTTTTTTTTAATAGGCAGGTTGGATTTCTTTCTGTTGACTTTTAGCAAGGTATAGCTATCTTTCAGAGTTGGGGCATACTTGAAACTTCCAATTCTATGAACCGAATTTAAATGTAACAAAAAAGGAGGCAAGCACCAAAATATAATGTTCAGATTATTTGAGTGGTATTGTCATCTTGATATTCTGACTGTTGGCTGATGGCATAGAATATGCATGAAAATAAATAATAAGTAAGAATCCAGGCATGTATCTTACACAGGTAAAGGGAGCAATTAATTGGGAATCATGTCACTATTGTTATTAATAGGCCCTTAGTACTTTTTATCTTAAAATATATTAAAGATAAATAGCTGTACTTTACCTCTAGCTTGATATCTTTTATTTCACTTTAAAATTAAAGCAGCTCCAGGATAAAATATAGAAGCTGTTTAATACCGATTACAAATTGAGCAAACTCATTAAGTATGACTAGTATGGCAATGTGATTTAACTCAGTAAGAATTTTTTTTAATTTCCATTCTTTTATTGTGAATTTATAACATAAACTCTGTAATGTAATGTTTCATTTTAAGATCTTTTTCTTCCTCTAAGGAATTAATAACATAGCACTTTAAGGAACTTTTAATAAAAATACTGTTTTTTTTGGTAAATTGAATGTCACTACTTAGTATCAGAGACAATATTACATTCTTCACTGCATACTCATGTAAATTTCAAAAGCCTGCCTGAAATCTATATATGCTTGCTGGTCTAAAAAAAGGCCAGATTAAATTTTTTTTTTAACTTTTATTTTAGGTTCAAGCGTACATGTGCAGGTTTGTTATATAGGTAAATTGTATGTCACAGGGATTCCGTGTACAGATTATTTCATCACCCAGGTAGTCAGCATAGTACCTGATAGGTAGTTTTTTTTATCTGTACACCACCCCGCCACTTTGACCCTTAAGCAGGCCCCAGTGTCTCTTGTTCCCTTCTTCGTGTCCATGTGTACTCAGCATTTAGCTCTTACTTATACGTGAAAACATGCAGTATTTGGTTTTCGGCACCTGCATCAGTTTGCTTAGGGTAATGGCCTCCAGGTCCATCCATGTTGCATACAGCAAGTGACATGATCTCATTCTTTTTTATGGTTGTATAGTATTCCATAGTGTGTAACACATTTGTTTACCCAGTCTACTCTTGATGGGCACCTAGGTTGATTCCATGTCATTACTATTGTGAATAATGCTGCAGTGAACATATCAGTGCATATGTCTTTATGGTAGAACAATTTATATTACTTTGGATATATACCCAATAATGGAATTGCTGGGTCGAATGGTAATTCTCTTTTAAGTTCTTTGAGAAATTGCCAAACTGCTTTCCACAGTGGGTGAACCCATTCCCACTAGCAGTGTATAAGAATTCTCTTTTCTCTGCAACCTCACCAGCATGTTATTTTTTTGACTTTTTAAAAATAGCCATTCTGACTGGTCTGAGATGGTATCTCATTGTGGTTTTGATTTACATTTCTCTAATGATTACTGATGTTGAGCTTTTTTCATATGCTTGTTGGCCACGTGTATGTCTTTTGAAAAGTATCTGTTCATGTCCTTTGCCCTCTTTTTAATGGGACCGATTGTTTTTTGCATGTTAATTTGTTTAAGTTCCTTATAGATTCTGCATATTAGACCTTTGTCAGATCCATAGTTTGCAAATATTTTCTCCCATTCTGTAGGTTGTCTGTTCACTCTGTTGATAGTTTCTTTTGCCGTGCAGAAGCTCTTTAGTTTAATTAGGTCCCATTTGTCAATTTTTGTTTTTGTGGCAGTTGTTTTTGTTGTCTTTGTCATGAAATCTTTGCCAGAGCCTATGTCCAGAATGGTATTTCCTAGGTTATCTTCCAGAGTTTTTGTAGTCTTAGGTTTTACATTTAATCAGTCTTGTGTTGATTTTTATATATAATGTAAAGAAGGTGTACAGTTTCAATCTTCTACACATGGCTAGCCAGTTATCCCAGCATGTTTTGATATGAGCATTCATAGTCTTTATTCTCAGAAGGGCTGAGGATCAGCCCTAGGATCAGTGCTCATTATATCAAAAAATTAAATGAGTAAATATACACTTTAGGTGGCCACTTCTGTTTGACTAAATCTGCTTATATAATTCTTTTCTGTATTATAGAGTTTGGCTAAGAAAAAATTATCCAGGGATAGTTATCAGTGACTTAACATTTCTTGTGGCCTGGTGCAGTGGTTCATGCCTGTAATCCCAGCACTTTGGGAGGCCAAGACGGGCAGATGACTTGAGCCCAGGAGTTTGAGGCCAGCCTAGGCAACATGGTGAAACCCCATCTCTACAAAAAATAAAACAAATGCTGGGCATGGTGGTACGCACCTGTACCCCCAGCTACTTGGAAGGCTGAGGCAAGAGGATCACCTGGGCCTGGGAGGTGGAGGCTGCCGTGGGCTGGGATTGCACCACTGTACTCGAGCTTAGGTAATAGAGTGAGACCCTGTCTCAAAACCAAAACAAACAAACAAAAAAAAACCCTTAAAATAAAAAAGTCTTAAGCCCCTCCCATTTATTCCCCAATTTATGTGGGCACATTACAAAATGTGTGTGTGTGTGTGTGTCTGTATATTACATATATATGTGATATTCTTAGAACTAAGCAGCAAAACTGTGTACAACAACTACAACAACAAAACTAAAGAGAAAGAAGATGGGAAATCCCAGCTCCTAAAAACTTCTCACAGAACCAGATGCATACATAAGGCATGCTAGGTCTCACCTGTTGAGGGAGAGAAAAGCATACTCCTAGCTGCCCACCATGCCATCAATCCTGTAGGATTGTTTGGGTATATGAAAAGACTTAATTAAATATCATTTTATAAATTTTGAATTCAGCACTTTATTCTTGATAAGTTTTGACATTTAGCAGAAAAAGAGTAGCTTTAAAAAATAAAAAAAAAATTGTCTGGGCGTGTTGGCTAACACCCGTAATCCCAGCACTTTGGGAGGCTGAGGCGGGCAGATCACCTGAGGATGGGAGTTCGAGACCAGCCTGACCAACATGGAGAAACCCCATCTCTAATAAAAATTAAAAATTAGCCAGGCGTGTTGGCTCATGCCTGTAATCCTAGCTACTTAGGAGGCTGAGGCAGGAGAATTGCTTGAACCCAGGACGTGGAGGTTGCCATGAGCTGAGATCACGCCATTGCACTCCAGCCTGGGCAACAAGAGCGAAACTCCATCTCAAAAAAAAATTATTTTGATTTTTTTTGGGGGGGATTTTATTTTCTGATTGTAAAAGTAATCCATGTTGAAAAGTATAAAGAAGCAGAAAAAAAATTGCCTATCCTTCTGCTACCTGGGACATCACAATATAGTATATACGGTAATGAGAGATATCTTAGAACATCTTATTTGCAGCTCCCCCTAAAAGACTGTCTGTGTTTATGTGATACTTTCCAGTTTTAAATGTGTGATATTACAGAAACATCCAGATTCAGAATGGTCATCAATTAGCTGTATATTTGGACCTCCCATTTCCACCACTATCATTTTTATTCCAGTCTTTTTGTTTCACTAATTGGAGTTCTGTTTGATATCTGTTAAGGTAATAAATGCTGCCCTGTACAATTATATATTCTGATTTTATACTGGCTGTAAGAACCGATAGTATCATGGTCTCAGACCATTTCACAATGAATATGGTATCTGTCTAATGACTTTAAGGTATGGAATAAGTTCATAGTTCTTAATTTCATGTGAAATTTAAACAAAATGTTATGGAATTCCTTCTCTGTTACAGATTGGTTGTGATCGTAGCCAAAACCTTGTGGACATTTGTAGAGAGAGGCAATTTCAGGCTTTTGTCTGTGATGCATTGGCAGTACCAGTCCGCAGTGGGTCTTGTGATGCCTGCATCTCCATTGCTGTTATTCATCATTTTGCAACAGCAGTAAGTATGGTCTTTCTTTCTCTTAAGAACTTGTAGCTAAAGCAGCAGGAAGAGTTCATGAATTTTGCTGATTTTGGACCCTGTTTTAGCTTTTCAGTTCTTTCCGTTCTCTTTTCTTGTCACAGTTTTCCCTCTTTGTAAGAGAGCATGCAGAATAAAGATGGGCAACTGTTTAAGTATCTTCTACTTAAACAGAGGCCTGATGGGACTCTACCCTTTATTGCTGCATGCTTTCGCCCCTTTCCTACCCCAAGTCTCATTCACTTCTAAATGCCTTCCTTTAAACCCAGAGTCACAGAATTTTAGCTGGAAGAGAATTTGAGATCATCAGCTCCAAGCTTCTTGAGTATACTCTCTCCTCAGACTCTATGAGTCCCTTCTGTATTTCTTTCTCAGCTTTTCTTTCTCAACCCATAGTTTTATCCCTGACATGTGAGTGTTACTTCTTTCCCATTCTGTTTTTCTTCCTTTCCTGTTCTTTTTTTTCAAAACTCTGTCTTTTTTAGCTGGTAGTAGTATGTTGACTCTTAGTATGTTCTTAGTTTTAAAATAAATGAATTTAATATTTAATATTTTCTTTCTTTCTTTAAAGAACAAAAGACCACTTATTTTTCTTGGGTGTCAGCAGTCATTCCCTTGATTTATGCAATAGCTTTATAGCTCACCTTATGGGTCACCAGCAGTTTCAGTAGACCTTATGACCTTAACTGAGTTCAAAACAAATCAAAACAAATCAGAAAACTGTCTGCGTCTTTAGTCTTTTTACTTTTAATAGTAACCAAGAGATTCTGCTGGGCTGCAGCAAACAATATTAGGTTTTTTACAGCAAAAGCCACTAGGCCTCAGTGGCTTTCAGAGGCATGACTGCAAATAGAGGAAGGCTTGAAAGGAGCAGCTATACCAGTAAATTTAAAAATCCGCTTCATTTGGAAGAAATGTTTGGCACATATTGGTTGCTTCAGCTACAACTCAGTTGTTGTATTATAACTTATTTTCAAGTTATAAAAGACAATAATGTACACAAATATATCTATATCCATTTTTTGCAATCACAAATATATGTTGGATACCCTCCCCTCTATGAAGTTCTATATGATCGTCTTAGAAATCTGTCATGTCCAACTTTCTCTACATATCTATTGTCATTTATTTAAAAAATAATTCATTGACCACATGGAAAAGAATGAAGTTGGATCCTTACATTACACCATATGCAAAGAAAAACCTCAAAATGGATCAAAGACTTATACAGAAGAGCTAAAACTATAAAATTCTAAGAAGAAAACAGGAGGAAAACCTTCATGACGTTGTATTTGGCAATGATTTCTTGGATATGATACTAAAAGCACAGGCAACAAAACAAAAAATAGATAAATTAGACCATCAAAATTAAAAACTTGTACATCAAACAACACTATCTGCAGAGTGAAAAGGTAGCCCACAAAATAGGAGAAAATATTTGCAAATTGTATATCTGATAAGGAATTAATATCCATAATATATAAAGAACAACAAAAATACAACAATAACAAAACAATTTAAAAATGGACAGAGGACTTAAATAGACATTTTTCCAAAGAAGATATACAAATGGCCAATGAGCACATGAAAAGATACTCAGCATCACTAATCATTAGGGAATGCAAATCAAAACCATAATGAGATACCACTTCACATACATTAGGATGGCTATTATCGGAAATATAGAAAATAACAAGTGTTGGCAAGGATGTGGAGAAATTGGAACTCTTGTGCATTGCTGGTGGGAATGTAAAATGGATCAGCCACTGTGGAAAACAGTACAGTGGTTCCTCAAAAAGTTGAACATAGAATTACCACATGATTCAGCAATTCTGCTTCTAGATATATACCCAAAAGAATTGAAAGCAGAGACTTGAACAGATATTTATACACCTACGTTCATAGCAGCATTATTCACAACAGCCAAAAGGTGCAAACAACTCAAATGTTCATTAATGGATGAATAGATAAACAAAACATGCTATGTACCTATAAGGGAATATTATTAAGCCTTAGGAAGGAAATTCTGACACATGCTACAACATGGATGAACCTTGAGGATATTATGCTAAGTGAAATAAGCCAGATGCAAAAGGACAAATACTATATCATTCTACTTACATGAACTACTTAGAATAGTTAAATTCATAGAGACAGAAAGTGGAACAGTTGTTACCAGAGGCTGTGGGAGGGAGGCATGGGAGTTGCTATGATTTAATTGATACAGAGTTTCAGTTTGGCATGATGAAAAAAATTCTGGAGATGGATAATAGTGATGGTTGCACAACCATTAAGTATGAATGTACTTAATGTCACTCAGTTGTACACTTAAAAATGGTTAAAATAGCAAATTTTGTTACATATATTTTACCACAATAAAAATAAGTCATTGAGGCCAGCTGTCGTGGCTCACGCCTGTCATCCCAGTGCTTTGGAAGGACAAAGCGAGTGGATCACTTGAGGTCAGGAGTCTGAGACCAGACTGGCCAACAAAGCAAAACCTCATCTTTACTAAAAATACAAAAGTTATCTGGGTTGATTGGCGCATGCCTGTAATCCCAGCTACTCAGGAGACTGAGACATGAGAATCACATGAACCCAGGAGGTGTGGAAGTTGCAGTGAGCCGAGATCGTGCCCACTGTACTCCAGCCTGGGTGACAGAGACTCCATCTCAAAAAAAAAAAAAAAAAAGGCATTGAAAATCAGTTACACACTGCTATTAAGCAAATAGCTGGGCACAAGATGGAGAAGACCCAGTCCCTGCTTCATAGAGCTCATAGTTTAGTGGAGGAGGCAGCATTTATTTATTTATTTATAATTTGTTGGATTTATGTGTTGTTGGTTGAATGCCATAGTTATAATTTGGACTTAGAGAGTCATTGAAAGGTCTAACACATGGGAATACCTTGATGAAATAAATGCCTGATAGAGATCATTTTTATGGCACTGTGAAAGATGATATAGGGTAGAAGATAAGATTTTATGTGGAAAATCTCATCCAAGTATATGGACACAACTAGGTAAGGGAATTAAAAGAGTCTACTGACCTGTGCCACATCCCTTCACTACTGCAGTGTTCTTTTCAACTGATCCCAGGATATCTCTATTTTAATCCAGTTTACATTCTAGTGTCAGTCTCTTCTTCCCTGACACCACTGCTTCGACTATTTGACATTCTTTTTACTTTTGTGACCTTGAACAAACATTTTTAGTGATTTCTGAATACTTAGGTTGCTCAACTGTAAAACAATCTCACAGGCCTGTCAGGATAAATGAGACAATACATAAAGTACTTGTTATAGTGTCTTATACATAATAAGAGCTCAGAAAATATTAGTTATTATTATTTTAATAATCTTTTTTTCAACCATTTTTATAAAATGGTCTCGTCTTATTTTTTAGCTTAATTTCCCGATATTTCCCAGCTCCTTAAACCCAACTTGGAAAAATCCTCACAAAGTTTCCTCCTATTAATTCACTTCTCTATGTATCAGTCATGCTGAAGATGCTTCCTCCTATTTTAACATATAACCTGAGATTATTTCCTGGGCTTTTTGGCCATTTTGAATGGGCTACTTGGGTGTACAATACAATGTGTGTTACTTTGACAATTAAGGAAGGCATTATCTAAGGCTAAGAGAGCTGTGGAACTGGAAATATTAATTTCTGTTTATCAAATATTGTATGTATCTTAGTTCTCTTTCATTGCCAGCCTTATTTCCATAATGTAGTTTATAATTACATTTTTTCCTCTTTTGTTAGCTTGCTGACTAGATATTCTTTCATTGTTTTTTAAATGGTTACCCTAGACATGACAACATGTATCTCTGACATTATAGTCTACCTTAAATTGGCATGATTACCCCTTCCTGACAATGTAAGACTTCATTAATAACATTTAACCCCTTCTGCCCTTTATTGCATTATTATTATATGCTACTGTTTTATTGTTTTAAGCTCTCAACCTTCATTTATATTTCTTCACTTTATTTACCCTTTCTGGTATTCTTCCTTTTCTCCTACATCTTCAGAGTTTCAGAGGAAGTAAGTTTCTTTTGCTCGAAGAGTTCTCTGTGCTGTTTTCTTTAGTGACACATTCTCTCAGCTTGTGTGTATCTGAAACCTCTTTATGTTGCCTTCATCTTACAAATTATATTTTTAGTAGGTATTAAATTCTCGATTGACACTGTTTTCTGTATTTTCCCCTCTTTTTCATCTCTGTGCTTCAATCTGGGTAACTTATACTGACTTGAACTATAGTTTAATACTTATCTTTGTAAATGTATCTAATTTGCTAAAAATTTAAATTCATCTTGTTTTCTAGAATTTCCGACTTCTTAATGTATTTTATCATTACTGAAATTCTTGATCTTTTCCTCTGGTTTTTTGAGCATACTAACCATAGTTATTAAAAAGGCTTTGTCTGGGGATTTATTTCTATGGTCTTTTTTTTTTCTCTGTTTTTCAGTCCTTTGGTCCTCATTTTTAACATACTTCATAATTTTTCACTGTATGCTGGGCATTTTATGTTAAAAGATTTGGGTACTTTTTCTCTGAAGGAAGTTAAATTTTTCTAAGGAGAAGCAGATAAAGTATAAGCAGATCACTTTCATTCTGCAGAGAACTGGTTTTATGCTTTATTGGGGATGATTTATATCTATTTTATTTTTGTTCCTACTTCTGTAATGTAGCCCTTCTGGGTCTCAAGTGAAAGCCTGGAATGTACTCCAAGGCTATTTTATACCTTGGCAGATCTTAAATTCCAATGTCTGTCTCTCTAACATTGGCTGCTAAAATTTTTGTTTAGCATTTTAACTTCCCAGCTGCTACTCTGCTGAGTTTCTTGGAATTTCACCCTGTGTACATGCTGCTTAGAAACTGGCAAATGCTTCAAAGGGTGTTTGCATATAGATTTTCAGAATAATTTTCCTGCAGCTTCTCCTTTATCTGTGACTCTGTCCCTCAGCTGCTTTGACCTCCCTGTACTCTGAGCCCTATCTGTTCAGGCCACTAAGGCCTCTGCATTCTGCTCATATTCTGTTGTCCCACATTATGAATTTGCAGATAATCTCAGGGAAAAGCTGGAGTGAATCTAGAGCTCACCTTGGCTTACTTCCCTTCTCTCAGGGATTACAGCCCTTCAAGGCCTGCCTGCAGTGTTACTCTCCAGTGCCTTAAGCAGCTGTTTTATGTATTTCACCCAGCCTTTCTGGTTGTTTTCAGTGGGAGAATTAATACAAACAACTTCGTCAAGGCTATAAGTAGAAGTCTCCATAGTATAGTTGACACGATTCCTTTGTAAAAGCATTATATAAATGATTAATGTCAAAGTGCTTCATATTACCGCTTATAGCCCTAGAAGAAGTCATCAGTTGTTTCATGTATCCTAGCCAGACAGTTAAGGAAAAGTCACAGGGAAGATTAACAGAAATAAATTTTGCTTTTCTGTACTTCCTCCTTCCTGAACACTTTTTTTCTTAATCACAGAACAGAATGCTCTTTCTTCTTTTTTTCCTTTTTGTTTTACATAAGATATTTTGTTAGATATTCTTATTGTTCATCCTAATTGAAAACAGTCCTATGGTCAGTTTTATTTTCTGATTTCCTGTCTCTTCCAGGTTGATCATGTGTTTTGTTTTTTTTCATTAGGAGCGTAGAGTGGCAGCTCTCCAAGAAATTGTTCGACTCCTGAGACCAGGTGGGAAGGCACTCATTTATGTCTGGGCAATGGAACAAGAATATAATAAGCAGAAGTCCAAGTATCTTAGAGGAAACAGAAATAGCCAAGGAAAGAAAGAGGAGATGAACAGTGATACCTCAGTGCAGAGGTCACTTGTGGAGCAAATGCGTGACATGGGCAGTCGAGACTCGGCATCTTCTGTCCCCCGCATTAATGACTCTCAGGAAGGAGGATGTAATTCAAGGCAAGTTTCTAATTCCAAGCTGCCTGTTCATGTTAACAGGACTTCTTTTTATTCTCAAGATGTACTGGTTCCCTGGCACCTTAAGGGAAATCCTGATAAAGGCAAACCTGTTGAGCCATTTGGTCCCATAGGATCCCAGGACCCAAGTCCTGTGTTTCATCGTTACTACCATGTGTTCCGTGAGGGAGAACTGGAAGGTGCCTGCAGGACTGTGAGTGATGTCAGAATTCTGCAAAGCTACTACGATCAAGGAAACTGGTGTGTGATTCTTCAAAAGGCCTGATTATTTACCTGAACACATCATATATAAAGAAGAAATGCTCACTTAAAAAAAAAGAGAGAATAAATTAATTACCCTTTTAATTAAAGAGAAAACTTGTGGGAAAGTACCAAAGGAAAGCTGAGAAAAATTTGGAAGTAGGGATTCATTAGGAGACATTCAAATGTCTCCTGTTGGCTGACATCACAGATGTGGTGTTGGCTCCTCCTACTTCCCTAGGAGAGGTGGTTTCTAAAAGTGATTGAAGCAGTTTGTGCAGTGTTTGTAATTCTTGGGTAAGAGCCCAGGATTTTGAAGATAATAGTTTTTTAGTAAAGTGCTACTAAATGTAGTAAATCATGTAGGATTTTAGGGATGTAATTATATGTTAATACAGAAAATAGTCCTGGTCAATAGAAAATTGTCTGAAGTTTTACCTATGATTTTTAGCTCTGTAAAATCATAGACAATAACCATTCTATTTCCATGCCTGACTAGCCCAGGGCTGGACGTATAGCGGGTGTCCAATAACGTTTAGTCAATCAGATAATACCCAGAACTTAGTAGGAGTTTCATTCAAAAACTATTTTTTGAACCCAACCATGTACCAGTTACTATTTTAAGTACTGATAATGAAGCAGTGAATAAGAAAGAGCAAAGCTCTTGCCCTTATGGTGCTTACATTCTAGACGGGGAGACAGACAGCAGGCAAATCAATAAATAGATACTATGTGCCAGATAGTGATAAATGCCATGAAAAACATAAAATGAGAGACGATTCACCTTGGAGCAAAAGATTACTTTTAAGTGACTGAAATAACTACTAATCCTGACTAATTTATTATCAAGAGTTAATTGGTATTCCAAATTCATTGAGCAGGGTGCTAAAAACAACCCAAATGTGCTCCTTTAACTCCTTTGTTTAAATGACAAAAGTTAGAATGTGGTCACTCAGACCTAACTGTGCCCTTAGAGCCAAAGCTGTGGTGTCATTATTGGTTATTTCTAGTTGATTCATAGTTTGTCCCAATCCAGGTTCAATCGGGTTATTTTTAAGATCTGTACAATATTGCATAATAGTAACCCAGTTAACTTACCACTTAGGTTAGATTTCCTGGAGGAACAAAGGTAGAAATTCAACCATAGGTCAAATTATCACATAGAAGGAAAAGGCTTTTTTTCAAAGAAAAAATTTTTTGAACACTTTACTCCCAGTATGCATTACTTTTGTAGTAGTAATGCTTAAGACTGTTTTAAAGAAAAATTGCTTTCTGTTTAATTAATGTTTACTGTTATTAATGCTAGTGATACTTAATCTTGAAGCATCAAGTTTTCAGAAACCTATAGTGATCAATAATGGGTCTCAGATGAGAGGATGATTATTTTTTTCATGGAATTTCAGTCCAACATCCTGGTGTACTGGTCCCTCTGGGATGAATTTATAAGGCTCATGATATAGGAAAAGGAATATAGGGCTAAAAATAGTTTTATTTCTGATATAAATTCTGGTACTTGACACCAAAGTTTGAAGTCAAGTCATGCCAATAAATTTTAACATCCAAATGAAATAGATGATTTTCTATGAAGATGAAAAATACCAAAATTGACTCAAGAAGGGAGAGAAAATGGAAGATGTTGAAAAATAGCATAGGAATTCAGAACTGGGCTCTAGAATCAGATTTCCTGAGAGTTGAATTCTAGATCTGCCATTTATTAGCTGTGGGATTTTGGGCAAATTTCTTGACTTTCTGTGCTTCAGTTTTCTTAGCTGTAAAATTGGAAGAGTTGTTATGAAAATTCACTGAAAGTATATTTGTATACATCATAGGATAGTGTAAGAATATAGTATGGCTTTGAGAAATGTTCATTATTATTACTCCCAGAGGAGTTTTAGGTATTAAGTGATGCCAAATATAATTTGTTAATTGTATAATAAAAATCTATATTCTTACTGACTTTTTTTGGTCTGCTCATTCTTATAAGTTGAGACAGATGTTTTAAAATCTGACACTATGATGATGGATTTCTCTGTTTTTCTCTATAGGGTTGTCAGTAGCAATAGTACAAATCTGGAAAAAGTCCAAATGTCCATCAACAGTAGAGTGAGTAAATTATAGTCAGTTCATACAGTACATTACTACACAAGCAATTAAAGTGAATATACTTACAAGCTGTAATATAAATGAATTTCAGAAACAAGGCTGAGTAAAGGAAGCCATATACAAAATAATACCATATGATTTCTGCAGAGTTTAGGAGTCCTCAAGACCACCCTTCTAACACCAACTACAAAGTTCAGGGTCCCCAAAAGAACACCCACACTTCTGATGCCAACTGCAAGTTTGGGGTTCCTAAGACAACCCTCAGGTTTGATAATTTGCTAGAAGGGCTCACAGAACTCTGTGAAACTGTTATACTTGCAGTTATAGTTTATTACAATGAAAGGATACAAATTAAAATCAGCTAATGGAAAAGGTGCAGGGGCACAGTCCAGGAGGGTTCCATGCATGGAGCTTTCAGTTGTCCTCTCCCAGTGGCATTGTGGACAAAACTGACTTCTCCCAGCAATGTCGTATGACAATACAGGTGCAGTGTTGCCAACCAGGGGAGCTCATCTAAGCCTCAGTGTTCAGAGTTTTTATTGAGACTCAGTCACACAGACATGGTTGACCACACATGTGGCTGACTTTTAGTCTTCAGTCCCTCTGGAAGTCAAGCTGATACTGCTTGGCCCAGAGTCCCCAGGTAAACAGATTTGCTTATCAGGCAGCATATTCCAAGGGCTAGAGATCAACTCCCAGGAACCCAGGGCAAAGGTCCAACCTCTCTTGGATAAGGTTAACTCTACTACACAATTTCCTTTAGGTAAAAGTTCAAAACCCAGTAATATCAAAGCATATTTCTACAAGGCTAAGTAATGCTTTTGGTTAGAGACAATGAGTGGTCTTCTTGGATGTTCACAATGTTCTCTTTTTTTCACTGGGTGGTATTTAAAATGGTGTTTGCTTTGTGATAAACCACTGAGTTGTACACTTATGATTTTTATACTTTTTGTATCTATATTAGAAGCTACAAAATTTAAAACAACTTATAACAAAGTTCTAAATTAACAGTTGAAATGTTTAAAAATATTTTTATGTCAGCTTTTATGAGGTGTAATTTGCATATAACATTAACCAATTTTAACTGTACAATTTGATGAGTTTTGACAAATATAGTTATGTAATCATCACCACAGCCAAGATGGAGAACATTTCCATCACCCCAAAAAGTTTCCTCCTGCCCCTTTCAATCAGTCCCCTCCTTCTATGGCAAAGACTGGTCTGCCTTCTATTGCTATACTTTTGCCTCTTCTAGAATATCATATAAATGGAAGAATATACTTAGTAGACAGTTCTGTCTGGCTTTTTTCACATTGGACAATGCTTTTGAGATTCATACATGTTCTTGCATATATCATTAGTTTGTTCCTTTTTATTGCTGAATAGTATTCTATTATAAGGTATATCACAACTTATTTATCCATTTCTAGTCTGGATTGCTTCCAGTTTAGAACTAATAGTTTTTTAAAAACTGCTATGAACATTTGAGAACACACTTTTATATGGACATAGGTTTTCATTTCTCTTGGGTAAATACCTCAGAGTTGACTTCCTGGGTCATATGGTAAGTCTATGTTTAACTTTATAAGATATGGCCAAACTATATTCCTAAGTGCCTCTACCAGTTTGCGTTCTCATCAGCAATGTTTGAGAATTCAATTACTCTATATCCTTGTCAACACTTGAGGTCATCAGTCTTTAATTTTAGACATTCTAGTTGGTGTGTAATGGTCTTTTTATGCTTTTACTTTGCATTTCCGTAAAGACCAGTGATTTGGGGCATTTTTACATATGCTTATTTTGCCACTTGTGTATCTTGTTTGGTGAAGTGCCTGGTCAAATATTTTATCATTCTGTAAAAATTGAGTTGTCTCCTTTTTAATGAGTTATTAAGCTATAAGTATTCTGGATACAAGTGCTTTATTATATATACATTTTCTAAGTATTCTCTCCTAGTTTGTGGCTTGCCTTTTTATTTTTCTAGCAATGCCTTTTGAAGAGCCAACATTTTAAATTTTGATGAAGTCCAGTTTATCAATTTTTAAAATTTTATAGATTGAGATTTTTGTGTCCTATTTAAAAAATGCTCACCTAACCCAAATTGCTAACATTTTCTCTTGTATTCTCATCTCAGAGTTTTATAGTTTTAGCCCTTACATTTAGGTCTGTCATCCATTTCAAATTAATTTTGTTTGTGATGTGTGGTGGGAATGAGCTCATTTTTTTTTTCTATATGTGGCTATCTAGTTGTTCCAGCATCATTTAGAAAATATTATTTTTTCCTCAATGAATTGCTTTGACACCTTGGTGGAAAATCAGTTGACCATATATATGTGGGTATATTTCTGGACTCTATTTTTTGATCTATGTATCAATATTTTTAATGCTAGTACCACACTGCTTTGGTTACTGTAGCTTAAAAATAAGTCTTGGAACTGGGTAGTGTAAGACTTCTAGCTTTGTTCTTTTATGCTCTTAATAACAGAGTTTCAAAATATATGTAGCAAAAACTGATATAGCTGCAAGAAAAACAGACAAATCCATAAATGACAAAACCACGGTAGATATGGTGAACATCTTTCCTTCTAGAAATTTCAATAGTCTATAGAAGTACATAGAAAGTAAGGATATAGGCCGGGTGTGGTGGCTCATGCCTGTAATCCCAGCACTTTGGGAGGATGAGGTGGGCTGATCACAAGGTCAGGAGATTGAGACCACCCTGGCTAAAATGGTGAAACCCTGTCTCTACTAAAAATACAAAAAAAAAAAAAAAATTAGCTGGGCATGGTGGTGGGCGCCTGTAGTCCCAGCTACTTGGGAGGCTGAGGCAGAAGAATGGTGTGAACCCAGGAGGCGGAGCTTGCAGTGAGCCGAGATCGTGCCACTGCACTCCAGCCTGGGCAACAGGGTGAGACTCCATCTCAAAAAAAAAAAAAAAAAAAAAAGAAAGTAAGGATATAGCAGACTTGAACAACATAATCAACCAACTTCATTGGCACTTACACAATGTTCAGCCAACAACAGCAGCGTACACATTATTCTCAAGTACATAAGGAACATTTACTGAGGAAAACCATATTCTGGGTCATAAACACGTGGAGACAAAAGTGACTTCATCTTGGATGCTAATCCACCATGTTGACTTCTGAGTAGCCCCAGTACTGTACTTTATTTACTGTCCCTGGTGTAAGAACACATCAACCTTGAAGCTATCACACAAATTATAGGCTATGATGCATATATCATTCTTGCCTGTTCTAGAGGGTTGCCTTTTATTGTCTTGCTGGAGCACACATATGCTTGTCTTGTGGCTGCCCAAGACCATGCCTCTGTTTGTAAATTCCCCCAATAAAACATCCTTTCTTGAAAAACTAAATGTCTGCCGCCTCCTTTGGTTTCTTGGTTCCTTCGGCATTTGGGGGCCACTTTGCATATATAGCCCTTTCACAGAACAAAACAAGACTCAGTACATTTAAAAGGATTCAAGTCATATAAAATCTGCTCTCTGACCACAATAGAATTAGAAAATTTTCTGTGATCTGAGTCATAAGAAAAAAAGAGAGAAAAAAAGAGAATTAAGTTAAAAATTAATACAAAAAGATCTCTGGAAAAATCCTCAAGTACTTTGAATCTGTATAACCCATGGATTAAGGAATAGCTCAAAAGAGAAGTTAGAAAGTATTCTGAACACAATTAAAATGAAAGCACAACATACCAAAATTTTCAGGAAACCCTTTGGGCAGAAAAGAGAAATTGCAGCAGGCCTGAGGCTGGTGTCCTCAGAAAGGCCTGCTAGCAGGGTTGGGCTCTGGCTGGCATTTGAGAACTTGGATTTTGGGAGAGTTCCCACCAACCTAACTGATCAGGGTGCTTGACTGTACCTAAACTGCTTGTGCAAACAATATAGTTTATAGTGAACATCACTTTCCTTCTGGAAATCTGGAATTTGGGTGCCAGGCAGAGAGTGCTGATGTGGCCAGTTCCTAATAAAAACTGTGGGTGCTGAGTCTCTTAACTAGCTTCCCTGATTAGCAACATATTACACTTTTAAATTCCTGCTGGAGGTATTATGTGTGTCATGTGTGACTCTGCTAGGAGAGGACTCTTGGAAGTTTGCACCTCCTTTCCTCCAGACTTTGCCTTCTTTTTGTTGTTTGTTTTGTTTTGTTTTTTTGAGACAGAGTCTTGCTCTTGTCACCCAGGCTGGAGTGCAGTGGCGCAATCTCGGTTCACTGCAACCTCCACCTCCTAGGTTCAAGCGATTCTCCTGCCTCAGCCTCCCTAGTAGCTGGGATTATAGGTGCCCGCCTC
This sequence comes from Homo sapiens, assembly GCF_000001405.40. Lineage (NCBI taxonomy): Eukaryota > Metazoa > Chordata > Mammalia > Primates > Hominidae > Homo > Homo sapiens. The sequence goes on along the minus strand of NC_000011.10, from coordinate 107,498,268 downwards.
CACACCCGGCTAATTTTTGTATTTTTAGTAGAGATGGGGTTTCACCATGTTGGCCAGGCTAGTCTGGAACTCCAGACCTCAGGTGATCCATCTGCCTCGGCCTCCCAAAGTGCTGGGATTATAGGCATGAGCCACTGCACCCGGCCTCAGACTTTGACTTCTGCCCCTTTTCCCTTTGCTATCCTTTTGTGTCCAGAATTGGTTCCTTCCGGTGGGTTCTTGGTCTCACTGACTTCAAGAATGAAGCTGTGGACCCTCGTGGTGAGTGTTACAGTTCTTAAAGATGGTGTGTCCAGAATTTTTTCCTTCAGATGTTCAGATGTGCCTGGAGTTTCTTCCTTCCAGTGGTTTTATGGTCTTGCTGACTTCAGGAGTGAAGATGCAGACCTTCGCAGTGAGTGTTACAGCTCTTAAAGGTGGTGCATCTGGAGTTGTTTGTTCCTCCCGGTGGGTTCGTGGTCTCGCTGACTTCAGGAATGAAGCCACAGACCCTTGTGGTGAGTGTTACAGCTCATAAAGGTAGTGCGGACCCAAAGAATGAGCAGCAGTAAGATTTATTGTGAAGAGCGAAAGAACAAAGCTTCCACGCAATGGGACCTGAGCAGGTTGCTACTGCTGGCTCAGGTGGCCAGCTTTTGTTCCCTTATTTGGCCCCACCCACATCCTGCTGATTGGTCCATTTTACAGAGTGCTGATTGGTCCGTTTTTACAGAGTGCTGATTGGTGCATTTACAAACCTTTAGCTAGACACAGAGTGCTGATTGGTGTGTTTAAAATCTTTTAGCTAGACAGAAAAGTTCTCCAAGTCCCCACCCGACCCAGAAGCCCAACCATCTTCACCTCTCACTTTGGCTGTAATAAACCGCAGACAGGAGCGTGAATATATGCTGAGTCCTGTGGGTCCTCCTGGTGAATCATTGAACCTAGAGATGGTCTTGGGAACTTGCATCACGCTAAAGTTGTACGTGGGAGAAATTTGTAACAGTAAATGCCTGTATTAGAAAAGAAGAAAGTTCTCAAATCTAAGGGCCTCAACTTCTTTTCAAATAAACTAGAAAAAGAAAAGCAAATGAAATGCATAGTAAGCCGAAGAAAGGAAACAAAGCTCAGAGCAGGAATCAATGAAACAGAAAACAGAAAAGCAATAGAGAAAACCATTGAAACGAAAAGCATACTCTTGGAGAATTCTGATAAAATCAATAAACTTCTAGCCTCACTGAGTTGACCAGGGAGGGAATTTTATACTTTTTATAGCTGATGAATTCAATCAAGAAAGCATAATTTAGATTCGTATGTACCCACTTTTCAAAACTATTATTTGGTTGAAAAGGTTTTTCAACTAACACATTTTTTGGGGGAAAAATATTTGCAGTAGGATTACTTTATATGACAATTCATTTTAAGTACACGAGATTTCTCTAATACATCTATTGAATAAAATAAGACACTATTTATATATTAAAGAAATAAGGGCCAGGTGAGGTGGCTTACACCTGTAATCCCAACAATTTGGGAGGCTGAGGAGGAAGGATTGCTTGAGGCCAGGAGTTCAAGATCAGTCTGGGCAACATAGTGAGACCCCCATGTCTACAAAAAATTAAAACGTTAGCTGGGAGTGGTGGTGCACGCCTGTACTCCCAGCTACTTGGGAGGCTGAGGCAGGAGGGTCACTTGAGCCCTGGAGTTTGAGGCTGCAGTGAGCAACGTTTGCACTACTGCATTGCACTCCAGCCTGGGTGACAGAGTCGGATCCTGTTTCTAAAAAAGAAAAGAAAAGAAAAAGAAAAGAAATACAATCTTATGTGGTTCCTAAATATGAGTTTGAATATTGTGTTTGAGAATTTCAGATTACAGGTAAAGCAAGTCAGCCATGTTGACCGAGCATAAGCATAAAAATTCTTAAAATGTGTTGTTTCGCTAATTTGAATATTTCTCTATTCTGTGGCATTTTAAAAAGAAAAGAGGAGCACTTTCCTTGCATCATTCCCTTCATTGCTTTTCTGCTTTGAAATAGCAACCTTGGCTGACAGTCAAGAATTCACTAAGCAGTAAGTCCATTGTTCTTGCCAGGGCATTAGAGCAACTTACCCAACATTTTCCACTCAGGAAGAGAACATATTACTTCTCTCTACCCATTTCCATCTGCTTCTTGCTGCCTAGCTCCATCTCTATCGTTTTTCTTTCCTCAGAGCTGAAGAGGAATCTCCAATGTAAAATCGTGCTGGCCTTCTCCCAGAGTCTTCTTTAGTAGAAATCTTTTGATTTTGCCATAAAAGAACTGTCCTAAAGGAAGATATGACTTCTGATTAACTTTTGTCAGTTATGACTCTACAGTTTAGAAGAATTATCATGCTTTAGTTAATGAGGGAAAGTAGCTCAAGTTCTAACAGAGGGTGTTGAGAGACCATGATGTAATGTATCTCATCATTCTTCACTCCTCACTCTACTGCTTATCAGCATTTGAATGAAAATATCTGGGAACTGAGGGTAGGGATTATATGATTAGAAATATTAGCTCTCCACAAGGATTAGGAAAAATAGCTAATGCATGCTGGGCTTAATACCTAGGTGATGGGTTGATAGGTGCAGCAAACCACCACGGCCATGTTTACTATGTAACAAACCTGCACATCCTGCACAGGTATCCCAGAACTTAAAAATTAAAAAAATTAGCTTTCCACATGTCACTTTAAAACCTTATTTATGGTATGGAAGGTAATCTGGTAAAAACAGCATCAGGTAAGACAAAAGTCTAAGAAATAACGGGGGAGGAGGGAAAATGGAAAAAAATGTTAAAGAATATTGAAAGAAACAATAATGGAGCTATGATGACCTGAGTCATGTTTTATGTGCTCTAAGAATTGTGTGTGTGGTCAATTTGACATTGACTATTCATTAATAAATTCATTTATTCATTAATAAATTCATTCATACAATTTGTTTAACTTATATTTACTGATTGCCTGCCATATGCCAGGCATATTATTCTAAATAATGGATACACATGTGGATACACAACAAGATCTCACCCCCATGGAACTTACATTCAAATTTAAGGGAATGCTATAGTGGAATGTGGTGGAATAGACAATAAGCAATACCCGTAATAATAGGTAAACAATATACTATGTTGTAAAGAGAGACTTTTTTCCTTAATCAGGAAAAGAAGTGGGATGGCAGATGGGTTTCAGTTTCTTAAAGAGTGCTCAGGATGGTTTTTGTAGGGAGACAATGGAGTGGAGACTTGAAGATGGAGGAGTTAACTATGTATTTATCTGAGAAATGAACATTCCAGCCAGAGGAAAAGCCCAGTGCAAAGGCCCACGGGGAAAGGCCTGCGATGGAGAACCGCAGGAGGCCAGTGTGGCTGGAGCAGAGTCAGCGACAGTGGTTGGCGACCAGGTCAGGGAGTCATTCAGGAGGTGAGGTAGACCAGGCAGGACCTGCCCAAAAGCTTTTGGTTTTCACTGTGAGATGGCGAGCTGTTTGGAGTTTTGAGTGCATAAGTCACATACTCCAAGTTCCATTTTAAAGGGATACCGTGGCTGCTGTGTGGAGATGAGACAGTGACAGAACAAAGCAGCAACAAAGGGGCCAGTTAGGAGGCATTTGCCATAATCCGTAAACCAGATGACAGATCATGATTGGCTTGCAACAGTGTGACAGTAGTGAGGCAGTGAGAAATAGTAGGCTTTGGATGTGAAATTGGAAAGTAGAACCATCAAAATTTCTGGTGAGTTGGATGTTGGGTGTTGGGGAATAGAAGATATAAGTGATGTCTCCACACTCATGAGTATGGAACTGTTTTACAGCTCTTAGTCTGTCCTTTGGGGCTGCCATCCTTTAGTTCAAATGCAATTTTGATTTGTCCTTTTCTTCTCTTTCAGGCATGGGTCTACCATGCCTGCCCTGAGCAAATCTCCCTGGTAATACATCTGCAAACAAACCTGGCAATTACTTTGAGTTCAGATATTGTATGCACTGCTGAACAGCTAGATGTGCAGCCAGTATGTGAAAATAAACAGAATGCAGTGTGATGATTGTGATCAGAAATTCCTTTAGAGACCATTAGACCGAGACAAACAAACACATCCAGCAGTTCCAAATCATTGCATGCAATAGAAAGGCAAGTAATGGATGGCACTTTACTTTCAGTAAATTACTGAAAAGAAAATGCTTCCCCTAGAAGAGCTAGGCATAGATGAGCATAACCTTCAAATACCCTTTGCAGAAGCAAGGGGGAATAAGTGAGGATGGAAAGAGAGTTAAGAGCTTTGTTGCTGCCTTACCTTCTGATGTGGCTCTACTTACAGGTCCCCAAACACCTAAAGCAAGTGGGAGAGAAAAAAAAGACTCGAGATGTTCTATTAGAGTGCAAAGTCTCTTTGTCTTCAATCTTGTAAAAATGATTGAAGTTTGTTATTGATTAACAAGAAGTAATGACTTAGCATCTAATACAATGTTTTAAAATGTCCGCTCTGGCTTTTGTAGATTCCAGCAAGGATAATAGGGCACTTATGGAACTAAAAGCCTTTAAAATCTGTTTTAAAGGATCAGCATGAAGAACTAAGAGAGCTTTGTCGAGTCAAGGAAGGTGTTCTTAACCTCTGGTCCATGAATGTGTTTCAGAGGGTTTGTCAGTGACTCACAGTTGTGTACAAATTTTGTGTGCAGGTGCACATGTCCATCTTCCTTGCAAGAGAGTCCATATTTCTGTCAGCCGTTCACACATAGTTAAAAATCACAAACTATGACTCCAGGGGTGACCTTCCTTTGTTGATGCTCATGAGATTCAAAGGCAGCCCCAAAGTCTAGGCACCAGAGGCACTGATGGCCTAGGATGTAAAGGCGCCCTTTGGATTTGTGCAGCATACACACCTTCAAACATGTGGCTGGTGTGTGTGTGTGTGTGTATGTGTGTGCAGAGGTGCTATCTCTGCATGATTATTATCTGAATCAGTCCATGACTCAGCCCTTTGGATCCTAACTGGAGAAAAAAGACTATAAGAGACAATGAAAAGAGCATGTGGTGTATCACTTAAAATTTTATTTATGATTAGCCTTGGGGCAGGGATAGGAAAGGTGAAACAGGTCTTAACCAGAATATGGAATATTTTCCTACAGAAAATTTCTCCCTGCTTTTTTTCCCCTTAGACAATAAAATTAAAAAAGACATACTAATAAGTATCCCTGTAAAATAGAGAGTAATGGACACCTACATTTTCAGGCCAATCAGAAAAAACAATAAGCCAGTAATTTTTAAAATCCCATTTCATAGATTGTCACTGATTAACTGGATTGTATAATAGATCAGAGATAATCCCATACTACCAGTTGTAAGACTATCTATGTAACTATTTAAGTTATTTGTTGTAACTTATTAAGTATGTAACAATTATATAACTTATGTAGATTATTAATTAACTTATTAATTATAACTATGTAAGTTATAGTACTATTGCACTATCACCATGGCTAGGGGAATGGAGTGCTGATTGGCTCAGGCCTGGGCTTTGTGTACTTCTCTTCACTTAACTATGGCCAGGGGAATGGGATACCTTGCCTGGCTTCAGCCTATCAGGACCCTCTTGTCTGTCTTTGGGTAGCATTAGTCTTACACAAATAATGGGATTAAGAGTGGTGAGAGGGCCAGCTGTGGTGGCTCACACCTGTAATCCCAGTACTTTGGGAGGCCAAGGCAGGCGGATCACCTGAGGTTGGGAGTTCGAGAACAGCCTGACCAACATGGAGAAACCCTGTCTCTACTAAAAATACAAAATTAGCTGGCCATGGTGGCGCATGCCTTTAATCCCAGCTACTCAGGAGGCTGAGGCAGGAGAATCGCTTGTACCTGGGGGGCAGAGGTTGGCGGTGAGCCACGATCACACCATTGTACTTCAGCCTGGGCAACAAGAGCGAAAACTCTGTCTAAAAAAAAAAAAAAAATGGTGAGAAAGTTTGCCAAAGGAAATTTGGGCTATACTAACTAGAACAGCAATGGATGCTGGGCTACAACAAGGATTTCACTGTTGTTCTAAATTTCTTCTAAAAAGTAGTTTAAATGAACCAACACCATACAGGCTTGCAGCACTGGCACCATGGTGCTTTCTGGCCGGGTAGAAATGATATGGAAGCATCTTCCGGTCAGGACCACTATACCCACGGCAGTAAGAGCAATGCCTACAATGATAGGCAGAACAACAGGGGCTACTTTGATTTCAAGTAGCAGCCAGAGAGACTTCAGTGCCACACAAAACAGTGATGACAGCAGGCATAGGGCTGAAGGCATGATATATCCAAGGAGATCTCAAATTTGTGAGGATGCTCCAGCATCCCTGAAGAGCTCTGTGGTCACTCTTCTGTGAAATTACACTTGGAAATTGCTGCCAACAAACTATTAGCATTTCCCTAAATGCAATGGGGATAATTAGATCCTTGGGTGGCAGGGGTTAATTGGTGGCACTTAAATCACTAAAGGCAAAGTGGGTGTGGTTACCATAGTAGATAGTGGTGTCAAAGCAAAAATCAGAATAGTCTGAATCCCAGAGACCCGTGATATTGGCTAGCTGATCATGGTGTCCCTAGAAGAGAATTAGATGATAATCTACTAATTTCTTACTTGATCTGTATAAGTAGAAGAGTTCTAGGTCAAGCCTAACTTGAACCATCAAAACATGGCGTTATAGTTTCATAGTTTCCCAACCAATTCCCAGACCTGAGCCAGTTTACAGACCCAGAACGCTTTGAATGAAGGGGAAGTCTGGTCCTCTTGAGGAAGGACCCTGCTACGCTGCCAAAAATTTATACTGTTAATCTTTCTTCCAGCCTTTCCCAAAGGGACCTATGACTTTCAACCAGAGTGACTGTGCATTGGAAAAAAAGGAAATAACCAGACTTTTGAGGAATACTGGACACTGGCTGTTAACCAAAACAAGTTCTAGGAGACCCAAAATGTCACTGTGGCCCTTCAGGTGGAGTAGGGGCTTATGGAGGTCAGGTGATCAATGAAGTTTTAGCTCAGGTCCTTCAAACAGTAGGTCCGGTGTGTTCCCAAAACTGTACCATGGTTATCTCCCCAGTTCCAAAATGAAAATTAGAATAGACATACTCAGCAATTGGCAGAATCCTTGCATTGGTTCTCTAACCTGTGGAGTGTCAGCTGTTATTGTGGGAAAGGCCAAGAGGAAGCCACTAGAATGCCTTTCTAATGAAAATAGTAAGCCAAAAGCGGTACCACATTCCCAGAGGGATTGTAGAGATTAGGGCCACCTTTGAAGAGGAAGGGGTGCATCTTCTTGAAGGATGCAGGGGTGGTGATTCCCACCACATTCCATTGCAACTCATTTTTTTGGTGGGTATAGTAGAGAGCAGATGGATATTGGAGAGTAACAGTGGGCTATTGTAAAATTAACCAGTTGGTGACTCCAATTGCAGCTGCTGTTTCGGATGTGGTTTAATTGCTTGAGCAAATTAACACATTCTCTGTTACCTGACATATAGCTAAATTGACTACAAAAATACATTTCTGGAAGGACGTGGTTGCATATGCCTGTAATCCCAGCTACTTGCGAGGCCAAGGCACAAGAATCACTTGAACCCGAGAGGCAGAAGTTGCAGTGAGCCGAGATCGCGCCACTGCACTCCAGCCTGGGTGACAGAGCGAGACTGTCCCCAAAAAAAAAAAAAAAAAAAAAAAAAATTCAATTCATTTTGCTTTTTCTTAGATCACTCTAACTAAATACTGTATTATTTGAAGAGTTAAAACTATGTAATTACTTAGTCGTTTTAGTAACAAGGAACAAGCCAGGTTTTGGAGTCCTGATCTGTACTTGAATACAAAGCAAAGCTCTATAACAACACTAGAATTGTGATTTAGGCAGCAGCAGTGGCAGCTCCTTGAAGACTCACAGAAGGCACGCCCTCATAACTGGGTAATCAAAGGTCTTCCCAGGCCTCGCCAGCCCTTATTTTGATTTCTCCCTTCCCTGAACTCCATACCACATACAGTCTATATCTCAAAATTTAGGAGTGTGAATTGCCCTGCTGTCTTGCCCTGCTGTCTCCTACTCCTAAATATTTCAAGTATTGATTTTTCCCTTGCCTCAAGGCTCACCTTTCTGATTTTCTCTACACTGATGCACAAATGAGCTTTATAAAATCTGGAGATGTTTCTCCTTAACTGAACTCTGTCAGTGACTTCTAATTCTTAGTAACGAAATCCAAAATCCAATAAAACGCAAAGTGTAAATAACACTTTATAACTATCATCTGCTATGTCTCCAATCTCAATTCTCTCTGCTCCCCACCTCACACCCAGGGTTCCCTTATCCCAAATTATTTGCCTCTGCCCATACATGCCTCACACTTTCCCTGTATCATTTACTGAATCTTGTTCTCCTTGCTCCTAGGATGTCCTTTTCTGTTATTTTCCAAACCTCGAGTCTTACCCACTATTTAAGACCCACTTTAAATGTTATTCCCTTCATAAAGCCTTTTCTCATTCCTTCCAGATGGAAACAATTTCTTTGTCTTCTGATTTCCAAAGAATTTTATTAGAATGCTCATATTTATTCCTTTGTACCTTATTTTCATTTGTGCATATGAATATCTTCTTTATTTTGTAATTTAGACTCCCTGAGAATAGGGGTACTGATGATACCTAGTAGGGGATCAATAATTACATGTCATAAGAATGTCATAATTAAATAGATTAGAGCTAAAACTTGAGGTCGTATTAATACATTTGATATCTATTATATTTCTTGTATCAAGTTTAATCACCTCCCAAGAAGATCATAGGTGTGTAAAATACATCAAAATCTGGTATGATAGAGGTACAATGACAGGACAACAACTATCTCATGCCATCTGGATTTTAAAAAAGGATACATTTTCACTCTTATTGCTTGCATCATTCATTGGTTTGTTCAATATTCAACAAGTAATTACTGAATGCCCACTGTGTGCCAGGCATTGTGCCTGTACTGGATAATACATTGATGAATGAAACAGACCTGGCCCTTGTCTTCCTGAAGCTTAAAGTATTGTGAGAGGGACAAACAATAAACAAGTTAATATTGCAAACAATTATATACTTGCAAAGTCTGATAAGTGCTCCAAATAAATAAATGAGATTTGCCGGAAGAGAATAAAAGTCAGAGAATTCCTGCAGAATAATAAGCCTACACCAAAAATAGATGCATTTTATTTTAAAAATTTTATTAATATATTTACATGGTTCAAACTTTTGAAAATGCAAAAAGATATTTAATGCCTACAACACTGAGTAGCTTTTTGCTGAAGATCTTTTCATTATCTTATAACTTTTGAACCATGTAAGTGAATTACCTCTTCGATACCCATCACCTATATGCCCAGTTTCCAACATGTTGCTGTCTCCAACTGTGATAGGAGATGGCTCCCAGTAATCTCTGCCTTCTGGTATTTCTGCCCTTGTGTAATTCTTTTCCTTTTAATGTGGGCTAGATCTACAGACTTGCTTCTGATAAACACAATACAGTAACAGTGATGGGATGTCATTTCCATGATTAGATTACAAAAGATTGACTCTGTCTTGCTAGCCAACTCTCTATTTCCTTCTTGGCTTGCATGTTTGATAGTGTCAGCTGTCACTTGGGAGAGGCTACATGGAAAGGAACTGAAGGCAACCTCTCACCAACAGTCAGTGAGGCACTGAGGCCCTTAGTCTAACAGCCCTTGAGGAAATGAATGCTGCCAATAACCACTGAATGAGCTTGGGAGCAGAGTCTTCCCCATTCGAGGCTTCAGATGAGACTGCAGACCTGGATTTGATACCTTGATGGCAGCCTTGTGAGGGACAGTGAAGCAGAGAAACCAGCTAATTTGTGCCCAGATTCTTGACCCACAGAGACTGAGATAATACATATATGTTGTTTTAAGCTGCTAAGTTTTGGAGTAACTTGTTATGCAGCAATAGACAACAAATACCCCAATCTTTAGCTATTACAAAAAAAGTATATACATTAAAAATTTGTATGTACATCAGTAGTATATCTGTAAGAAAAACTCTACTGCATGGGATTGCTGGGTCAAAGAAAATGTGCACTTGTAAATTGGTTTATTGTTTTCATATTGCCCATCAAATCATTAATAACAATTTATAATCCTGCTAGCAATATATGAAAATACTTTCCCATCTGAATTTGTTATTAAGATTTTGGATTTTTTTGCCAATTTAAAAGGTGGAAAATCATAGCTCAGAGTATATTAATTTGCATTTCTCTTATGAGTAAGGTTGAACATATTTTCATGTGTTAAGCTATTTATAAATCCTCTTCTGTGAATTGTTAATTTGCACCTTTGACTGTTTTTCTATGATTAAGCTTTTTCTCTGTTGATTTTTAGGGGTTAGTCTTTTGTGAGATGACTTGCAAATGTTTTTTTTTTCCAGTTTCTTCTTTTTCCTTTTTTCTTTGCTTATGATATAATTAGCCACATATGTGACTTTGGTGTCAATCTTTAGTGCTTCTAGATTTTTAATCAAATTTAGATCTTTCCCACTCTAAGAAAATAAGGAATTGCCTTGTGTCTTCTCCCATGCTCCCACCTCATGCTAGTAATTTTTTGGCTTTATTTTTTATATTTAAATATTTGAGCCATTTGGAATTTGCCTTAGTTTATAGTATAATGTAAGAATCAAATTTATTCATTTCTCCTAGATGGCTACTCAGTTGACCCAATACCATTTGTTAAAAAGCCCATATTTGTCTCACTGATTGAAAATGCTGTACTTACCATATATTAATCTTCTATATATATTTGGAATATTTCTGTGCTTTCTAATTTCTTTCATTATTTCTCTGTCTACTCAAGTACCAGTTCCATACTGTTTTAATTGTTAAAGATTTATAGTATCTGCCAAGCCTAGTCACATCCCTGTCTTCCCTCCAATTACTCTTACTCAGTTTCCTGTCTGTCTGTTTTGGGTTAAGATGTGAACTTTTTAATCATCTTATGTAATTTAAAAACCCTCTTGGTATTTTAATTGGGATTATAGTAAATTATATACTAATTTAGGAAAAACTGAAATTTTTATGATGTTGAGTCCTCTAATCCAAGGACATAGGATGTATTTTAACTAGTCATTTTTTTTGTGTATTTATATGTGTTCATCTTTTCGTGAACCCTAACCCTAAACCTATCTTTAATTTCTACGTACCAATTGTGTATCTTCCAATTGTGATTTCCAATGAATTCTTTTGATATTTGCACACACCCAGTCATATCATATGCAAATAGGATAGCTTTAACTCCTCATTTACAGTTTCTATGACTACTTTCTCTTGCCTATTTGTGTTAGCCAGTACTCCCAAGACAATGTAAATAATAGTGGACGCAGTGATTATTTTTGTCTTATTTCTACTCGAGTGGAAATAATTGTAGTGATTTTCAGAAAGCATGCTGCTTGTTTTGGGGCTGAAATGACTAAACTTTTATTATAACATCTAGTCTATTTCTATTTTATTGCATTTTTTTAAAGGAAGTATCTTATTAATTTTTTTAAATGCTATTTGAGCACCCGAGGACATAAGTGTAATTATTTTCCTTGTATCTGTAATCTGATAAATTATATTAATATATATTTTAATATTAAGTCATTTAAAAATTTTTCAGGTAAGCTCCACCTGTAGTGATGTGTTTTTTCTTTTAATAGGCTAATATTTTAATCAGGATTTTTGCATAGATATTCATAAATGGGAAGTGTTTGTAGTTTTCTTTTATCTGCAGTCCATGTGAGGTTTTGGTGTCAATGTTATACTCTCTTTATAAATAATGTGGAAGTTTTCTCTCCACCCATCTACTTCCCTCCACTCCACTCCTTGAGCTCTAAGATAACTGGCCTTAGAATGGTCTGATCCTTAAATGGAATTGTTGGAATTCTTTCAAGAAGCAATTTGAGGACAGGCGCAATGGCTCACACCTGTAATCCCAGCGCTTTGGGAGGCCGAGGTGGGCAATCACTGGAGACCACGAGTTGGAGACCAGCCAACATGGCAAAACCCTGTCTCTACTAAAAATACAAAAATTAGCCAGGCGTGGTGGTGTCTGCCTGTTATCCCAGCTACTCGGGAGGCTGAGGCAGGGAATTACTTGAATTCAGGAGACGGAGGTTGCAGTGAGCTGAGATGGTGCCATTGCACTCCAGCCTGGTCAACAGAGTGAGACTGCATCTCAAAAAAAAAAAAAAAAAGTAAGTAAGAAAAAGAAAAAGAAGAAGCAATTTGCATCTGTTTTTATTAAAACCATTTTTTTTTTCCGTTGGGTAGGGATTAGCTCTTTGATCAATTCTCTGTTTCTTCTGTGGAAATATACTTTCTGCCTCTTCTGGGGCCAGACACTATATCTTGAATATTATTCCTTTTACCCAGATTTATATAATTATTTGCACAGAGTTGAGCAAAGTGGCCTATGGATAGTTTTGGTTTCTTTTCCTGTTGTTATTTATTTTTATTTATTTTTTTTTTTTTGAGATGGAGTCTCGCTCTTTCACCCAGGCTGGAGTGCAGTGGCGCGATCTCGGCTCACTACAGGCTCCGCCCCCTGGGGTTCACGCTATTCTCCTGCCTCAGCCTCCCGCGTAGCTGGGACTACAGGTGCCCGCCACCTCGCCTGGCTAATTTTTTTTTGTATTTTTAGTAGAGACGGGGGTTCACCGTGTTAGCCAGGATGGTCTCCATCTCCTGACCTCATGATCCGCCCGCCTCGGCCTCCCAAAGTGCTGGGATTATAGGCGTGAGCCACCGCGCCCGGCCTGTTGTTACTTTTTCTTATCATTTCTTTGATTCAGTTAGTAGTTTTTCTAACTTTCCCCCAATAAATTAGCTATTAATTTCTTAATACTGTTTTTTCTATTTTCTAACTCATTGATATCCTTCCTACTGCTTTCCTTTTTAAGCTTAATTTATTTACTTTTATTTTTCCTTTATATAGATAAAAGTATTCAGCTTTCCTCTAAGTTCTTCTTTAGGTTCTGATAATGTTCTGTTTTCATCATGACTGATTTTTAAAAATTTGGCAACTTCCATTTAGTTTTAGAGATGGGTCTCACTCAGTCACCCAGGCTGGAGTGCAGTAGTGTGATCATAGCTCGCTGCAGCCTTGATCTCCTGGACTTAAGCAATCCTCCTGCCTCAGCCTCCAGAATAGCTAGTATTACAGGTGTGCACCACCATGCTTGGCTAATTCTTAAAATTTCATGTAGAGTCAGGGTCTTGCTATGTTGCCCACGCTGAACTTGAACTCCCAGGTTCAAGGGATCCTCCGGCTTTGGCTTCCCAAAGTGCTGGAATTACAGATGTGAGCCACTGTGCCTGGCCTCTGTTTTGTTTTTGATCAAAGAATTACTTCCGTGTGAGAGCTTGAAAATTTTCAGTTATAGTGCAAACTTTTATTTTGTATGAGTTTCTAATCTTATTGCATTTGTAATCAGAGAATGTTGTCTATGTTGTTTCTACTTTTTATAATTTATTGAGGCTTGGTTTGCAGCCTAATATATTTTTAGTTTTTGTGAATGTTTGAACATTTGAAGAAAAGGTATTTATTTTGGGTGTAGAAATCTAGATCAGATCTGCCTTATTTATTATCTTATTTGTGAACTCTCTTTACTGTCCAAATTTAATTAAAGTCACCCCTAGCTTCCATACACCAAGATTACTAGGAAGTCCAATATCATTTAACATGGCCTGTTTAAGCATTGCTCTCTACATAAGTCAGGGTCCCAGCTAATAGCACAGATGGCATATTCAAATTAGGGAATACGGGAGAGTGTAATGAAAGGAATATTTACAAAATTGTGGGCAAGTAGATGCAGTAGAAAGGGAACACTTACACACTGTTGGTAGGAATGTAAGTTAGTACTCCCTCTGTGGAGATTTCTCAGAGAACTTAAAGTACATCTATCATTTGATCCAACAATCCTACTTTTGGGTATCTACCGAAAGGAAAAGAAGTCATTATATCAAAAAGACACCTGCACTCATATGCTTATCACAGCACAATTCGCAATTGCAAAGATATGGAGTCAATCTAAGTGCCCATCAATTGATGAGTGGATAAAGAAAATGTCACATATACACACACACACCCACACCCACACCATGGAATATTACTCAACTATGAAAAAGAACAAAATAATGTCTTCTGCAGCAACTTGGGTGGAACTGGAGGCTATTATCCTAAGTGAAGTAACTCAGGAACAGAAAAACAAATACCGTTATGTTCTCACTTATAAGTAGGAGCTAAGCTATGGGTATGCAGGGGCTTACAGAATGGAATGATAGACATTAGAAACTCAAAGAGGAGGTTGGGGGTGAGGGATGAAAAATTACCTGTTGGGTACAATGTACACTATTTGGGTGATGAGTACACTGAAATCTTCACCACTATACAATTCATCCATGTAACAAAAAACCAGTTGTACATATAAAGCTATTGAAATTTTAAAAATTTTTAAAGTGTGGGCAAAGTTAATTAAAACCATCAGAAGGAAGTGGAAGTACCCCACAACTATTGACAGCTGGGAGCCATTTCTCTTTCTAAACATGAAGCGATAAGGCCAGCAGAAGTGGATAGTTATTGGAACCATAAGATGATGGCTGAAGGAAAAAGAGCTATTTGACAAGAGCTGTGGCCTTTGATAACAGAACACAGACAGTTTAACCTGAGGGCCTACAGGAATAAATACCCCTACTTCCTTTTTATCCTACTCTCAGCCTCTGCCTCTGTCTCTCACTGGCTGAACCCACGAGGAAATCAGGAAACAAAGGAGCCCAGCTGATGCCGTCGGTAAAGGTCAGCTTCCCACGGCACAGAGCAGGGTGAGAAAGGTGTAGGGTGGATTTCCGTACACCTAACTGATGACTCCTCCTTTTAGCCCCCCAAAACCCAAAAGTTAATTAGTTTCCTTCTTTTCTTTCCAAGAAGCAAAAAGGCCTGCATACCATCCTGAGAATGGAGAAAATATTTTTCAGAGAGAAACACACAGCAAGAGGTAACTTACCACTATAATTATCCTATAGGGTTATGCTAGGTATTATTATTATTATTACTGGCTAGATTCTTCAGACCTTCCTTAGAGAACAGAGGATTCTGAAGGGGTGGGAGGAGAAAAGACAGAAGTTCTTTGGAATCCAAAGTTAAGTAGTGATCAAGAGAATAGAGAGCATCTATTTTAAAATTCAGTTCAGCTAGTCTGAAGGGCTTGTTTAAAGCAGCGTTGTGCCCTCTCTCTACACAATGTGACATAGGCGAGTAAAGATTCCCTTAAGGAATGAAAAATCTATGTACTTCCAGTTATAGAACAGCCTTTTAAACATATTCTGCTTGAGAAATGAATGCATCTGAATAATCTTCTTGGACTACACAAAGTTCCCCTATATAAGCCAGATATTGTGAACAGATTTGACCTACAGAAGAAAATTCATGCCAAATGGAAAATGGCAGTTTTTATCCTGGGTGGCACTATAATGATATCTTCTTCAGTGTCAAGGTTGTAAAATTGTGAATAATTTAAAGTACTTCAACCTCTTTCCATGGAAACAAATGGTACTTCTCTAATCTGGGCGGAGATTTTTTTCCAGGTGGCCTTAGATCATTGCCCTTGTCAATGGAACACAATGTCAGCAGAGTCTCTTATGAGGCAGATTTGGTTTGAAAACTCTGAGCCAAATGAGTTCCTCCAAAAGCCTTCTGAAATGAGAAGTGCTACAAGTGACCTCTCTGCTTCCCAGAGGAGAAACACAAAGCAAGTGCACCTGCCACAATTCAGAAGGAGGAGGTTTGCAGTGACCACTGAGCATACTTCTGGTCAACCTGCTACCTGCTCATCTGGAAAACCAACAGATGTGGTTTTAAAGAAGCAACTTTCACAATTAAAAAGAAAGTGCCCTGGGCACAAGTCTGTGATCTATACTGGCTGAAAAATGTTTTTCCCACCACTAATTCTTAATTATTTTTGAATTATCATTTTATATGGGTAAAATGGCCCTTTGGAGGTTTTCCTACAATCTCCATATGGTGTGTAATCACCTAGCGTAGTATTTCTCAAAATCACCTGCATGAGAATTACTTGGCAGTGCCTGATGAAAATCAGGCATCTAGGTCGGTTTGGCTAGAGTGAACCAAAAGACTCGTTGAGGCTGCCACCCAGGTGTATGCATTTGACAGGCTTCCTAGGTAATTTTTATGAGCTCTAATGGTGGTGAAAGGGGATTTGTTTTTGTTTTAAATATTTCCAACAACAAGCTAGCAGAGGTCAGGAGACCCAGGCTCAGTCTGCATCTTTGTAATTTACTAACTGTGTGGGCTTGGAAAAGAAACTCACATACACTCTTTGAGCCAGAGTTTCCTCGTTATAACTTGGGAGTGATAAAGCCTCCATTGCACAGAAAATATAGATTAGAAGACAAATTTATGGAAAACCTTTGAACACTGTAAATATCTAAGTAAATGATAATTAATTGCTATAACAATAAGAGATTATGTATGTGAAACAAATTGATGTAGGAATTTAGAAAAAAGCTGTGAAAACATTCGGCTAGAGTAATCAGAGAAGACTTCATAGAAGGGGTGGCATTTGCTGGACTTTGAAGAATGGTTAAGGATTTCTTTTTCTTTTTTTCTTTTTTTAAATTTTATTTTATTATTATTATACTTTAAGTTTTAGGGTACATGTGCACAATGTGCAGGTTAGTTACATATGTATACATGTGCCATGCTGGTGTGCTGCACCCATTAACTCGTCGTTTAGCATTAGGTATATCTCCTAATGCTATCCCTCCCCCCTCCCCCCACCCCACAACAGTCCCCAGAGCGTGATGTTCCCCTTCCTGTGTCCATGTGTTCTCATTGTTCAATTCCCACCTATGAGTGAGAAGATGCAGTATTTGGTTTTTTGTTCTTGTGATAGTTTACTGAGAATGATGATTTCGAATTTCATCCATGTCCCTACAAAGGACATGAACTCATCATTTTTTATGGCTGCAAGGATTTCAATAGGCGTAAATGGTGAGGGAATTACAAACAGGTGAAAGCAAAGTCTGGTTTGACTAGAACAGTGGTTCTCCATCTTGCTACACATTAGGATCACCTGGGAAGACTTTTAAAAATACAGAGCAGTCTGTCACATGTATTGAAACATCACACTGTACCCCATAAATATGTACAATTATTTTGTGTCTAAATAAATCAATAGGCCGGGCGTGGTGGCTCATTCCTGTAATCCCAAGCACTTTGGGAGGCTGAAGTGGGTGGATCACTTGAGGTCAGGAGTTCCAGACCAGCCTGGCCAACATGGTGAAACCCCGCCTCTACTAAAAATACAAAAATTAGCTGGGTGTGGTGGCAGGCGCCTGTAATCCCAGCTACTTGGGAGGCTGAGGCAGGAGAATCACTTGAACCCAGGAGGTGGAGGTTGCAGTGAGCCAAGACGGTGCCATTGCACTCCAGCCTGGGCAACAAGAGTGAAACTCTGTCTCTAAATAAATAAATAAATACAAAAATACAGAGGTCTGGGCCACACCCCAGGCCAATTTAAATTAAATCAGCAATCCAGGCAGATTAATCAGGTAGTGCTATATAGAATGATTTGGGGTGGAAGGACAGAAGGCAAAACTGGGTTCCAGGAGACCATTTAGGAGGCTGACAGAGTAGCCCATGAATGATGTGAAAGAAAAGCATATAAGCCTCTCTTAAGAAAAAATAAGATCAGAGGCCAGGCGTGGTGGCTCACGCCTGTAATCCCAGCACTTTGGGAGGCCGAAACGGGCGGATCACGAGGTCAGGAGATCGAGACCATCTTGGCTATCACGGTGAAACCCTGTCTCTACTAAAAATACAAAAAACTAGCCGGGCTTGGTGGCGGGCGCCTGTAGTCCCAGCTACTCGGGAGGCTGAGGCAGGAGAATGGCTGAACCCGGGAGGCGGAGCTTGCAGTGAGCAGGGATCGCGCCACTGCACTCCAGCCCAGGCGACAGAGCGAGACTGTATCAGAAAAAAAGAAAAGCTAAGCTCAGAAAAATGAACTTCCTTAAGGAAGATGTACAGCTAGCTTCAAAGCACAGTACTGCTTGACAGTTAGATTGAAGGTTAAAGAAAGCCGTCACCGTGAATGTATTGTTGGTTCCTTTACACTATAATAATTGATCTGTAACTTCTTAAAAAGATAATTCTAGTCCTCCAAAATGTGATAGTTTACTGTTTTTTCCTTCTTTCTTTCTTTGCTTCTAATAGATTAAATACCTTTGGTGCCTTTTAATTGTTTCAAATCCTTCTTAAACATTGTTCAGATAATTATACTTCAGAAAATAATTTTTAATGTGAAAATTAAAGGTGATTTTAAGATTGCATTAGTTGATTTAAGAAATGTAAAAACAAAGTTTTCTTAAAGGGGCAGAGTATTCACAATTTATGAGTTCCATTTGTCTTTGTGGTGTTAAATGAACAACTTATAGTAGATATGAAAAGTGATTTGAGAAGTTTTCTGGAATCTTAAACACTCCAGAAGAGTTTTGTTTGCTTAACTGACTTTCACAACGAGATGATAAGAAACTGAAGTTTGTAGGGGTATCAGTGGGAAGGAAAAGAAAGCAGTGGTTATGAAAATTCTGTAAAAAAAAGCTTTAACAACTAAGAGCAAGGGCAAAAGATAATAGTTGGTGTCCTTGAGAGAAGTCCAGATGTTTGAAGGAGACATTGGATATTGGGAAAGATAAATCCAGTATCAGTTTCTCCTGAGTTCGAGGTACCACCATTTCCTCCTTTCTACCTCTGTCTCTTTTTGCTTCGTGGGTCTGGTAGGAAAAATAACCCCAAAAGTTACAACTGTATTTCCCTGTGGGAAACTAACCAATGTGTATCTAATTTAGGAATCTTATTTCAGTATTTCTTTGCTAACAGACTATAAATCTCTGTTCACATACTCTAGGAAGTAGAGATCTTGTCTTTTGGATGGTTCTCTCATTAATGGGTTGAATAAAACTTTGATATGTGCAAAAAGGGAATTTTGTCTCAGTATTTTACTTTTATAGTATCTAACTGTTAGTAATCCCAATGTGTAAATACAATAACATTTAGGAGGCCCATTTTATGTAAGCCAATCCTTTGTTTATGAAACAGTATCCCTGGGTCATAAACATACCTAGGGCTTTGCAGTTCTTGGTTTCCCACAGTTTACTGAATGACAGGAAGAAGTCTCAAACTATTTTCATTCCCTGGTTCTGATCACCATGAGTGGCATTATCACTGGCTTTCAGTGATGAGTGCTATGGAAGCAGGGAGAAGACTGTGTATTAGTTCTTTAGCATAGACAATTTCTTAAGCTATTCTTTCTTCTGGGGTGGCATTTTCCAGTATGGTAGCCACTAGCCACATGTAGCTATTTAAATTTAAATTAATTAAAATTAAACTTAATAACTCAGTTTCTCACTTGTTCTAGTTATATTTCAAGTGCTCAAAAGCCACATGTGACTAGTGACTACCATATTGGATAGTGCAGATACAGAACATTTGCATCATTGCCTAAAGTGCTATTGGACAGGACTGGTGTAGGAAACTTTAACCTTTAGGGAAAATGTGTAATAAAACAGGCTATCATAATCCCAGAAATACTGCTCTGGAAATCTGACTTGTGGGATGGAAATACAGAGAAGACATCATTCTACACCAGGCCATGTTGTACTTTTCATGTTCCCCCGGCTTTGGTAAGTGCTATTTTTTTTTTAGCAATGAAACTTGTTCATGAAAGCAAGAGGATGTTATCAGACAAATCCTCACTGCAACATGAGCTTTCACTTTGCCTTTTAGTTACTCCATGTGAGCTGAGGCACTTTGAAGGGAAAATGTGCTATATCCTAGCAAACAGGACGAGGTGTCCAGGCACAGAATCTCACAATAATGAATATGATTGTTCTTACTCAATTTATTCTACTTATTTTCTAGGGACACATGGACACTGTGAATTGTATAGGTTTTTGTGGTCTGTGGAAAACAGTCCCATAAGAAATTAGGTAAAAGGAAAATAACGAAACTTATTCAGATCTTTGCATTTTCTTTAAGAAGATTGGTCATGATGAAAAATAAGCTAGAAATTAAGGAAATAAGAAACCATAGAGAAGTGGTAGTACTCAAACTTCTGCATTACAACCTTTCTGGCATCCGATCATATGTGTACCACTAATATCCTGTCCCCTGGAGAGCTGGCTCTTTAGATTACATACTTACTGCAGAATGACGATATTTATTTTGTGAGATATATAGCACCTATTCATTTATAGTACACAATATAAACTACTATAAATTATGGAGTTATAAAAGTAGTTACATTTATAGAGCAACTACTTTTATAATGCCATAATTTCTATTAATTTGTATTGTGTACTATACAATATAAACTAAACTCCCAAAGACCCTGCCTTCTATAACACCATTTTTCCTCAGATGTAGCTCACTTCAGTCCCAAGCAGGGACACTTTTTAAAAACTAATCTGCTTTGATACATGGTTGTAAGTACTGAGGACTGGACTAACATGGAGAAAGAAATATAAATATGTTATTCACCATCTACCCTTAGCTTCCATTTCTCACCCAAATCATCTTTTATCCAAGTTAAAACGGTTCACTCATTGGAAGAAATGATTTTTCTTCTTGGATGTTGTTGTCCTATTCAAGTTATAGATAACATCACTGTTCTGTATAACTTGCAGAAAATATTGTAGAAGGCAGTCGAAAATAAAGACTAGGTAATAATATTAATGTTGAAATCAGATTATCTTGGATTCTTATATAACTTAACTTCTTTGAGCCTTTCTTGCCCATCTGTAAAATGAGGATGATGATGGTGCCTTCCTAGTGTGGTTACAAGGACTGAAAGAGTTAATGCACATACATTGCTCAGCACAGTTCTTGGCATGGATGATACACTCAGTATATGTGAGCTTTTCCCCTCTCTCCACCCCTCTTACTATCCTCTTCTCATTCTCCTCCTTTTTCTAACTTTTATTTTTAGTATAAAATGATTCTCACTATGAAGTAAACAACCATGGTCCCTAAACATGTGAACATTGCAATGAGTTGTCACTGAATAAATGTATTTTCTCATTTTTTCCATTTCTGCCTATTGTTCTCTTATTAGTGTTTGATGAGCCTAACTATCCATATGTTCAATACCTCACTCCAAATTATACCCAATTTCCCCGCCACCAGTCTCACCATATGATCTTGTTACATGATTTCTAAGGTGGTCACAATGATGGACTCTTCAACAGATACATGGAGTTTTCCTACAGCAAACATCTAATCTAAATATCAAATCCAAGGCTGACTGGCCTCTGCCACCAAACAGGACTTCATGATGTCTCCTCCTAGAATCATAAGGCACAGTGCTGAGAGAAAGCAGACTCGTTTTGATAAAATTACAAGCACAGTAAAACTAGCAAAGTAAATGTGCTTCTGGTGAAAATGATTATGCTCTAAAGCATATGTGATTTAGGACAATGCTGTATAGAAATATGCCATTACCCCTCCCGTTACTGTGGATAATTAAGAGTTGATTGGTGCTTAAAACATAATGAACTTTCAGTGTGAGAAATTAGAAATTCATAGTTTGTCATTTCCTGCTTTCCTTGCTTAGAGGACTAAAAATCTGCTAATTGTAGGCTCGGCCAACCCAGGTCCCAGACCAGTGAAAGCCTCACCTGGCAAAACGGTAGGAGTTTCAAATCATCGAGATGGGTGGAATGAATTGTCTTGAGCCACACAGCACACCAGTGTTCCCACTGAGTGGGAAGAACAGGTCAATACCACCCCGATGGAGAAACAACACTCTTAAGTCATCAAGATCAAGGAAGTTTAACCAGTTCTGTTCTGATTAGGGGAGGTGTCAATATCCAAATGCCAACGGGCATTCCTAAGAATCTGGTAGGGGTCAGAATCAGACTTGAACAGTGTAGGTTGTGCAATCCATTCAAAATAATATGAAAGATCACAAAAGCAGGAGCCAGACCCAGGAAAGAGGAAAGGGAGACCCTAAAGTTCTTTTCTGACTGAGCTGAGGCTCAGGACTAGGTTCCAGTTCCAGAATTCAGTGCCAGTTTTACCTCAGTGAGGGAAAACCAGAAACCCAGAGACTCATCAGGCAGGTGTACCACACAGAGTGGGGATGCGAAACGAAAGCATCCGTTAAGCCAGATTTGTCAGAGGCATTTGAACCAGAGCAACTCCATCTTGAATAGGGGCTGGGTAAAATAAGGCTGAGACCTATTGGGCTGCATTCCCAAGAGGTTAAGGCATTCTAAGTCACAGGATGAGATAGGAGGTCAGCACAAGACACAGGTCATAAAGACTGTTGATGAAAAGAGCCAAACTCTGTAAAATTAATGAGATTTATTCTGAGCCAAATATGAGTGACCATGGCCCATGACACAGCCCTCAGGAGGTCCTAGGAACATGTGCCCAAGGTGGTCGGGGTTTGGTTTTATGTATTTTAGGGAGACATGAGACATCCATCAAATACATTTAAGAAATACATTGGTTCGGTTCAGAAAGGTGGGACAATTCAAAGCGGGGGCTTCCAGGCTGTAGGTGAATTTAAACATTTTCTGGTTGACAATTGGTTGAATTTATCTGAAAACCTAGGATCAATAGAAGGGAAATGTTCAGGTTAAAATAAAGGGTTGTGGAGACCAAGTTTTATTGTGCAGAGGAAGCTCTCAGATTGCAGATTTAGAGAGACGGCAGGTTGTAAAATGCTTCTTAGGGGACCTGAAAGGGTGCCTGAC